>NC_000008.11:11929863-12234345 GCF_000001405.40 Homo sapiens
GTCCTTCTCTCTTTAAGAAAAATATCTCAGTCTAATTGAAAGAAATTAAGAAGCCATGAAATACACTCTATTTTATTCTGACACCGTGCTACAACTTCCATTGATGTAGAATATGTAAAAGGACGACACAAGAGCTAGGACCCCATTATCTGAAAATGAAATCGAACCTTACAGTTCTCAATCGGAAGACCTTTTCACACGCCTGTTACTTTTCATATGTATTATCATCCTTCGGTTTTCTGACATCATTTCTTCATAAAAGTACATGCACACTGAAAGATGGAAGCTGTGTTTCCAAATGAACAGAATCTATAATTCCTGGCCCAGCACCATGTCTCACACCTGTAATCCCAGCACTTTGGGCGGCCGAGGCTGATGGATCACCTGAGGTCAGGAGTTCCAGACCAGCCTGGCCAACGTGGTGAAACCCCGTCTCCAGTGAAAATAAAAAAAAAAATTAGCCAGGCATGGTGGCGTTAACCCTAGCTACTCGGGAGGCTGAAGCAGGAGAATCCCTTAGAACCTGGAAGGCAGAGATTGGACACCCTGTGATAGGATTTTTGATATCTTAGGGAGATATTGCTCCTGACAGTAGAGTGGGCGTACACCCTGTGATATTATTTGTAATATCCTAGAAAGATATTTCTCCTAATATCACGGTGGCTCTTCACCCTGTGATCTTAATTGTAATATCCTACAGAGATCTTACTCCTAATAATACAGTGGGTGTACACCCTGTGATATTATTCATAATATATTACAGAGATACGACTCCTGATATCACAGTGAGTGTACACCATGTTGGTACCCCCGGTGATCTTATTTGTAACAACTTAGAAAAATATTACAGCCAATATCAAAGTGGGTGTACACCCTGCCATGTTATTTGTTATCTACTAGGTAGATATTACTCCTAATATCACCTAGGGAGATACGATTCCTCATATTACAGTGCATGTACACCCTGTGATAGTATTTGTAATATCCTAGGGAAATATCCTTGTATAACCTGTGATATTGTTTGGGACATTTGAGGGAACTATTTCTCTTAAAGTCAGAGTGGGTGTACACCCTGCAATATTCTTCCTAATATCACAGTGGGTGTACACAGTGAGTGATATTCTTTTCTAATATCCAGCGGGGGAGAGGATGATATTGCTTCCAATATCACAGAAGGTGTACATCCCCCCTGTGATATTGCTCCTAATATCCAGGGAAGGAGAGGATGACATTATTCGCAATATCACTGGCGGTGTAGCACCTCCCGCCGGGATATTGTTCTTAATATCCGGAGGTGGAGAGAATGATGTTACTCCCAATATCACAGGGGGTGTACACCACCCCTGTTTGTAAACACCCCCTGTGATATGGTTCCAAATGGCCTGTGAAAGAGTAAATATGACTCCCATTATCGCGGCGGGTGTTCAGCCCTGATGATATTGTTTTCTAACATCCAGGGAAGGAGAGTGTGCTATTACTCCCAATATCGCAGGGGTTGTACACCCTTTTGTGTTTTCGTGCCCAATATCCAGGAAAATAGAGGATGATATTACTCCCAATATCGAAGTAATTGTACAGCACCCCTGTGATATTCTTCCTAATATCCAGAAAGGAAAAGAATGATATTACTCCCAACAGCGTAGGAAACGTATCACCGCGCTGTGGTATCTTTCCCTGTATCCAGGTGGGGAGAGGATCATATTACTTCCAATGTCGCAGGGTGTGTACAGCCCCTCTGTGATCTCGTTGCTAACATCCAGGTTTGGGGAAGACGACATTACTCCCAATATCGCAGGGGGAGTACACACCCCCATGACCTTGTTAGTCATTTCCTGGGTGGAGAGGATGATCTTACTCCCAATATCGCAGAGGGTGTACACACCCCTGTGAAAATCTTCTTATATTCAGAAGGAGAGAGGATGATATTACTCCCAGTACCGCAGGGGGTTTCCACAGCCCTGTGATACTCTTCCTAATATCCACAGGGAGAGAGGATGATATGACTCCCAATATCACAGGGGGTGTACACAACCCTGTGATATTGTTCCTAACATCCAGAGCGAAAGAGGATGATATGACTCTCAATATCGCAGAGGGTGTACACCCCTCCTGTAATATTGTTCTGAATACCCTGGGAGGGAGAGGACATGGTTACGTTGAATATCACAGGGAATGTACACCCTCCCCCTCTGATACCCTTCCTAATGTCCAGGGGAAGAGAGGAAAATTTTACTCCCAATATCACAGAGGCAGTACACCCCACCTGTGATGTTGTTCCCAATATGCAAGGGAGGAGAGGATGATACTACTCTCAATATCACAGGGCTGTTCACATCCCCAGTGACATTTTTCCTAATATCTAGGGGAGAGACAATTCTATGACAGCAAAGGTCGCCAGGTCTGTACATCCCTTCCTGATATTGTTCCTAATATCCAGGGGGGAAGAGGACGATATCCAGTATGAAAGGGGGTGTACACCCCCCACGCCTACGATATTGTTCTTAATAATCATGAAGGGAGACGATGATATTACTCCAAATATCGCAGGGGTTGTTCACAACCCCCTGTGATATTGTTTCTGATATCCAACAGGGAGAAAATCATATTACTTCCAATATTGGTGGTGTATTGGTGTATACACCAAAATCAGGTGGTGTATACCCCACCTGAAATATGGCACCGAATATCCAAAGAGGGAGAGGATGGTATTCATACCAATATCGAAGTGTGTGTACACGCCCCTTGTGATATGGTTTTTAATATCCAGTGGGCAGGAGGATGATATTAGTCCCAACATCCCAGAGGGTGTACACTACCCCTGTGATATTGTCCCTAACTTCCAGAGGGGAGAGGATGATATCACTCCCAATATCTCAGAAATTGTACATCCCCCGTGATATTGTTCGTCATATCCAGGGAGGCGCAGGATGACATTCCATTGAATTTCGCGACACGCCTACACGCACAGTGTGATATTGTTCCTAATATCCAAGAAGGGAGAGGATGATATTACTGCCAATAAAGCAGTGGGTGTACATCACCCCTGTGTTATTGTCTCTAATATCCGGGGCCGGGGGATGTGGGGAGAGGATAACATTCCCTCAAATTTAGCAGGTGGTTTGACGCCCCTTGTGGTGTTGTTTCAAATATCCACTGGGGAAGACAATAGCACTATTTTTGATCGTCCGATTCATCCGCTCCACCTTTCTGGAACTCTGAGGCCGGGAGGCGTCATGCAAATTCCATGTGATCCCCAATACCTTTGCCGTCTTCTGTACCAAGGCAGCCAAAAACGCAGGCCCGTTATCTAAGCCGATCCGTAACGGCAGTCAAAATCTAGGAATCACATCTCGAAGAAGCACAGGGGTTACTTCACTAGCTTTCTCAGTTCATGTTGGATAGACCTCCACCCACCCAGAGTAGGTACGCCCAAGAACTCGTAAATACTTGTTACCTCCACACTTTGGCATCTCTGTGAAGTCCACCTGGAGACCTTCAAAGGGGGCTGCTCCATAAGCTCGTATGCTGGGCGGAACGGCTGGACCTTGACTCCCATCTTGCTGTCAGCAGGTAACACACCGCTGCCTCACCATTTTGGCAAGGGCTGACAAAGGCGAGATGTAGAAATACCGGCCTAACAACTTTTCCAGTAACTCCTCACCTCGATGGGTGGTTTCTTGCACAGCCAGTACAACTGCAGCTCCTAGCAGCTGTGGCACAGCTACTCTCCCATCTGGTAACCGAATCCATCCTTCCTCCATCACTTGTCCTTCCCTCTACCTGGAGAAAGTCCTCTTCTTCTTTAGAAGAAGTACAAGATCAGGTGCTTGAGGGAGCACTGATACCTGGGGAGTGTTCCATGGAGACTGACAAGGAACTCTAATTCCAAAAGTTCTTAGGTGCTTGAGATGGACCTGGATACCTTGAAGGGCTTCTCTGGGGACCCGCTCCTGTTTTTGCATAACCGGCTGGGCCCCAGGATTCACTTCTATGAATATGTGGGCTGGGGTGACTGCCAACCCTGGAGGGTTGTGTCCCGCCCGTACTCTTGGCCACCACTTAGCCAGAGCTGGTCTTCACTCTTGGCACGGCTCAGTTAAGAAAAGTCTCCATTCCTCCTCTCAGGGGACCGTAAGGGTCATAATGGCTCCCATTCCAGGTAACTTTAGCAGCAAAGAGCCGTGATCTGTAAAATAGATAGTGGCTCTCAGCTTGCTAAGCAAGTCTCTTCCCAACCAGCGCAAGGGACAGTCAGGCGTGGACAAAAACTGCTGAATCACATTATGTCCTCCTACAGCACAAGTCCGAGGCAAGCAGAAAGCTTGCTTTGCTGAAACCCCCGTGGCTCCGATGATGTCAATAGCCTTTTTGGATAAGGGGGCGACCGGGGTAGTTACTACCGAATGTTCAGCACCGGTATCTACAAGAAAATCAATGTCTCTACCCCCGACTGTCATTCTGACCAGAGGCTTTTTGGGGACACTTGAGCCCGGTCTCCCTCAGTCCAGAAACACTTCTGCCAGGTTGACCAGGGCCCCTTCCTCCTTGTCCAGGGCCTCCTGCTCTGAGTCACCTGGTTTTCTTTTTAGCTGAGGGCATTTGTTCTTCCACTGTCCTATTTCTTTACAATCAGCACACTGGTTACGTTGCAAACTCTGACAGCCAAGCTGAGTTTCTTTCCCGGGGCCCCCCTTCCCTTGCCCTTTGTGGTGACCCCTCTGATTACTGCAGCTAACAAACAGGTTGGCATTTATCCAGGCCTGACGTTCATTCTCTTTGCTGTTTTCCTTACGGCTTACTGCTTCCCTGTTTACAAACACCTGGTTAGCTATTTCTAATCATTGCGATGTATTCATCCCTGCAAGCCCAGCCTGTTTCTGCAGTTTTCTTCTAATGTCTTCTGCGCTTTGACTGACTAAAGCCATGCTAATCATGCGCTGATTTTCAGGGCTATTGGGATCAAAGGGAGTACACATACCATAGGCCTCACACAGTCTCTCATAGAATTGTGCTGGACTTTCTTCTTTTCCCTGAATGACCTCAGAGAGCTTGTTAACGTTTGTGGCCTTCTGAGCTCCCCTCTGTAATCCTTCCAAGAGAGCTTCTCTGTCTTGGTTTAGCCTTTGCATATCCTCTCTTTCATGTGGGTCCCCCTGGGGGTCAGTTCCTGGTAACTGGGTCCTTCCATACTCTTGGGGGTTTTGATAATCAGCTGGTGCGTGTTCCTCTAGCCACTTAGTTGCTGCTTGGAGCACTCTCCACCTTTCATCTCTGTTAAAGAGGAACATGAGCAACTGGTGGCAATCAGCCCAGGTGGGGTTGTGGGTCCGGATATTAGTTTGGAGTAAATCAATTAGAGCTTGTGGTTTTTCAGTATAGGGCGGGGTATTATTTTTCCAGTTGAGAAGGTGGGCAGAGGTGAAGGGCTGGTACCCAAAAACACACCTCCCCACCAGATGACCATCCTCATCTATCCCTGTATACCACTGCTCTCTCAGGGGCATTTGGATCCCCATTTTGGGTCTTAAACGAGCTGCCAAGGGAGGGGTTTCTCCTGAGTCCTCGCCTCCTCTCTTGTCTACTCTGGGTGGCCTGGGGATATGCTTGTCTTACAGAGGCGCAAGCACTGATGGCTCAAGAGTGGGGAGCCTCTTTTCCCGGTAAGGGGAGGGCACCACTGGGATCTCTGGTGCCATCTCCTGCAATGGATCTTCTGATGCTGGCTGGAGCAGAACTTCAGCAGCTGATTTCTCTGGGTGGGTGGAGCAGGATCCTTCCTTAGCCATCTGTCCCTTTGGTACTAGTATTGCTGCTGCCTGCCCTCTTAGCCACTGTGGGGGGTCTAGCACCAGCTGTCACCAAGTGTCTATGTATGCAAACTGGTCTAGGTATCCTTTACCAGTTACCTCGTGCCACACCTTAAAAACAAGGGACATGTCCAGGCTTCCTTCGTATGGCCAACCCACTTCTAATTGTGAGCAATCTATTTCCCACAAGGTTCTAGGTCCCCCTGGTAGTCTAGTGGTTAGGCTTTGCCGCTCTCAGTGCCGCTGCCTGGGTTGGATTCCCAGTCATGTGAACCAAGAAATGGAGCAGGAGGAGCTGCAGAATAAGCCCCTCAGACAGTGGATTGAAGAAGGAAGAGATTTTAAGCCCCTCAAACAGTGGATTGAAGGAGGAAGAGATTTTTTTATTCAGCCGGGAGTGTCGGCAGACTCTTGTCTTAAGAGCCCGACCCCCAAAGGAAGACAGAGTTCCTGGCCCGTTTAAGGGCTTACAACTCTAAGGGGTTCCACGTGAAAGAATCGTGATGGATTGAGAGCACATGCGCTTAGAGTGGGGGTGGTTAATCTTTTCACCTCAGGCCGGCTCATCAGTGCCACCGGCTGGTCTTGCCACCGACTTCATTCCTGTTGTTTTTCAACTTTTACTTCCTCCTTCTCTTCAGATACAGGAGACAGCAGAGAAATGGCTTCTCTCCTCAGGTCGACAGGATGATATTACTCCCAATATCGCAGGGGGTGTACACAGCCCTGTGATATTGTTCCTAATGTCCAGAGCAAAAGAGGATGATATGACTCTCAATATCACAGAGGGTGTACACCCCTCCTGTAATATTGTTCTTAATACCCTGGGAGGGAGAGCATAAGATTACATTGAATATCGCAGGGAATGTTAACCCTCCCCCTCTGATACACTTCCTCACATCCAGGGGAAGAGAGGATAATTTTACTCCCAATATCGCAGAGGCAGTACACCCCCCGCTGTGATATTGTTCCTAATATCCAAGAGAGGAGAGGATGACACTTCTCCTAATAAAGCTGTGGGTGTACATTACCCCTGTGTTATTGTCTCTCATATCCGGGGGCGGAGGGGGGCGGAGAGGATAACACTCGCTCAAATTTGGCAGGTGGTTTGACGCCCCTTGTGGTATTGTTTTTAATATCCAGCGGGGAAGACAATAATACTGCTCTCAATATCACAAGAAATGCACATCCCCCTGTGATATTGCTACTAATATCCAGGGGTAGAGAGAATGGTGTTACTCCCAATATCGTCAAAGTGTCCACCCCCCCTTTGCTATTGTTCTTAATATATGGAAGACAAGTATGATATGACTCCCAAGATGGAAGGGGGAATACAAGCACCGGTGATATTGTTCCCAGTATGCAGTGGAGGAGAGAATGATATTACCCCCAATATCGCAGGAGGTGTACACCCCTCTGTGATCTTGTTCATAAGGTTCAATGGAAAAGATGATCTTACTGGAAATATGGTAAATACACTGTGTGTCCACAGTGGCTGGTAACATGAAGGGAGGGACGGGGATTGAAATTACTCTGCGCATCAGCGGAGAGTGTCCACGCCCCTGCGATGTGGCTCCTAATATCCATGGGGAAAGGGGATAGATATGACTCCCCGCATCACTGGGAGTGTCCACCCCCCTGCGATGTGGCTCGTCATATCAGTGGTGGGGGGGGTCATATTTCTCCCCGCATCGTGGGGGTTGCCCGCCCCGCTGCGATGTATATCGTAATAGCAAGGGAAGGAGAGGGGGATGACATTACTCCCCGCATCGTGGAGGAGTCTATCACAAATCGGGATACTATCCACCCTCTGGGATATGGGGAGTACACCCCCTGTGATATTGGGAGGAATATCATACTCTTCCCCCCTGAATATTAGGAACAATATCATGAAGGGGGTGTTCACCCCCTGCCATATTGTGAGTCATGTCATTTTCTCTACCCCTGGACATTAGGAGCAATGTCACAGGGTTGGTGTACAACCCCTGAGAAATTGGGAGGTATATCTTCCTCTCCACCTTCGGATATTAGGGACAATAACACAGGGGAGGTCTACACGTTCTGGATTATTGGGATTAATACCGTCCTCTCCGCGCCCGGATATTAGCTACAAGATCACAGAAGGGATGCCCACCCGGTGCGTTATTTGGCGTAATGGCATCGTCTACCCCTGGCTGTTAGGAACAACATCACAGGGGGCGTGTACGTTTTCTGCGATACTGTGTGGAATGGCGCAATATTACTTATCGGAATTAATATCAATTATGAATTAATATCAATTAATAGTATCAATTGTTAATTACTACTAATAATTATTAGTATTTATTGGTATTAATTATAATTATCAGTATTAATAACTGATAATATAATTTTAAAATCAATGCCGATAATAATGATAATGAATATTAAATAGTTATACTAACAATAACAATAAATGATTGATATTGATTAATAACACCCCATATTAATAACTGATACTGATCTTATTCATTAGAATACAGTAATATTAGCTCCTAATAATATTAATATTAGTAACCTGAAAACTTTTTAGTAGCAATTATTTCTAAATATTAATATTGGTAATTCATATTCATATGAATAATAAATGAGTAATAATGAATACTAATATTACGCCTAATACCTCAGTGGGTGTACACCCACCTGTGATATTGTTCCTAATGTCCAGGGAGGGAGAGAGCATGATATTCCGTTCAATATCACAGTAGGTGTACACCCACCCGGTGATATTTATCCGAATATAATCTCCAGGGGGTGGAGTATGACGTTACTCCCAGTATAGCAGTGGGTGTACATCCACCCGGTGATATTGCTCCTCATATTCATGGAAGAAGAGAATGCTATTACTCCCAGTATCGCAGGCAGTGTACACCCCTTCTGTGATATTGTTCCTAAAATCTGGAAGGTGAGAGGGTGATATTACCAATATTAATGGGAGCCTCTAGGCACCCTGCAGAGGCAAGCAAAATCGTTTTTGGAGCAAGGTAGTGTCATCCTGGACCTGAAATGATTACTATAAATATATTTTTAGTGCAATGAGCAGCACACAATGAAAGGTAACCTGACACCAGAAGAAAATAAGGTACTGTGAGGAGAACCAGGAGAAAGAACAGGCAAGAGAATCAGACCTACAAATGCTTGGACTGCTGGAATAGTCAGAGAGGGACTCTCCCACTGACACACAAAAAAATAAAACCCACCAAAAATATAATTAGCATGCTTAAGGAAATATAGAAGAAGCTAGGAAATATCTGCAGGAAACTTTCAAGAGCAATATAGCAGATTTTTTTTCCTTCTCTTTCAATGACTTTGAAACACAGCAGATTTTAAAAGGAAGCAAAAAGAACTTGTACAAATGAAAAATACAATAACTGAAAATTAAAAGTTCAGTAATGAATGGGCGTAACAGCAGATTGGAAGCAATTAAAGAGAGAATTAGTGAGTAGGAAATTATCCAGAAGAAATTAAGCAGAATGTGACATGAAGAAATGAGATAATGGAAAACAGAGAAGAAAGGATAAGATATATAGAAGACAGAATAAGTTTAGTTGAATCCCAGAAAAGAGAATAGAATAGAGGCAATACTTGAAGTGATAATAGTTAATTATTTTCTAGAATTGATAAAACGCTCAAATCCACAAATCAAATCTAATAGAATAAATCGCTACCTGAATAAATAAAACATACTTCCACACATCTTAATAAAACTGAAGAAAACCAAAGTCAAAGAAAAAAATCTTAAAGTAGCCAGACAAAAAAGGTTATAATAGAATTCGGAAGGTAATCAAATTCTTTCTTTCTTTCTTTCTTTCTTTCTTTCTTTCTTTCTTTCTTTCTTTCTTTCTTTCTTTCTTTTTTTTTTTTTTGAGATGCAGTCTTGCTCTGTCACCCAGGCTGGAGTCAAATGGCACGATCTTGGTTCACTGTAGCCTCCACCTCCTGGGTTCCAGCGGTTCTCCTTCCTCAGCCTCCCAAGTACCTGGGACTACAGGTGTGTACCACCATGCCCATCTTATATTTGTATTTTTAGTAGAGACAGAGTTTCACCATGTTGGCCAGGATGGCCTCCATCTCTTGACTTCGTGATCCACTTGCCTCAGCCTCCCAAAGTGCTGGGATTACGGGTGTGAGCCATTGTGCCTGCCTCTTTTGTAATTTTCTATTTGTCCTGACTGTTCTATGTTTGTTTTTCTCTCCTTCTTACCATCACTTTTTTAATTTTTTATTTATTTATTTTTTTTGAGACAGGATCTCGCTCTGTTGCCTAAGGCTGTAGTGCAGTGGTA
Organism: Homo sapiens; assembly: GCF_000001405.40. Lineage (NCBI taxonomy): Eukaryota > Metazoa > Chordata > Mammalia > Primates > Hominidae > Homo > Homo sapiens. Next base: position 11,939,975 of record NC_000008.11, read on the forward strand.
TGATCACAGCTCACTATGGCTTCAACCTTTCATGCTCAAGTGATTTTTCTGCCTCAGTCTCCATAGTAGCTGGGACCACACATGTGCACTACCACCACACCCTACTCATTTTTAATTTTTATTTATTTATTTATTTAACTTTTTATTTTGAGCAGAGATGAGGTCTTGCTATGTTGCCCAGGCTGGTCTTGATCTCCTGAGATAGAATGATCCTCCCACCTTGGCCTCCCAATATGTTGGGATTACACGCAAGCGCCACCACTCGCAGTCAATAGCACTCAATTTTACACTTTGATGAGAAGTTAACTCTGTATGTTTAATTGCTAGGGTAATCATGATAAAATAGCGCATATACTTTTCAAATTAGTAGAGGGAAAGAATGGAATGATAAAATTAAATAAAGTGATGAAGAGCCAGGTGTGGTGGCTCATGCCTGTAATCCCAGCAATTTGGGAGGCTGAGGCAGGTGGATTGCTTGAGCCCAGGAGTTTGAGATCAGCCTGGTCAACATGGTGAAACCGTCTCAACAAAAAATTTTAAAATTGGCTGGGTGTAGTGGCTTCCACCTGTAATTCTAGCTATGCAGGAGGCTGAGGCAGGAGAATTGCTTAAACACAGGAGGTTGAGGCCATAGTGAGCTGAGATCATGCCACTGCACTACAGCCTTAGGCAACAGAGCGAGATCCTGTCTCAAAAAAATAAATAAATAAAAAATAAAAAAAGTGATGGTAAGAAGAGACAGAGAAACAAACATAGAACAGTCAGGACAAACAGAAAATCACAAAAGAGGTGGGCGCAGTGGCTCATGCCTGTAATCCCAGCACTTTGGGAGGCTGAGGCTAGGGGATCACGAAGTCAAGAGATTGAGACCATCCTGGCCAACATGGTGAAACTCTGTCTCCACTAAAAACACAAATATAAGATGGGCATGGTGGCACACACCTCTAGTACAAGCTACTTGGGAGGCTTAGGCAGGAGAATCGCTTGAACCTGGGAGGCAGAGGAGAGATCGCACCACTGCACTCCAGCCTGGCGACAGAGTGAGACTCCATCTCAAAAATAAATAAATAAATAAGTAATTAAATTAAAAAAAGAAAATTACAAAAGAAGTGGTAGATTTAACTCAAATATGTCAGTAATGACATTAAATGTAAATGCACTAAGTGCTCTTCTTAATAGACAGATCTTAAGACCATATAATGTAACTCCACCTGGAGCATAGACAGGAAACTCACCTCCCTCACGTCCACCAGGAGCCATGGCAGGGCCAGCAGCTTGGGTGACCTGCTTCCTGGTCCTGTGTTCTGTCAACACTGCCCGATTCAATTCAACCCAGCCCGTTTATGTTGAACAGCCTGTGCTGGTGAGGCGGGGGACAATTTCGGAACATACAAATGTATCAAACAAGGTTTCTATCCTGAAGGCATTTTCCCAAGTGAGGAGAAAGTGCGCTGTAGCATGAATTCTCGGGATACATATTCCTCTAACGGCATATGGACACATCGTATCTTCACGGGGTGCTGAAAACAGCTCAGTCGTGGAGACCCTAACCCAGTGGCACTAGAGGAATTAAAGACACACACACAGAAATATAGTGTGGAGTGGGAAATCAGGGGTCTCACAGCCTTCAGAGCTGAAAGCCTGGAACAGAGATTTACCCATGTATTTATTGACAGCAAGCCAGTGATAAGCATTGTTTCTATAGATTATACATTAACTAAAAGTATTCCTTATGGAAAATAAAGGGATGGGCAAAAGTAAAGCGATGGGTCTGGCTCGTTATCTGTAGCACGAACATGTCCTTAAGGCACAGATCCCTTATGCTATCGTTTGTGGTTTAAGAACGCCTTTAAGCAGTTTTCCACCCTGGGTGGGCCAGGTGTTCCTTGCCCTCATTCTGGTAAACCCACAACCTTCCAGCATGGGTGTGACGGCCATCACGAACATGTCACAGTGCTGCAGAGATTTTGTTTTTGGCCAGTCTTGGGGCAGTTTATGGCCAGATTTTGAGGCCTGTTCCCGAACAACGGGGGCTGGGTTGGGGGTGGTGATGTTTTGGGGCTGTGTCCAAGAAGGGCTCTGCCTGTGCCTGGCTGTCCACCGCGTTGGACACAGGCAGGCAGTGGGCAGGGCCGGAGTAGGTGCTTTTCTGAATGGAAATTCATCAATGCGCTTTGTGTCTGCTGTGGTTATCAGTGTTGCTATTTCAGTAAGTAATGGTAAAGCCTTCACCCGGCTCATGCCAGATGCGGAGGGTGGGGGCGCGGGCCTGTGATATGGCTGGGGTCCTCTGTCGTCAGAAAACATGAGCTCATGCCAAGGTTTCCGCAGGTCACCGAGATAGCACCGGCTCTCTGGAGACAGGCGTGACCCCCAGGTCAGCTCCTTGTCATTGAACTAAGTGGGCTCAGTGTCAGCTTGAACGTTAGTGGTGATAAGGGCCGGATAATGGTAGCCAAACTCCCACGGCCTCTTTAGGCCTCCCCTGGGGCCCTGAGGCCAGCAAGAGGGCAGGTCAGGGAGGGGCCAGGAGGAGGAGCAGGCAGGGAGGCTGCTGGTGCCTTTGGCTCAGCCAGTGGGGCTCTCAGCCCTCTGGAGTGTGCCCTAGGGACCAGTTTGTCCATGCCCCTGCCTCCAGGCCAGTCACTAGGACCAACAGATGTCCCAAGGAAGACACCGGCCATGACTGCATCCTGGAACCATATCAAACTGGCAGCACTTACTTCTCTGGACTTGTTTTTGTTTCACCAAATTTGCTGGATCTGTTGGCAAGTTTGAGTGAGTGGGGAAGTTGTGGATGTGTGTTCAGGCTCTGCCGTGGACCTGGGGGCCAGGGTTAATCTGCTGGCGGTTTCAGGTGGGAAAGACCAGAGCTTGATCACAGCACACACAGCACCTGGGGATATTTCTCAGGCTCTGCGCTCCCTGGTCCTGAGTCTGTCACCTGTGAGGTCAAGCTTCCTAAGCCTTCCTGGGCCTGAAAGTAAGCCACACCACTTCCAAAATAATGACACCTGTGTGCAACCCAGATGGGAGCATGGTCCTGGCCGTGTGTCTGCATCTCTGGGCTGCTCCCCAGCACACAGGGGAGGGCAGGAGGTGGGTTTTATGCTGGGAGGGCCTCAGGTGGCCTCCTGGGTCAGCAGCATGCATGCGGCCCTGTCCCTCTCATGCCCCTCTATTGCTGGTCCAGGACTGAACCTTTTCTTTCTCTGCCCAGAGCAGCCTCCAGGGAGCCACTGTCAATGGACAAGAGGCGGCATGTGACATGGGATGATTTGCCACCCCTGAATCAGTCCAACTCTTCCATTCTCAGAGGAGGGCACTGAGGCGGGGGGGGCCTGGCCAGCCCAAGCCCTGTCTGCTGCTCGGCTGAGCAAGAGGGACATGAACGCAGCTCTTCGTCCTCTGCCCTGTGCTTGCATTCTCTTGAGCTTTCTCTCTGGTAAAGAAATCATTCTTTTTGTTAATTTTTTAAATTTTATTTTTAAATTTTTATTTATGTATTTTGAGACCGGGTTATGAGACTGGCTAATTTTTGTATTTTTGCTGGAGATGCGGGTCTTGCTATGTTGCCCAGGCTGATCTCGAACTCTTGGCCTCAAGTGATCCACCTGCCTCATCCTCCCAAAGTGCTGGGATTACAGGCGTGAGCCACCGCACCCAGTCACAACTGAAATCATTCGAGGTGTCATTGTTTCCGATGTTACTTTACGTTTTGAAAAATAAAGCTACTGCATTTTGCAGGTGAACAGTCTCAGACTGCAAAGCAAGTCAGCACTACCACAGAGGGAATCCCAAACTCGCTGCTGAGAACAGAACAGCTGTGCCCTCGCCGACTGGGACCCGAGTGACATCTACTGGAGCAAGCAGGGGCTGCACGTGAGCAGGCAGCCATTCGGTCACTCCCCGTCATTCCAACACAATCGAATTTGTGTAGAAAATTTACATGCATCATAGGCTATTTATGAATATATGCACACGTAGAAAGAGGAAAAATACGCTTGGAAATGGTAAACATAACTTCAAGATAGTAGTTACCCTTGGGTTCGGTAGGGGTGAAGGAGTGGTAAGGGTTTTAGTTTTATCTTTAACCATTTCTTTTTTCACTTACTTATTTGTAGAGATGGGAGTCTCACTATGTTGCCCAGGGTAGTCCTGGTCTCAAGCAATCCTCCCACCTTGGCTTCCCAAAATGCTGGGATTACAGGCGTGAGACACCATGCCTGGCCACAATTTGGTTTCTCTTTCAAAAGATCCGATACCAGTGTGCCAAAGTATTGACATCTATTAAATCTTTCAGGTGGTCCTACTGAGGTCTGTTTTTCTGTGCTTATCTCTAAGTTTAAAATCGTTCATAATAAACATATAGTTTATATTAATAGTAATAATATACAGTATATATTATACTATATATTTATTATATAGTATATACTTTATATTCATTATATATTGTATACTTACATTTATGGAAGGAAAATAAAAAACAAAAATGGAAAATTTGTGGTCCAGATTCTTGGTCCCAATGGTAGCAGGGCAGTTTAATAGCAAAAGTTCTTAATACTTGTTGGCTGCTGTTACCATCATTAATAAGTATCCTGGAGTTTACTGGAGTAACTGAACAGCAGTCGAAGCTCATGTATAGGCTAGAGGAGAATCACGCTCTTCAACAGTAGTGACAAGATGAAGATACACTGAGAAGACTCATTTATTTGCTATTATTGAAAAATTGTTCATACCCCATAGGAAGATGTGGCATAGAACATCAGAATGTTCTTAGAATTGGGAAACTCTCAGGTAGGAGGCTGAAAGAGAAAGCCAAAATGACTATTTTATTTCCAGATTAAAGTTGTGCCTAGAATGATCACAAACACAACCTCCCACTGTTAGAACCAGAGTCCAGAAGCACCTAACACAGGCAGCAGTACTAGAGCAGGGCTCACGATATTTTGATAACTCAAGTTATACCTTTATGAGTTTTTACATATCCAGGTACCTATTGTATGATTATTTGTATAATATATTTTTAAAACCTCACTTTTTATGCCAGAGGTTTGAATGTAATCGGTCTGGGTTGTGTCTTGGGATTTTAAAAAATGTCCCCAGTTGAATGTAAATATAAGCCAAGATTGAAAACCATTTCTTCAAATCAAGAAAGGGGAGTCCCAGGCGCCAGAGATGAAGAGGACATGGAAAGGTAGAGTGTCGGTGGGGCGTGGTGGCTCACACTTGTAATCACAGCACTTTGGGAGGCCGAGGCAGGCAGATCACGAGGTCAGGAGATCGAGACCATGGTGCAACCCTGTCTCTACTAAAAATACAAAAAATTAGCCGGGCGTGGTGGCATGCGCCTCTAATCCTAGCTACTGGGAGAGGCTGAGGCAGGAGAATGGTGTGAACCCAGGAGGTGGAGCTTGCAGTGAGCGGAGATCATGCCACTGCACTCCAGCCTGGGCGACAGAGTGAGACTCCGTCTCAAAAAACAAACAAACAAAAAAAAACACAAGAAACGAAAAGAAAGGTAGAGTGGCAAGTGTGAGAGCTGATGTGCGGGAGCTGGAGCCTGGGTGGGGCACATTCTGATGCACGCTCATGGGGACAGGTGATGAGGCCTTAGAAAGGGGAGCTGGATCTGAGATTTGTGCAAAAGTCAGGACCCTTGAAAAGCTGTCTGCTCAGTGAATGGGGGACCAGACAAATCCTACCTGCTGGTGAGGGAGACTTCAGTTGCTTAGGCTCTCGGTGGGGAAAAAATATCTCTCATGTAATAAACCGAAACCTAAGCTGAGAAATTCACTTAAACATTGGTCCAAACAACTCAAATATCCATCCATGGATGAATGGACAGACTAAACGTGGAATATACATACAATGGAATATTATTCTGCCTTAAAAAAGAAAGGAAATTCTGATACATACCATAACATGGATGAACCTTGAGGACATTATGCCAAATGAAAGAAGCCAGATGCAGAAGGACAAATACTGTATAATTCTACTTACATGAGGTACCTAAAATAGTCAAATTAATAGAGACAGAAGGTAGAATTGTGGTTATCAGGGCTGGGAAAGAGTGGAATGGGGAGTTAGTGTTTCATGGGCACAGAGTTTCAGTTTGGGATGATGGAAAAGTTGTGGAAATGGATGGTGGTGACGGTTGTCCAACAATGCAAATATACTTGATGCCACTGAACTGTACACTTAAAAGTGTTTAAAATGGTCAATTTATGCTATGTGTATTTTATCACAATAGACAAAAATGATCCCAAGTTTATGATATCCTTCGTGGAGCATCTGGAAGAATCAAATAGTAAAGTACATGATTCTCTTCCCAGTGTGTAGAATTTCTACAATAGAATGGCAGGGAGTGGGGTGGTAAATCCTCACTGAAATAAGTGAATAAGTGAATTCGTAAATCCTCACTGAAAATAACTTCAGTAAATTAAAGTTCAATAAATTAATAGTTCAATAAATTTCTACAATAGAATGGCAAGGAGTGCGGTGGTAAATCCTCACTGAAAATAAGTTCAGTAAATTAGAGTTCAATAAATTAATAAATTAAAGTTCAATAAATTAAAGTTCAGTAAATTAAAGTTCAATAAATCCACACTGAAAATACATCACAAAACACATAGAAAAATATCCTGCCATGATAGCCAGTAGGCACAATGAATAGCAGGATTACTGCCAAAGATACTGAGATAATGGTACAATGTGAAAGCAAGCAAATAAACATGTGAGAGCTGAAACTATAAGAAAATGCTATTATGAGAAAGATGAGCTATTTACACACGGCTAAATAGAAAATCAACAAATGAGAATAGAGATCTGAGGAAACTGCCACATATGAGGCTCAGAGCTAAAAAGCAATGAAAAATATAGAAATGAAGCCAAGAGATATGAAAGATCAAATGAGAAGTTTCACTATAAATTTGAAGATGATGCTGGTAATGCATTGTGTTAATTCGCTTGACCCACCTGATTTTGTGCAGCCACAGTTCAATGCCAACATTTCATGTACATTTCATGGGCAATGCCGGCATCCCTTCTCAACTGCAGACCACAGTGTCTTTCTGTTCTTCTGACTCTGGGCTTTTCCCAACACTGCAAAAGCCCATTTAGCTTATGCACAAACAGTTCAGACTTTTGAAGGTGTTGACACAGCTGGCAGCAGCCCTCAACTAATGAGGGATGAGAAGAAGTAGATAAGTGTATCAACTCAATTGTCCTTTGGTGAGACAATATAAGGCATTCTCTATTAATTTACTCAAAGAATCCTCAGCAGGACTGAACCCCAGTGAATCTCAGTGGTAGCCAGCTCATAATCCAACTTTATTGGATTTTCTGTTTTATTCTTCTGATTCCATCACTTCTGTTCACCGTGATCACCTCTTAAATTAACTCAAGTCTTCCTTTCAGGTTCTGCTTTCATAGGAACTTAAACTAAGGCAAAAGGGAGAAATGCAAAGAATTAGGGAAAGGCAATATTTGAAGCGATAATACTTGAGAGCTTTTCAGAATTGATGAAGGACAGATATCCTTAGATTCAGGAAACACAAGTCCTAAAAAGGTTTTAAAAAATTGACTTCCATGTGCATTGTAGAATACCAAAGATAGGGGGAAAATTTCTAAAGCAACTAGAGAGAAAGAATGGATTAGCAGGCCAAGGCACAGCATTTTGGTGGTCAATAGACTTTTAAACAGTTATAAAAAACCAGAATACAATGGAATAAGCATTGAAGGAAAATGACTGGTGATCTGGAATTTTATACCCAACGAAACTGGGTACTGCTCGAGAATAACGGGGGGAAAATAAACCCAAAAAACCAAAAACATGTTCATACAAAGATGGAGTTTATCTACTCACAGACACTAGTTGAAAGAACTATTACATTATGTACCCTTGATGCTGGTTCTATTCCTTGTAGCCACAAGAGCAAAATTCAATCTCATTTTCCAAAGGATCCTCTTATAGTTCTTCTTTGGGCCTGTGGTGGAGGCGTGAGGGATGATTTCTTCTTCAATAGCTCTGTTTAACCTTGGAAGCCCCCTTCTGAATAAAGTTGCCATCTTGACAAGGAGATTTGGGATGGGGTGGTTCAGTAGGCGCTGGGAGCTTTAGTCTTCAGCTTCTGGTTCTAGGCTTCCTGGTTCCCCTCTCTCCTCATAGAGTTAGATTTTGGATCGTGCTGGCCGTCAGTATCTGTGGGTCGGCTCACATTCAAGAACTTTGCCAGAATTTCTCCTTGGGAGGAGGAATGAACACTCATTGGTGTCTACAGATTGAATTTCCCTCTCCTCCTCCACTTACACAGAGAGAAAGAGAAATAATTGTAGACTTGCAGAAATTAATTTTTACTTTGGGTGTGATACTCTACCTCATTTTTCTCAGTCCAGGCCTCAGTTTCGCCATTGATAAAGACACAATGTTGACCCAAATTAAACCCTTTTCTGAATTTAACACTGAGGAACACTTCCAGCCACCCCCGACCCCGAGTTCTCTGCAGTGGTAGCTATTTTTCCAGGATGTCCTGGCATTGCGGCTGCCTTCTTCCCACCTGCCTCTGCTCCTGTGTCCCTCTCCACCTCACCTGGAGAAGAGGAATCAGGCTACATCACAGTTGCCACAGAAAACAAGGTATTTATTTTCTTTCTTGGCTTTTGTTTAGATCGTAGCATCTACAGTGACTGGATTCTACTCTTGCTGATTTTAAAAAATCAAAAAGTGTTTATAATTTCATAAGTATTACAGAAACTTACTTCCATTGTAGAATAATTCAGATAATGCACAGAAAGCAAAAGATACTTTTCCCACCTTCAATTCTAGTCCTTCCTTTTAGAGGTGACCACCACTGTCATTTTAGCATTTACTCCTTCCTGCTCTCTCTCTCTCTCTCGAGATATATATACACACATACACACACATATATATGTGCTTTTTCCTTTTTGTTGCTTATATGGTATAATCCATATACATTTTACAATTTTTAAAAACTTACATATTTGGGGAATCTTTTCATTCTGGTATAAAGACTTTTCTTGTTCTCTCTGACTGGTACATAGTATTCCAGAGCATTGTTATACTGTGCTATAATATAATTTATCTAAGGAAACATCAGATATAAGAAACAAAGAAAAAAACTAAAGGAAAGATATAAAAGCAACAACAAAATACTATATTTAACCACTGCCTTGTCAATTAACATTTAGGTTGTTTATAATTTTTGCTACTACAGAGAATTCTGCATGAGCATTCTTGTACATATTTCTGTGTGTCTAGATGCAAGCATTTCTCTTGGGAAGATATGGAAGGTACACTTCCAATCAAGAGAAGACACATTTAACATTTCAACATTTTAGCATTTAGAGATTACTCTCCATAAGGGCTGTATCAATACACACCCTCATAATCAGTGTATGAAAATACCCATTGCTTCATCCTTTTACCGAAACTAGTTGTTTTCCATTTTTAAAATGTTTTTTCCCTCTGACTGTTGTCTTTCTCCTTAGCATCCTCCACTTCTTGTCTCCCTTCTTGCCGTCTCCTTCTCATACAGCACGCCCCAGGCAGACATGATTCACAGAAAATGGTCCCAATGTATAGACATGTGGTCAGAAGTCATGGGATGAAAACACTCAAATAGACACACACAGGAGTTTGCAAAATCACATGCGCACGTCTTCACACACAAACACAGTATTCTTTCCAGTCAAGATAAGAATATTAGTGGGAAAAGTAGTGCTGGACTATCTCATTTCCCTGTGTGGGCTGCTCAGATAAGTGGCCTCTCAGGTCTGGACAATAATACCCAGCCCGACAGCTTGTCTGTGGCCTCTCCCGCCCCTCCAGAGAAGCCTCCGCAATGATGGCTGTTCTGGGGTGGGGTCCAGCAGTGGGTGCACAGCTCTGAGCAGACCCAATGGGCAGACAGTGATGGCAAGAGGCGCTCTTGGGGCCTGGGAGGGGGATGCAGCTCACGGCGGCGGCAGTGCTGGGGATACACCGGCGCCAGACCGGTGCCCAGAATCACCGGGAGTGTGATGGTGGGGCAAATCAGAGTCATTAGAGTAACTGGCGGGGCCCAAGGAATCTCGCTAGGAAGCAGGGACGCGAGGTGGCTCAGCCTGTGGGTGGCCACAGCAGCTTTGGAAACCTCCTTCCTCCCTTTCTTCCCTTCCCAGGGCACACAGGCAGGATGGTGCCTGAAAACAAGGCCGCCCACTTCCTCCGCTGCATCCCTCCTCTCCCACACCTCTCAGGCTCTATCCTGCGCCTCTTCTTCAGCAGTTTAGGAGGTTCCTGGGACTCTGCTAGTTCTGGAGAATACAAAGAACAAGCCCCTTTCCTGCATCCGAGGACCTCACTATCTCGGGGGCCCTCCAGGGCTCACCTGCCACTGCAAGTCTAGACGGTCTCTCCCGCTTCTTGTGGTGCAAGCAGTTGCACACAGCCCCTTGCAGCTCTCCCTGATATTTATGGTCTTGGTCCCACGGATTCAGGTCGCTTTTGTTATCCATTTTAAGTCATTTTGTCTTCTTTTTAAAAGTTCTTTTAAAACAAATTTTTATTTTTTTTTGAGACAGGATCTTGCTATGTTGCCCAGGCTGGTCTCAAACTCCCGGCCTCAAGTGATCCTCCTGCTCTGGCCTCCAAAAGTGCTGGTATTACAGGCGTGAGCCAGTGTGCCCAGCCGTCATTTCCTCTGCATGTCAAGTGAAGTCATGGGGAAGGGCGTCTGGAGTGGTGAGTGGGGCTCTCACTTCCTCAGGATGGCGGGAAGTTCTATCTTGATCTGAGGCCCGGGATCAGGTTGCTCCTTGTCCCCATATCCAGGGTTGGGAGGAGAGGCTGGAGCCCGGGAGACTCTGCCTGGAAACCTGGAGACTGTGGCAGGCATTGAAGAGTGTGGAGTCGCCCACATTGGTGGTCTTGTTTGATTCCTACCACCTGGAAGGGAGAAAGAGCAAGACTTCTTGTATCTGTCACAGATGAGGAAACTGTAGCCTACAAAGGTTAAATGACTCACTCAAGGTCGCACAGACGGGAAAGAAAGAACCCAGGTCTCTGGACTTGAAATCTGGGGTCCTAGCCATGGGCCATGTTCTTGGAAACTTGCACCACATGGTAGCGCCCTAGAAGGAAGAGAGGGAGGAGAGGGAGGAGAGGGAGGCCAGATGCTCTGGAAGGCATGCTCTCAGGACTTAGACCCCTGTGGACACCCTTAGTGAGGGGTGGACAGAGAAAGTTGCACTTATGCACTACGCAGCCCCTAACACTGGTAGTAGATGTCACATTGTTAAAAAGGGGGAAAGAAACATTAAGGGTGGACTTGAGGGGCAGCCTGTCTGGAAGTTGGTTATGGGCTGCCTGTATATATGCCTAATATTTTTAGCTCTAGTTGATGAAGTTACTGGCCTTTTTCTTAGACACAGCCCGAGTCATTTTCTCTCCAGTCTGATTGAAACCCCAAACCCTCAGATTTTTTTTTTTTTTTTTTTTTTGAGACTGAGTCTTGCTCTGTCTCCCAGGCTGGAGGGCAATGGTGTGATCTTGGCTCACTGCGACCTCCATCTGCCGGGTTCAAACAATTCTCCTGCTTCCCAAGTAGCTGAGTTTACAGGCACCCGCCACCAAGCCACCACGCACGCCCGGCTAATTTTTTGTATTTTTAGTAGACAGAGTTTTGCCATGTTGGCCAGACTGGTCTTGAACTCCTGACCTCAGGTGATCACCTGCCTCAGCCTCCCAGAGTGCTGGGATTACAGGCGTGAGCCACCATGCCTGGCCTGACTTTTTACTTTTTATTTTCTCCTTTCCTTCCTTCCTCCCTTCCTCCCTCCCTCCCTCCCCTCCCCTCCTCTCCCCTCCCCTTCCCTTCCCTTTCCAACAGGGTCTTGCTTTATCACCCAGGCAGGAGTGCAGTGGTGCAATCACAGCTCATTGCAGCCTCAACCTCCCACACTCCAGAGATCCCTCTGCTTCAGCCCCCCAAGTAGCTGGGACTATAGGTGCACACCACCACATTGGGCTGGGCTAATTTTTAAATTTTTAGTACAGACCGGGACTCACTATGTTACCCAGGCTGGTCTCGAACCTCTGGGCTCAAGCAATCCTCCCACCTCAGTCTCTCAAAGTGCTGGGATTACTGGTGTGAGCTATTGTGCTCAACCTAGACCCACCCGCCCTTCCTTCCTTCCTTCCTTCCTTCCTTCCTTCCTTCCTTCCTTCCTTCCTTCCTTCCTTCCTTTCCTTCCATCCCTTTCTTTTTTTGAGACAGAGTCTCGCTCTGACGCCCAGGCAGGAGTGCAGTGGTGCAATCTCAGCTCACTGCAGCCTCCGCTTCCTAGGTTCAAGCAATTATCCTGCCTCAGCCTCCCAAATAGCTGGGAGTACAGGTGTACACCACTACACCTGGCTAATTTTTGTACTTTTAGTAGAGATGGGGTTTCTCCATGTTGGCCAGGTTGGTCTCAAACTCCTGAATACAAGTGATCCCCCCACCTCGGCCTCCCAATGTGCTGGGATTACAGGTGTGAGCCGCCGCACCTGGCCTACTTTCTTATTTACTGAATAGCTGATACCCTCATGGCAGTAGCAGTCACATCCCGGGTGCCATGTGCTCAGCCATGAGGGGCCATTGGGAGCATCCTACCTGGGTCCGTCTGTCCTGGGAAGAGTCAGAGAGGTGAATCCAAGCCAAAATTTTGTAAAAGAATTGAGGGTTAGGCTGGGAGCAGTGGCTCATGCCTGTAATCCCAGCACTTTGGGAGGCCAAGGCGGGTAGATCACGAGATCAGGAGTTCGAGACCAGCCTGGCCAACATGGTGAAACCCCATCTCTACTAAAACTACAAAAATTAGCCAGGCATGGTGGCACGTGTCTGTAATTCCAGCTATGCGGGAGGCTGAGGCACAAGAACCCCTTGAACCCAGGAGGCGGAGGTTGCAGTGAGCCCAGATTGCGCCACTGCACTCCAGCCTGGGCAACAGAGTGAGACTCCATCTCAAAAAAAAAAAAAAAGACAATTCAGGGTTAATGTCAGGTGCACAGAAAACCAAACGCAAACAATGGGGTCAGGGCAGGAATGAAGCTGAGGAGAGCAGCCAGGGATTTGGAGTTGTGTTGAGAGGAGATTTGAGTTGGACATGAGGTTTGAAATGAGAGGGGAGGGTCAAGGAGAACACTGGAAGTGCCTTTGGGACCTGGTTTTTAAGTGTTTTGAGCTACAGAGTCCAGTTGCGTCCCAAAAGGTTTGTTTCGGGTTTGCTATTCCCCGTGAAGCGTGGCAGTGTCTGTTGATGGGCACTTTCGCCAACACTCATTCTCACCATTAAAAAATGGCATCTCATGAAGACTGTGGGCCTGGAGGGTCTTCCCGTCTAGGGGCATGTAGGTGCCTGGGGGCTTCCCCAGTGCTCAGCGCATGGCAGGGCCTCCGTGGCCTCAGCAGGAATCTCTGCAGGTCATCACTAACCATGACTCCCAGGCTGTGCAGAGAGAGGCGTGGAGGTCAGCCCTCTGGGACCTTACTCAACTGTCACTCTAGGGACAGAGTGAGCATCCTCTCTTGGGGTAACTGGCTGGACGTCGGGGCTCCTCTCCAAAACCAGAACCAGAAGACCCTGATCTGATTTTGGGAAAAGCTGCTTGGCGGGGTGGTCACTGGCTCTCTCCTTTCCATGTTCACAAGCACAAGATGGAGACCCATAAACACCCTCCCAATCTGCGGAGGTGTCGTGGGGCAGGGAACGCACGCTAGTCAGGTAGAGAGACAGAAGAGCCTAATGCACATGCAAGGATCCCTCAGAGGTGGGCAGAAGATGGGTAAAAACGTGAAATCTGATGAGAAACAGTGTCCACGGCCCTTCCTGCTCCTGGGGTTACTCCCTGACCCTGTCCCACACCCACCCTTTAAGAGACAGGAGCAGGCTCTACCATGGAGATGAGTCCCAGCCACAAAGAGGTGAACGAGAGTCACTCAGAGCCTGCACAAAGGCTCAACAGAGTAAACTGGCCTCTGGGGCCCTGAGATGCATAGGAAGTTGCTCCCAGGGAGTGGTGTCTGAGTGAGAACATTGACTTGGGGAGATTCGAGAAGGGGAGGGCATTCTCCATACACTGGCACCTGCCCCTCTTGGGGAGCTTTGAGAAGGGAAGAGCATTCTCCATCCATTGGCACCTGCCCCTCTGGGTGCAGAAGAGGCATGACACAGTTCTCTTCTGTTTTTTGTTTGTTTGTTTGTTTTTTGATACCGAGTCTCACTTTGTCACCCAGGATGGCACAATCTTGGCTCACTGCAACTTCCGCCTCCCTGGTTCAAGCAATTCTCATGCCTTACCCTCCCAAGCAGCATGTGCCAGCATGCCTGGCTAATTTTTTGTAATTTTAATAGAGATGGGGTTTCGCCATTTTGGCCAGGCTGGTCTCAAACTCCTGGCCTCAAGTGATCCACCCGCCTCGGCCTCCCTAAGTACTGGGATTACAGGTGTGAGCCGCCATGCCAGGCCCAGTTCTCTTCTGATGTTGGGCAAAGCCTACTTCTCCATCTAGTGATTCTGATGTGTCTGGACACCAGGAATTGCAGTGTGTCCCATCCCAGGCTGAAACAGAGAAGGACACCTGAAACCCACGATCCAGCACGTAGGAGTCCGGGGCTACCTTGGGGGTCCAGAGCCCCCACTTATACACTCGAAGGGTGGTGTAGTCGAACTGAGAAAGTCCGGCTGAAGCTGACTACCCCACCAAGGCCATCATATATCATAGAAACCCTCACCACCAGACAGACCCAGGTAACAAAAGTAACTCATGGAGGTCAAGGCTGCAGTGAGCTATGATCGTGTCACTGCACTCCAGCCTGGGCAATAGAGGGAGACCCTGACTCTATTTAGAACAAAACAAAACAAAAAAACTCGCATTTATTGAGTGCTTACTATGCACTGGGCATAAAGTAGTAATTATCACAACAATGTGCTGAGATGGTAACAATTATGTCCCCGTTTTACAGATGAGAGCACTGAGGTCCAGCAAGGTTAGGTAACTTACTTGGTGCAAGCTCACATGGCTGTGGGAAACCCAAGCCCAACTCCAGTGTGTGCCCTCTTAGGGGTGCTCCATTCCGTCCAGGGCAGCCACCAGTACTTGTAAAGCATTGGACCAGGTGGAAAAAGACCAACAGTAAAGCCACCAGTGCAGTGACATGCCGAGGTGGGATGTAGCGGTTTCCCTGGGGCCACTACCTGCCTGAGCAACTCTCCCCACACTCCCTGCGGGCCCCTCCATAGTCACATATGGTGCCGTCAAGGAAGGGGGCTGAGGAGCAGGAGAGTGGACACCCGGATCTAGACAG
The DNA here is from genome assembly GCF_000001405.40 of Homo sapiens. NCBI lineage: Eukaryota > Metazoa > Chordata > Mammalia > Primates > Hominidae > Homo > Homo sapiens. The sequence continues at coordinate 11,955,323 of NC_000008.11, forward strand.
TGATCGAGGCTTTAATTCCTGCTCTGGATTAAAAACGACTGGACTGCACTGAGACTTTCAACGTGGACCAAATGAATGGACTGTGGTCAGCAGCCTGGGGGCTCAGGACGGGGAGCAAGGACTCAGAAAGGGAGGCTCCTCTGTCATCTGTTCCTAACTCAGCTGCTGTGCACCCCAGCGCAGTGTGGAGGAGGGAGGAGGTCAGGCTGGGAGAGGCGGCCACGTGCAGGGGCAGTGCTGGCCCCGGGTGGCAGGGACCCTGGAGCAAGGCTGTGGCTCCTCTGATTTGAAGGCTGTGGCTGACACTCCACAGAGCCCCGTCCTGTGCCAAAGTAACCAGAGCAGAGGCCAGCCTTGGTGCTCCCTTCCGCTCCCGTTCCGGAGGGCTGGCTGGCTGATAGCTGAATCCCTCAGATGAAGTCATCTGTTTTGGTGCCAGGGAAGGGAAGGGCTGGGGGAGCCGGCGGAGGGGCCATCAGGGCCCGTGCTCTGTCTGCTTTTCCCAGGCTGGCGCCGCAGGGAGGAAAGCCTGGGTCTTGTCTGGGAGTGCCCATCGCTCGGGAGGCAGTGGGTGGGTGGCTCGAGGGCAGGGCCTGTGCATTGTTAGAAAATCAGGAAGGGAGAACAGGAGCTCGGTTGAAATGTCAGCGGGGCGGTGGGGGGTTGGCGGGGCGAGGGGGGTGGGGCGGGGCGGTCTGTAGGCTTCTTGCTAATGTTCTCTAGCTAATGTTTTGAATGATTTCCTCCGTGATCGGATGTGAGCACGCATCTTGGAAGACACACTGTCCTACAGTCTATGGAAGATGAAAAGGACTGAAAGGGCATTCAGCACTGTAAACACTTGGCCCTGCTGTCTGGCGCTTCTGTGATTTGTTGCTCTTTGAGGGAAGCCCTACGCAGTTTGCAAATTTTCTATCTAGACCTCAGCAAAGCTTGGATTTTTCATAAATTCTATCTTGTCAAATGGAATCTGGGTGTAGGTCTGACATGTGCTATCAATTCTTATCATCAATGAATAGAATCAGATGCACTCAACATCTACTGAACTCACATGAGGTACTAGATATTGGGCTAACTACATTAACTTCCTCATGCTGTATTGTGCAATTATTATTTTTCTGTTTACCAGTGAGTAACTGAAGTTCAGAAAGTTCAATACCTTTCCTAATGTCATGTAGCTAGTAAGTGACACACTGAGCAGAGCCCAGGCTGACTGCATCCAAGTCTCTAACATCTTTCAGTGCTGTTCTCTTGGTACTCTTTTTTTTTTTTTTTTTTTTTTTGAGGGATCTCACTCTCACCCAGGCTGGAGTGCAGTGGTGCAATCTTGGCTCACTGCAGCCTCTACTTCATGGGGTCAAGTGATCCTCCCACGTCAGCCCCTGGAGTAGCTGGGACCACAGGTGTGCGCCACCACATCTGGCTACATTTTTTTTTTTTTTTGAGACGGAGTCTCACTCTGTCACCCAGGCTGGAGTGCAGTGGTGCGATCCCGGGTCACTGCAACCTCTGCCTCCCAGGTTCAAGCAATTCTCCTGCCTCTGTCTCCCAAGTAGCTGAGATTACAGGCACGCACCACCACACCTGGCTAATTTTTGTATTTTTAGTGTGGGGTTTCACCATGTTGGCCAGGCTGGTCTTGAACTCCTGACCTCAAGTGATCTGCCCACCTCTGCCTCCCAAAGTGCTGGGATTACAGGTGTGAGCCACTGCACCTGGCCCCAGTTATGTTTTTATTTTTTAAAGAGATGTGCGGGTGGGGGGAGGGTCTCTCTATGTTGCCCAGGCTGGCCTCGAACTCCTAGATTAAAGTGATCTGCTCGCCTCAGCCTCCCAAATTGCTTGGATTACAGCCGTGAGCCACTGGGCCAGCACGGTGCTGTTCTCTTCACTGATTATTATTAATATTTTTGTTTTGCCTCCACCTCCCTTGTTTTCCAAATTTGTGTCTTTCCTTTTATATACATTTTGAATGTACAACTTTTTACAGAATTAAACCCAATTGATACATCTTATCAACTTATCTTTGCTAAGGATTTCCACTTTCTAAGTGGTCAGAAACTGATTTCCACCCATCGTTTTTGCCAACTTCCTTCCTTAAATGCACATGGTGTAGTGCATGGGGCACTGGGCTGCCCCTCCGCAGACCTGGGATCCAGTGCGGTTTCTGGCCTCCCTCACAGTGTGGTCCTGACAATGTTCCTTTGCCTCTCCGAGCCTCAGTTTACTCATCTTCAGAGGTGATTTCCAAGGGCCTTGCCAGATCCATCTCCAGGCATGTGTGTGTGTGTTTGCAGGCGAAGGAGCTGTCATGGGCAGCTTGGCCTTCTGGCAGCTGTCTCATGGGCCCACAGCAGGGGCTGCTTTCCTGCGTCAGACCCAGCAGTGGCAGGAGGGTCTCCCCTGGGACGGCCTCACCCAGTGCGCAGCCTCCCGCTATCCCACCATTAGGCCACTCACTGCTGTGCTCCTTGGTTTGAATGTTTATTTGGGCCCTAGCTCCCCCTTGCTGCGAGAGGAAGGCCACAGCTGTAACCTCGTGTGCCTTTATTGCTGTAAACTGTCACGTTCTGCAAACAGGTCACAGAGAATTTGGAGAGTGGACATTCTTGTAGAGAAATTATGCAAAGAGAGGCTTTGCCTTCATTAATCTACTTTGCATTTATTTATTTATTTATTTGAGACGAGTCTCGCTCTGTTGCCCAGGCTGGAGTGCAATGGTACGATCTCGGCTCACTGCAACCTTCGCCTCCTGGGTTCAAGCGATTCTCCTGCCTCAGCCTCCCAACCAAGTAGCTGGGATTACAGGTGTAGGCCACCACGCCCAGCTAATTTTTGTATTTTTAGTAGAGACAGGGTTTCACCATGTTGGCCAGGCTGGTCTTGAACCCTTGACCTCAGGCGATCCACCTGCCTCAGCCTCCCAAAATGCTGCGATTACAGGCACAAGCCACCGTGCCCAACCCATTAATCTACTTTGCTTTTCAATTTTGTGTTATTGTTATTATTTTTGATAGAAATGATAACAGGAGGTGTAAGCACATGATGATGAGCGCCACCTTGGGGTTGGGGTTGGGTAAAGAAAGGCCTGATTTATTTATTTATTGAGACGCAGTTTCACTCTTGTTGCCCAGGCTGGAGGGCAATTGCGCGATCTCAGCTCACTGCAACCTCCGCCTCCCAGGTTCAAGCGATTCCCCTGCTTCAGCCTCCCGAGTAGCTGGGATTACAGGCATGTGCCACCAGGCCTGGCTAATTTTGTATTTTTAGTAGAGACGGGGTTTGTCCATGTTGGTCAGGCTGGTCTCGAACTCCCAACCTCAGGTGATATGCCCACCTCGGCCTCCCAAAGTGCTGGGATTTCAGGCATGAGCCACCGTGCCCGGCCTATTTTTTTTTATTTTTTACTTTTAATTGTGCTGCAAAACATATAACATGAAATTTATCTTCATAACCACTTTTGAGAGTACGGTTCAGTCGTGTTACATAGACACACATTGTTATGCAATAGGCCTCTAGAACTTTAACTTACAAACAAAAACTGTGTCTGCTTTGCTTGTTATTGAATGCTGACTCTATCCGAAGCATTGTGCTGACCACGAGGACCAAAAAGAAAAGGAAGCAATTGATCGCCAAGCAGAACTTCAGAAAAGATACAGAACTCTCTCAGCTTGTCCACCCCCAACTCCCACCGACACTGAGCAGGCAGGAGAGGTGGCACAGCAGGCAAAGTCTGCCACCTGGTGGCAGGAAAGAGTCACAGTCCACAAGGGAGGCTTCCAGTGGATCCCACAAAAGAAGTGGGGAACAGGAAAGCGGAAGAAGACATTTAGTGCCAGGTATGCAAAACAGCAGGAACTGTTGGATAAATGGAAGTGAAAAAATATTTTTCGCCGGGCACGGTGGCTCACGCCTGTAATCCCAGCACTTTGGGAAGCCGAGGCAGGTGGATCACCTGATGTCAAGAGTTCAAGACCAGCCTGGCCAACATGGTGAAACCTCGTCTTTACTAAAAGTACAAAAAAAATTAGCTGGGCGTGGTGGCGCATGCCTGTAGCCCCAGCTACTCAGGGAGGCTGAGGCAGGACAATCGCTTGCACCCAGGAGGTGGAGGTTGCAGTGAGCCAAGATTGCGCCACTGCACTCCAGCCTGGGCGACAGAGGGAGACTCTGTCTCAAAACGACAACAACAAAAATTTTTAAAGAGACACATTTGGATAATTTTAAAATTATTTTTTGTTTCGCAGGGCATGGTGGCTCACGCCTGTAATTCCAGCACTTCAGGAGGCCGAGACAGGTGGATCACCTGAGGTCAGGAGTTTGAAAGCAGCCTGGCTAACAGGGAGAAATCTTATCTCTATAAAATATACAAAAATTAACCGGGTGTAGTGGCATGCTACTCGTGCTGGAATCACAGATATGTGCCACCGTGCCCTGCCAAACAAAAAATAATTTTAAAAGGCTGAGGCATGAGAATCATTTGAGCTGGGAGGCTGAGGTTGCAGCAAGCCAAGATCGCACCACTGCACTCCACTCTGGGCGACAAAGGGAACCTCTGTCTCAAACAAGACAAAACAAAACCCATGAAAAAACAATGAGATACCACTACACACCCACCAGAAGGTGAAAATGTAGAAGACAGACAATGCTGAGTGTTTGTGAAGATGTGTGGCAAATGGAGCTCTCCCTCTTTGCTGATGAGAATTAAATTGGTGCGAACAACTTGGAAACTTCAGGTATTTACTAAGAAATCAGTGCATGTATTTAAAAAAAATACGTGTACAAAAAGGTTTATAGCAGCTTTTTTTTTTTTTTTTTTCCTGGCAGAGTTTTGCTCTTGTTGCCCAGGCTGGAGTGCAATGGCATGATCTTGGCTCACTGCAGCCTCCACTTCCTTGGTTCAAGCAATCCTCCTGCCTCAGCCTCCCAAGTAGCTGGGACTACAGGCGCCCGCCACCACACCCAGCTAATTTTTTTGTATTTTTAGTAGAGACGGTGTTTCACCATGTTGGCTAGGCTGGTCTTGAACTCCTGACCTCAGGTGACCCACCCACTTTGGGCTCCTAAAGTGCTGGGATTACAGGCATGAGCCACCGCCCCCTGCCAATAGCTCTATTTTTAATAACCAAAAAGTGGAGGCAAGCCAAATGCTCACCAATAGGAGAACAGATACATTGTGGTATAGACAGTAATAAAAAAGAATGAACTGCTCTTCCACAAACAGAATGAACCTAATAAACATAACCTTGACCAAAAGAAACCAGTCACACGAGACTGCACACAGTGTGATTCCATTAACACCAAGTTCAGCCACAGACAAAATTCACTGATGGTCACAGAATTTAGAGTAGTAGTTGTCTCTGGTAGGGTTAATGCCTGAGAATGGCATGAGGGACTTTTCTGGGGTGGTGGGAACATCTGATACCTTGATCTGAGTGTGGTACGTATGTTGTGCAGCACATTACATGTGTGTATGTATGTACACACGTTCGCACATGTACATATATAAATCTTTCCCTGCACTCTTCCTTCCAAACAATTGCCATTTTTGTAATTATTAGCTTGTTTATTTTTATTTATTTTTTAGTTTATCATCTCTACTATGCTGTAAACTCAAAGAGGACAGACCTCCAGGCTTTTTGGAGGGTGTCTACTTACATAGTAGGCGAGAATTATATGTTTGTAAGAAGAATACCTGAATGAATGAATAAATGAATGAATTTTGGCATTTTGGGATGCTCTAGAGGGAATAACACTACTCAGAATTGCATGGAATGGTCAGCAGTAGTGTTCATCAGAAAGCTTTTTGAAAAATTTTTAAATTATTTTTAAATTAAAAAAATTTTTTTTGAGACAGGGTCTTGCTATGTTGCCTAGGCTGGTCTTGAACTCCTAGGTTCAAGTGGTCCTCCCACCCTGGCCTCCCAAATGCTGGGATTACAGGTGTGATCCATCTTGCACAGCCCCATTGGGAAGTATTTTTTTATCCTTTCATAGATAAAGAAACAAAAGTATCAATTAGTAAGCATCTAGTTTGTTTCAGGCCCTGTGCTTTGCACATGTGTCATTTAAGCTTCATAACAATCCTTGGGGATAAGCATTGTTTCCTCAAATAGGAGGAGGAGCTGAGATTTAGAGCTCATAAGTCATCCAAAGTCACACCGGAGGGCTGAGGACGGAAGGTGTGCAGGTGATTTAGGCACTCCATTTTTGCCGTTCCTCCTTTGCCCTCTGGTCTCTGTGCTCCCTTTGGTATTCCTGGAGAGAAGGCCAGAGCCTTGTTCACACAGCTCCAGAGGGAATGGGGCACTCCCTGGGGCAGTGTGGGGACTTCATCTCTACCTTCCCACGGGCCGAGCACAGTGCCTGGCACACAGCGAGTGCAGGGTAAACCCTCTAGGAGTGAATGGAAAAGCTGTGATGATATGAAAGAATATTATTACATGTTCCCCCTTCCTATACTTACTCATCTTTCACAAACGTGTAGATTAGAAGCTGCTTGAGGGCAGAGTCTTGGTGCAAGCTTCTCTGTGTGGCGCTCTGTGGTAGGCCACAGCAGCTGAAATATCCCAGTGGAGTAGGAGTTGGCAAATTGCACCCTGTGGGCTAAATCTGACAACTGTCTGTTTGTATAAATAAAGTTTTATTGAAACACGGCTTCACACATATATTGTCTACAGCTACTTTGACTCCATCACAGAGTTGAGTAGTTGTGATGTGGACTGCATGCCCTGCAAAGCCTACAATATTTACTCTCTGGCCTTCACAGAAAAAGTTTGTTGATCCTTACAATTGAGATTCCCTTTGTGGATTCAGCTTGTCTCAGCCTCTTCGAGATGAACGTTGCTGAGAGTGGGGTGGCAGGTGCTCCGGTGAAGGAGGAAGTAACCAGCAGTAGACAAGGGCAGAAGCCTATAAAGCTTGACCTCCCCCACCTCATAGTTTACTCATTGTTGCCCCAAACTTACACAACTCAAGACAGGGATCCCAGGATGAAGTCGCGGGGTACAGGCGTTCCCTAAGCCTAGCTGGTTGCACCTCTCTACCAAAATAATAGTAATCCAAACGCAGCATTTCATGAGGCTGAGGCAGAAGGATCACTTGAGGCCAGGAGTTTGAGACCTTCTTGGGCAACATAGTGAGACCCTCCCCCCATCTCTATAAAAAATTAAAATTTAACCAGGCATGGTCGTGCACACCTGTAGTCCTAGCTACTCAGGAGGCTGAGATGGGAGGATTGCTTGAGCCCAGAGGATTGAGGCTGCAGTGAGCCATGATGGTGCCACTGCACTCCAGCCTGGGTGACAGAACAAGACTCTGTCTCTTAAAGAAAAAAATCCTGGGAGAGGTGCTGTCCATCTCTCCCATCCCTACAATGAGTTTCTTGCCACGCCAGAGGGTGGCAGAATCTGAAACCTAGACGATCTCAACAGGTTGGCATGAGAGGCCAAGTCTAATAAAATGAAGTCAAACTGGGATAAATGGAAGGTTGCACCCTCAGGTAAAACCAAAATCAGTACCATAAGCATCCATTTTGGGAAGGTAAAGGTTAATTACCATCTTTGAGACAAAGCATGACTGGCTTTTGTAGATGGAAAATTCATATGAGTAGTCAGTGGTGTGAACTCCCACAAAATGAGTTTGGTCTCAAGCTGTATTCATGGAATTTTGGAATCTGAGATTAGAGACAAGAGCATCCCATTCTTTCTCTGTCTTCGGGCAGGACCAGATGTGAAATATCCTGCTTGAAACAAATGGGAGTGCAGCAGGAGTGGGGGCCGCTCAGACACAGCTCTGAGTAGTGTCCTGGGAATCAACGCAGCTGGGTGCTTTAGCCTGGAGATCGGAGCAGAGTGAGGGCTGAGAAGAGGAGCGAGCTCACTTGTCTTGGGAGGTCCCCAGGGTTGGATGTGGAATATGTGTCCTGAGGTTCTCGGCAGAAATTGCAATGTCCATCTCTCTTCCCTGGAAGTTCGATCTTTGAGCCCATGAGTACTTTCTGGACACATTCCGGGCAGCAAGAGTTTGGGGAGATGGGGTTGGGATTAGCTTTTAATAGATGATAAAGCTTAGGCCAAAATAATCAACCTGGTTCTTCTTTTTTCACTGCATTCGAATGGAAAGAGCGCTAGACTGCGAGTCAGGACAGCTGCCTGGACTCCCAGCTCCCCTACTCACTAGCTATATGGCTTTGTATAGATCATTTTACTGTCTGAGCTGCGGTTTCCTTCTCTAAAAGAAAATGGAATAATGAACTCTGTCCACGTTATGTGAAAGCAGCTCATGAATCCTGCCGTGCTCTGTGGGTGAGGGCCTCGCTCAAGAGTGCTGTTGGGAGAGGCCTTCAGGTGCAGTTCCTCGGCTCCCTGGACACTCAGCTGGGGGCTCATGGGTCCTGGGGAGGGCTCCGGATGCAGGGGGCAGTGATGGCCAAGGCCCTTGGGGGCTCTCTGTTGGGGCCACTCACAGCAGGGATGCAGATGTTCAATATCAGCACCCCCTCTCCCAGCATCTGGAGAAACAGCCTTGCCGCTGACTCCAGGCAGGCTCTAGATGATCAGCTGATGATGAAATTTACATCTGAGCCTGTTCCCTTGAGATCTCACAGATGATTCCATTTTGGAACCTTTCCCATCCCCCTCATTTCCTTCCCAAACCTCTTCTCTCAGTGGGAAAGGGTATCGTCTCCCTCCAGGGTACCCGGGAAATTCCCATAGAAATGTCCTCAGGGCTGTTCCACCCGGGAACACTGGGCAGCCCCTCCTCCTGGTTCCAGCAGCTCTTAGAGAATTGAGATTGACTCTGCAGGTGGGTGATGCAGGGAGGCCTAAGTATGCGTGTGAAGGTGACTCCAAACTTCCTGGGTCCCAGAAGCTCTCGGGCAGCTCAGGGAGGAGGACCTGGACAGCAGAAAGCACATAGATACAGAGAGAAGAGGAAGCATTCCTCCAGCGACTCCTCCCACTTATTTTCCAAGCAGATCTTTGGCCCTGGCCTTGCCTGACCCAGCACTTGTCAGGGTCCCAGGGCTGGGCTTGAGCTGAGCAAAATAATGAAAATGGTGATAAACAAATCAAAAAGCAACTCATACTTGTGTAACTCTTTCAAAGACTCATATATATAGTATCTCAGTAGATCTTCACAAGTGGGTATGGCACAAACCATCTCCATTTATAGATGAGAAAACCGAGCTTCAGAGAGTCTACTTGAATAGCTCATGATTTCAGAGCTGGTGCAATGAATATTCAAGCCTATATTCTCTTTTGTTGGCTATGTTTTTTCAACCTAGATAACAGACAGAAAGAAAATGATGTTTATTCAGGAATGGGAATTGCAATGGGAATACATCCAACTGAGAAGTGTAATGCAGGTTTGGGAAACAATGTTTTTTCTCTCCTTTTTTTTTTTTCTAGAAAAATCATGTTTATTTGGGGGGAATAGAGCATTGCAATGGGGCTACATGTCTACATGTGTCCTAGTAAACTATGTGCATATTGGGAAAAAGGAAGACAAATGTTGTTAAAGGAAAAATGAGGAAGATCGCATAATTGTTTTCAGATAATTATCCTTGGCTACAAGGATCAATAACAGGGGTGGCACCTGTCTGAGGCTGGACAGGAAGCTGCCGGACAGCTGCCCTCACAAAAATATTTGTGTGTGTGTGTGTGTAAGGTTGAGATGGCTTTTGTGCAAGGTTGTGGTTTTTGCAGGGTTTTTGTGATAATTCTGATTGGGCATTTGTGCAAGACAACCCTCCCTTCTCAACCTTCCCTGGCTCTATTTGTTAAGGTTTTTTTGTTTTTGAGACAGAGTCACTCAGGCTGGAGTGTAGTGGCACAATCTTGGCTCATTGCAACCTCCATCTCCTGGGTTCAAGCAATTCTCCTGACTCAGCCTCCTGAGTACCTGGGATTACAGGCATGTGCCACCATGCTTGGCTAATTTTTTTTTTTTGTATTTTTAGTGGACGGGGTTTCACCATGTTGGCCAGGCTGATCTTGAACTCCTGACCTCAGGTGATCCACCCACCTTGGCCTCCCAAAGTGCTGGGATTACAGGCGTGAGCCCCCATGCCCGGCCTTGTTAAGGTTTTTTTAACACAAGGGACTCCGTTTTGATGCCGGAAACTTTCCCAGTTTCCCTGCCAGGTACAGAGCAGGGAGTGGGCACAGTTAGGAAGTAAAGCTGAAAGGAACATCAGGAGCCCAAGAGGGTTGAGGGCTCCCAGCTAGAGGTGATCTTAGTGAGATAGGGTGGGGAGCATTCAGCAGCCAGAGCAGAGAGAAAAATAATGTGATTCTGGCAAAGGGGGCTGGGCCCTGGCATGGAGCATTTTAGGGAATGCGTGAATCGGAGAGGTGGGAGGCTGTGGCCCCCGGGCGATGGCACACCAAGGTGGAGGACAGTGGGACTGATTGCCCTCACCCACCCCCGGGAGTGTTATCACTGACCTTGTCTAGAATTGCTGGAGCATGGTAATAATAAATAATACACTGACTCTTAGTCGCTTTTATGATTGTTTTGAAATTCTCTTGTGACGATGCCACTTCCCTTCACCCCTGGCAGGAAACTGACCATGGGGCACGGCATATTCCTCTTTCTTCTTCTTTTTTTAAGAGACAGGGTCTCACTCTGTTGCCCAATTGGTATGGTGGTGTGATCATGACTCACTGCAACCTCGACCTCCAGTGCTCAAGCGATCCTCTCACCTCAGACCCCCAAATAGCTGGGATTATAGATGCACACCAGCACGCCCAGCTAATTTTGTATATTTTTTGTAAAGATGGGGTCTCACTATGTTGCCCAGGCTGGTCTTGAACTTCTGGGCTCCAGCAATCCTCCCATCTCAGCAACCCAAAGTGCTGGGATTACAGGTGTGAGCCACTGCACCCGGCCCTGTGCTGTGTATTTCTGCAATGCCTCCATGCTAGTCATGAGCTGGTGCTTCCTGGGCACTGTCTACTGTCTCCAGATGTTTTCTAGACTGGTGCCCTCTTTCTTCCTTAGTAGGTAGCACCATGGTACCTCAGTCCAAGCCTTCACATTGCAGGCAGTTGAGGTGACGTGCCTAGAGTCATAGACACGGTCAGTGCATGGGTGAGGAAACCCCCGGCTCCCAGACCTGGGCTTTGCTCATGAGCCACACGACCTCCTAGCAGGCAGGTGTGAGGCTGCTGAGGGAAGGGTGCTTCTGGGGGAGGGGTGCTGCTATGACTGGGAAGACAGGATGGCTGTGGGAACTCTGTCCCTAATGGGTGGGCCGCAGACTCTCCTGTCCATTAATGGGTACATCTAGGAACAGGTGCTTCTAACTGTTAGTGAATCTGAGCCTACGGGGCACTGGAGGTGGCTGCCCTGACCCATCGTGCCATTGATGTGGCGCAGCGGGAAGATAATTCGGCAAGAATTAGAAGGCAAAACCCACTTGCAAATAACAGCAGCAGCAGCAGCAGCGACAGCTACTACCTGCTGAGTGCTTATTTACTGGTTAATACTCATCGAGCACTTGCTATTTGCCAACCGCCATGCTCAGTACTTTTTAAGCTCACTTAATCCTCCCAACAGTCCTGTGAATTAACTTCTCTTATTATCCCTGTCTTAGGGAAGAGCACATTGAAGCTGATAGAGGTTAAATGACTCGTTCATAACCATCCAGCTAATCAGTGGCTCAGGAAGAATCAGGTTTGAGATCCAGCTGTTCAATACTAAAGCCCACTCACAACCAGCCCATGGTCCTGCGCCCATGGATGACATTTGGGTGGCATCCCAGGCCCCTGTTCCCAGGACAGGCAGCCAGCGGCCCTGGGAGCAGCATGTGCTCCCTGCTTGCCCTGTCCCTACTGCCTCTCATGCACTCTGTCATCGGATATTTCTTGAGTCCCACACCAGGTGTCCTGCAGGCACAGGTCAGGATGCTGCCTGGGCTAAGCGGGTAGAGGGGTGTGGAGAACGAGTTCTTAGCCATGGTGGTTTGCCATGGGCTGAGCAGAAAGTCAGCATACCCTGGGCCAGCACAACCCAGTATTTATTTGTAATAACTCTGTGTATCCTCCAAAGAGTCTGCTTTACGTGAGACAGAGAGGACTAAGAGAAGGAGAGTGAGAGCGAGGGTGGGGGATCTTCACGGCTTAGACACTTGCCTAAGCAGCATTTCCTTTAGAGAAACGAAGGGGACACATCATGTTCTTCCTCAATGAAGATGTGGAGCACTGCATTACTTTCCATTTTCCTTTGAAAGACATTGAGAGAAGAATAAATAGATTTTGGCCTAAAATGAACCTCTTGCTGCTTCCAGAATAACTAAGGCTTCTGAGCCCACAGCAGGGAATTGCAGAACTGGGAGGGATTTTAGATTCCCCTAGAGCAAAGGTGAAGAAAAGCACAAGCATGTTCAGTAATATTAGGCTGGGTCTCCTGAGGGGCTTTTTAAATTTTAATTTTTGGGACAGGGTCTTGGTGTCTCACCCAGGCTGTGCACAGTGGTGCGATCATGGCTCACTGCAGCCTCAGTCTCCCCAGGCTCAAGTGATCCCCCCACCTCAGCCTCCTGAGTAGCTGGGAGTACCGGTGCAAGCCACCACACCTGGCTAAGTTTTGTATTTTTTGTAGATAGGGGGTTTCGCCATGTTGCCCAGGCTGGCCTTAAATGCCTGTGTTCAAGCAACCTGCCCCACTTTGGAGTTCCAAAGTGCTGGGATTGCAGGCATGAACCATTGCACTCAGCCCCAAAGGGCTTTTATATTTCGGCCTGGCTCACAGTTCTCAGCATTTGAGATGAAACAAACCCAGCAAATAGAAGTTCAGAAAGTTGATTTGGCTGCATTCCCTAGAAACCATTTAGGTTGTGGTTACCAAGCCCACAAGACATCTACTTTTAAAGTCAGAAAGCCACTGATTTCTGGTGTGTGTGAAGGGCGCATTCTACACAGAACACCTGCTCAGTGTCAGGAGGCCCAGCTGCAGCTGCAGATGACAGGGCCTCGTGAGTGTACACGGAGAGGGTGTAAGGCTTTCGATAATCTGCCAAATCCAATAAACGCCTTTCCCTAGTCCAGGGAGGTTTTGGTCTGTGAAAGAGACCTGAGACACCAGCAACATTTGTACTCCTTCTGCCCTTTTCCAGGCCCATCGAAGGCCATCAAGATACAGGTTGCACCTGTCAGGACTCAGGTTGGAGCCAGCCAGGCACCTGGGAGTCAGCCTGCCCCTGAGGTTGTGGGAGGAAAAGCACCATCAAATGCAGCCCAAAGACTTTGATTCAAGGTCTTTTATCCCTCTGGGAGTGAGCTAACTCCAGGGCAGTTGAAAGAAAGGTCAGTTTCTTCTGCAGCTTCTCCTTCTTCTCAGTTCCTCTCTTGTCTAGCTCCCCAGTTGAGCAGAGCTGAGCAGTGCTAACCTGTGGGGGAAACCAGACAGAAGCTAGAGATCTCCTGCCCAGATACTGGGAAGGGAATTTCTCAGACGAGGTTCAACCTGTCAGGTCCTGTCAAAGTCCCAGGCTATGAGCTTAAGGATCCCTGCCTCATGGTCCGGTTTGAAGGGAAAATTTCTCCTGACATCCTGACCCATGCTTTTCTAACCTGACTCCACATCTCCAGAAAGCTGCAGTTCACCTGTTCCCCTTCCTGTTCCAGCAGTGCTCTGAGAGAGACTGAGGCTTCATGTTACAGATCAGGAAGCAGAAAGGGAGTGGCTAGATCTGTGTTTGAATCCCAGTTTTGCACACTGATGAGTTGTGTGGTCCTGGGAAAATGTCTTGCCTGCTCTGAATGTTAGTTTTTACACCTGTACTTTAGTTATGAAAGATTTTACACTATCAGGTCCCCTGATGGGTTGGCAATTAGTTGAGTAATCTGCTTCAATATTTTTTTTTCGAGACAGAGTCTTGCTTTGTCACCCAGGCTAGAGTGCAGTAGTGCCATCTCGGCTCACTGCAACCTCTGCTTCCTGGGTTCAAGCGATTCTCCTGCTTCAGCCGCCCAAGTAGCTGGGATTACAGGCACCTGCCACCACGCTCGGCTAATTTTTGTATTTTTAGTAGAGATGGAATTTCATCATATTCGCCAGGCTGGTCTTGAACTCCTGACCTCGTGATCTGCCCGCCTTGGCCTCCCAAAGTGCTGGGATTACAGGCATGAACCACTGCACCCAGCCAATTTCCTCCATTTTTTTTTTTTTTTTTTTTTTATTGAGACAGAGTCTCACTCTGTCGCCCAGGCTGGATGGAATGCAGTGGTGTGATCTCGGCTCACTGCGAGCTCCGCCATTCTCTGTCTCAGCCTCCGGAATAGCTGGGACTACAGGTGCCCACCACCACACCTGGCTAATTTTTTGTATTTTTAGTAGAGATGGGGTTTCACCGTGTTAGCCAGGATGGTCTCGATTTCCTGACCTCGTGATCCGCCCACCTCGGCCTCCCAAAGTGCTGGGATTACAGGCGTGAGCCACCGCGCCCGGCCAATTTGCTCCAATTTTAGAGAATAAGATTGGAAGACTTCCTCACATACAACCTCAGGAATCAGGGCGAGGAATCCATCTGAACACCTCATGCCCACAGTCAGTTGCTCCTGTATTGCACCCTCGTCCTGGCTCCAGCCTGAGTTAAGAAGCCATGACGTAGGCTGGGCGCGGTGGCTCATGCCTGTAATCCCAGCACTTTGGGAGGTTGAGGCCAGTGGATCACCTGAGGTCAGGGGCTCAAGACCAGCCTGGCCAACACAGTGAAACCCCTTCTCTACTAAAAATACAAAAAAATTAGTTGGGCCTGGTAGCTCTTGCCCATAGTCCCAGCTACTCAGGAGGCTGAGGCAGGAAAATTGCTTGAACCTGGGAGGTGGAGGTTGCAGTGAGCCAAGATCGCACCACTGCACTGCAGCCTGGCAACAGAGCGAGACTCCATCTCAAAAAAGAAAAAAAAAGAAGAAGCCGTAACTGAGGTCTAGAATACTGTCATTGTCCCTTCAGCATGTGGCCATTGGCATTGGCTGCTTAAACCCCTAACTGTGAGGGTTGGCATGGCTTGTGAAATATGCTGCAATATGAAGCACTCAGGTATCTTTCGGAGGGAGCTTAAGGAACTGCTACTCCCATCAACTCTGTGCGATGGAATTGCTTTTGTCCTCAGAAGCAGATGAGTGGGCTAAGAAGAGCTGGGATGTCTCATAATTTGAGAAAAAAGCTGTCCGTGTCCCCAAACCAAAGCACCAGCAGATAAGGAAGGCACTATTGTCCCAACAGGTTGACTCCAGGCTTTCCTGCCTGATCGGGTCAGAAGCTCTCTGCTGGTGCTAGCAGAGAAGGCCTGAGCAGCAGAGGCTTCCACCTAGATTTTGTGGGGATAACACACCACCTGGATCCGACAGGTGGCGCTCACTATTGCTCGATGGTCGGGGGAAAGAAGGCAGGGAATTTAGCTTCTATACCGCTGTGGCTGACCGTACTTTCCAACAGGCCAGGCCTGAACCTCAGGGTCTGCCTGTGACCCACCAGCCATGCCATGCTCAGTCCCGTCTGCTGGGATGTCTGGGCATGAGCCCAGCACAGTGGGTGGTTATCGTGGAGATGGGAGACATGTGCTCCCTGCCAAAGGCCAATTTCAGGAAACTGATGAGACCTCTGCTCTTATTCGGGATCTCTGAACATCCAATGGTAGGGACAGCTAGTCTTGCTAACAGAATCCTTCCTTTCTTAGGGTTTGACACCATCTCAGTGATGGTGGACATCATAATGATCTCGGGGGACACAACATGACCTGGTTCTGTTGTGCAGAAGTTGATTGCTCTTCTCAGGTCCCCTCACTTCCAGACCAATGACCAGAGGGAGAACTTGAACTGGTTTCTAGAAGGGCTCCACAGAGGCAATAATACAACAGCGCCCTCTCCTTTTCACTCCTCTCCTCGCACTTGCTCATTCCACTAAAAATGGTTGTTGCCAGCATGGTTTTTGGAGTTCTTGAGATGCAAAATCAGGAACTGGGTGGTAAGAGGCCTCTGACGTTTGTTGAACAAAACTGAGCTTCTGCATACGTGGATCTTGAAAGGCAGAGATGCTGGCTTTTGGAAAAGTGCCGTGGCTCCAGATCTGAACCCTTTAATGTGACTTGACAGACACAGGATGGGGAGTCCTCAGTGATTATTATTTGACAGCTGAGTACTTTTGAATATATGTGATTTGGCCAGTTGCGGTGGGCCTACCTGTAATCCCAGCACTTTGGAAGGTCGAGGTGGATGGATCACCTGAGGTCAAGAGTTCGAGACCAGCCCAGCTAGTTTTTGTATTTTTGTAGAGATGAAGTTTCACCATGTTGGCCAGGCTAGTATCAAACTCCTGACCTCAGATGATCTTCCCACCTCGGCTTCCCTAAGTGCTGGGATTACAGGCATGAGCCACCGCACCTGGCCAGATTTCTTGGTTTCAAGTAACAGACATTAACTCTGGATGTCTTAAGCATACAGAGAGTGTACTGGGAATACATCTTACCCCCACAGAATAGATGTGAGACGTGCCCATAAACCAAGGGGGCTCTGCAGGGCTGTTCTGTCCAGTCATGGCCCTGAAACAGTTTGCTGCACCAGGACGAACTGATATCTCAATGGCACCCATGTGATTCTGTCATTCACCCCAGTAAAATTTCTGGGGATATAGGTCTCTAAGCCTAAATGTTGGACCCTCCTCATGGGTGCCCTGGGACTTGGAGAGTGAGATTGACACCTGTGGCCCCCTCAGAGACACTGCCCATTGACTCAAAGTCCACACCCAGTGGGCTACAGGGTCAATACATTATGCTGTTTGTGTGTGATAATTTAGTATTCTTGTTTCTTGTGTGGGTTTTCAGCAAAAGTAATTGTAAACGTTTCAGTCCTCTCTGAATGCTGCTGGAGAGAGTTGTGTCTTTTCTGCACCCCACTGTCAAACTTAGAGCAGCATCTCCACCAGGCTGGAGTGACCATGGCCTTAGAAACTGCAAGAAAAGGGTTGGAGTTTTTGGCTTTTTTGAGCATTAGATCCTTTTGACATCTGGTGAAAGAATATCTGCTTTTTCCCTTCGCCCAGTTTTCTCTTTTATTTTCTATTTTTATGTTAATTTCATTGCATTGATATTCTTTTGTGAACTTTTGCAATGTCCTTCCCTGTTTTTTTTTTTTTTTTTGATAAGGGGGTGGTTTGAAATGAGCACGTGCAGGTGGTCTGATGCCACAGGACCACTGTAGACACACTCACAGACCCGAAGGGATCAGCTGAAGCATGATACCCTCGGAGGCTCGCCTCATGGACCATGATGATCTCTGATTTTTCTTCTTTGCTGGAATTTGGGTGATCGATGTTGAGGCTGGGCTCTGAGCAGTCGGCTCACCCCTGCTTAGCGTTTGGTGCAGAGGTTCAGAGTGTGCCTGCTAGGCATGTTTGTGGAGAAGGGAGATCCAAAACTCAGCTGCCCTTCTGTTTTCTTAGTAGAGAATGAGGAGGGTCTCAATGCAGACCCGAGGCCTCTGCCTCCAGGTGGGAACCCTGGAGTGGATGGTGAGGACGTGCTCTTGGACAGTGCTGCCTTCAGACAGCTGCAGGTTTGGAATGGGTGTAGGGTCCAGTGTGTCACCGCACTGGTGAAAGTAGCATGTTCGGTGTGTGGGATTTTAGGGTGAAACCGATCGGGACTCGTGAAAGCCACTGAGTACAGAGCCATGAAAGCAACTTGGCAACCAGAAGCATGATGGCTTTAAACCACAGGATGAGCATTGAGGGTCTTGCCATTCGGGGGGTCTAGTTGGATTCTTGCCTCCTCACTGGAACCACAATCTAGCTTGATTCCCATGCTTACTAATGGAGAGGTGGTGCAACTTTACACTCAAGACACTGCGTGCAGACTCTGTGGATTTAAACCTGGGACTAACTCTTGTCGTGTGACCTTGGAAAATATTCTTCATCTGCCAAATGGGAGAAATTGTAGATTTTATTGTGTGGAGTAATTTCCCTAATAGATGTAAACCACTCAAGTGTGTGACTGGTGTGTGGTTAGCTTTTGTTTCTATGGCCAGAATATATCATTGCTTGGGCCTGTGAACTTGTATTAATCAATAGAATTTGAATTTTTATTATTATTTTTTGAGACGGAATCTCACTCTGTTGTCCAGGCTGGAGTGCAGTGTCGTGATCTCTTTTCAATGCAACCTCCGTCTCCCGGGTTCAAGCAATTCTCCTGCCTCAGCCTCCTGAGTAGCTAGGATTACATGCACCCACCACACCCGGAAGATTTTTGTATTTTTAGTAGAGATGAGGTTTCACCATGTTGGCCAGGCTGGTCACAAACTCCTGACCTCAAGTGATCTGCTCACCTTAGCCTCCCAAAGTGTTGGGATTACAGGCGGGCAGGCGTGAGCCACTGCGCCTGGCCTGAATTTGAATTTGAAAGAGGAATGAGTGATTGGAGATGGGAGGGTAGGAAAAATAACAGGGGATGCATTTCATGGCAGTGCTGCCTTTACAAAATGTTTCTGGAATTTTGCCAGTAAATTGTCAGAATGTGGTCCTCATTTCTGCCCATGGCTCACTTACGAGCTCTAAGATCCTGACACACAGATTAGGAGTGTAGTACTTTGAGCCATTCACATATCCTTTTAATGAACCCATGGATCTTTGGCTTGCGGGGGTTGAAAACGTGTCATATTTTTACAGCAAGACAGAATATTGTGGCAGAACGCAATCCACCTGTATCCTGGCGGACACCCGAAGAAACATACGGCTTTCTGGCTAGTGCAGGTGCGAACTTTGACTCCATCATTCCCAAACATACCTTTTCCTGAAGCGGGGAGAGACCACAGAAAAGAAAAATCAATCTTAATGAGGCTGGGAGAAATCCTAGGCTTGCCATCACCTCCTGGTTGATGGCTTGTTAGTTGTGATTTACCTCACCTCTTATCACAACTCAGCAAGGCAGATAAAGCTCAGGGTAGCCAGAGGCATTGGAGGGGAGATAGGAATCTGGGTGGCTGCACGATCTGTGTGCACAATGACATCCACCCCCGTCCCCGGTGCACTGGCAGATCTTCCAGCTGCAGCAACAGCAGAGCAGGGCAGGAGCTGGGGTCCGCTCACCATGCCCCTAACATGGTGGCCCATTTGATATTGGTGTCCTGTTGCTGGGCTTATAGTTAGAGGGTTTTTTAAGCATCTCAATCTTTGGGAACACCCACTTTTATGTTCAGACTCACGCCCACTGTCTTACCTGAAGGCAGTAAGATCACCAGGAAAAAGAGTAATGCAGAAAGACAGAGGTTCATGGCCGAAGAGGGCACAGAGTTGGAACTCCCAGTGGTGTCTGCCTGGGAGGCTCCTTTATAGAGCTGGGCTGGGCTGCGATGGGTGGGGCTGGACCCTGGCCTCACTCTTCCTGGAGGGGCAGACTGAGGAGATCACAGGGTTCTGCAGAATTCGAGGAAGAAAAGGCCCTGGCCTTTCAGTGCTACCTCCTTTTCTACAAACCGCGGGAAAACCAGAGACTCAGCTAAGGCTGTCACGTTTCCTGATAGCAGAATAGGAGAAAAGACCAGGATCCCCATGCCTAGGCCTGAGCGCTTTCCCTCTGCCTTCAAATGTACTTTGATATAAACATGGCAGTGAAAATGTCTGCTCTGTCTCTCCTTTCCTCTGGAGCACCACTGAAAGCTCAGGAGCGCAGAGAAAGGGTGTTATGAAACACAGGCTGAATTTAAGCCTGGAAAGACAGTTCCGACACACGGAGTCTCTCAAATTGTCAACCAGTGGCCTGACCAAGAGAAGGTAGGGGCTCAGAACTAGTGGAGAAGGGACAGCTTCCTTGTCTAGCAGCTGACTTATTTACCTGGCTGAAGGCAGATACTGCAAAAAAAAAAAAAAAAAAAAGTCCTGGAAAAGTTCACTGATGGACTTTGTTCTCCAAATGGCTGGTATGAAACGTTGGCTAGGATGAGGGGACTCTGAAGGTTCTAGGAGAGATTTCTTTTTTGGAGTTGAGGAGTTGAAACTCTCCCTTAGAAGAGTCGGTTCAGTGCTGTGTTCAAGGTTGGATGCACAGTGTCCAGAGTGGAGCCAGACAGGGCTTCTCTGGAGTGACAGAGACTCAGCCCTGGAGAAGGGCCCTTAGGCCTGTCTCTCTTGGGGTGATGAGGGATGTCTGAGGGTGAAGATGACACTAACTTTGATTTTGTTCTGACCCTTAAGGCAGGCTTTTACGCAGGCAGCCAACAACCACAGGGCTGTGTGTGGTGTGTCAGTGGAGCATGGTATTCCTGGGTACACTCTGCTTTGCAGGCCTAGACCCTCAGATGCATTATTTAGCATCTCAGCCTCAAGAACTCCTCAAAAAGTGCATTGGAAGGTTATGCGTGGTTTTTTTTCAGGATGAAATGAGATACAGCTTATAAAATGCTTTGCACGCACACTGCCATACAGTAGGTACTCAATATTATTATTATTATTGTTTTTTGAGACAGTCTTGCTCATCACCCAGGCTGGAGTGCAATGGCCCAAACTCGGCTTACTGCAACCTCCATCTCCTGGGTTCGAACGATTCTCCTGCCTCAGCCTCCGAAGTAGCTGGGACTACAGGTGCCCACCACCACACCTGGCTAATTTTTGTATTTTTAGTAGAGATGGGGTTTTGCCACGTTGGCCAGGCTGGTCTGGAACTCCTGACCTCAGGGGATCCACTTGCCTCAGCCTTCCAAAGTGCTGGGATTACAGGCATGAGCCACCCCACCCAGCCAATACAGTAAGCACACATATTCTTAATTTTCTGGTTCTTGCTTACTAATCTTTCCCTACTCCCAGGTCATAAAACTATTTCCTATATTATCTTTCTTTTTTCTTTATTATTTTTCTTTCTCATTTAGCTCTATAACCACCTGTGATGATTTCTGTGTATGGTATAAATTAGGGGTCCTATTTAGTTTTCTTTTCCCCTATGGAAAACCAATTGTTTCAAGACCAAAAATTATTGAAAAGATTGTTGTTTCTCTACTGTCTAGCTGTGCCACCTTTGTTTTAAATCAGGCTCCACATATGCGTGAGTCTGATGCTGGGAACCTTAATCTGTTCTATTGTTCTATTTGTCTATACTTGCACTAATGCCATGCTGTCTTACTGCTATAGCTTCATAATAAGTTAATAAACTTTTAAATAAGATCTATCTATCATCTATCTATCTATCTATCTATCTATCTATCTATCTATCTATCTATCTATCTATGAGTCTGTCTCCAACAGAGCCAAATCTTCCCACTTATCTTTTTTGTGTGTGTGAGTGTCTTGGCTATTTTTGGTTCTTTTCATTTCCATACAGATTTTAGAATCAGATGGTCAAATTCCCCCAAACAACAGTTCATTATGCTGTTAGTCTTGATTTTTCTCTTTTGTGATGTACAACCTCCTGAATGCCTGTGGGCTGTTGTATTTGTGGATTGAATACATCTTGTATTCATGCTGTAATGAACACTTTACACGAAATAAAGTTGGAAAAGATTCTGCTTCCTAGACAACAGTAAAATCCCAAGGACCTGTCTCCCCATCCCATGAATCTCTTTGGCTGTGAATAGCATCAGTGGTATCTGTAATTTCCTCAGTGGCTTGGCTGCAGTTGCTAATGGAAGCTATGGTGAGGCTTTGCTGGGGTTAGGGATGCCAGGTTGGCCACTCCTCAAGCCCTTGTAGTGATAATGACAGACAATGCATACGTGACCTTGGGTCACTGGATGGTGTATGTGGGCACCAGTGTTAGCAGGTCCAGGTGGGCCAATCCCAGGCAGATTTCTTGGTACTGGCAGTGGCAGTGGAGGGCTGGATGGGTGGGTAGGTTCTCAGGTCCCTGGGCAGCATGAATAGTGTGAGTGAGGGTAGCAGTGGTGCAGGATAACACTCAGGCTCCCAGGTGCACTTCCTAATGTTAGTGGTGGCTATGATGGGCTTGGCAGGCTAGTCTCTAGGCTCCTAGGCAACACATGTGGGTGGCTGTGGTTGGTGGTGTTGGCAGCAGGCTAGGTGGGCCCATCTTCAGGTCCCTAGGAGGAGTGTACAAGGACCAGAGATGGTGGAATGGATCGGGTAATTCCTAGTCTTCAGATGGGGTGCTCAGTATCTGGGGGCATGACGTCAAGGCTTTGGTGGCGTGCAGGAGTGTAGGCTGTAGTAGGTGGGGCTGAGCGATCTGTGGTGGTGAGTGGAGAGCCTGACCTCAGAGGTTGTGCTAGAGCACAGCAATCCTGCTGCTGGTATGGGTAAGGTTGCTCTCAACTGTCCCTTGCAAGGAGCTCTCAGGCTCTGGGAGTTCACACTTCATTTCCAGCAGTAGCAGTAGCTGCCATGGTGTATATGGGGAGGGAGCCTGTATTCAGAACACAAACGAAAGCACAGAGGATGTGCTTCTGATAGGGATGAGGTTGGTGATCACAGCCCTAAGCAGAAAATTCTCAGGCTCTGAGTAGTGCTTGCTTCAGCTCGTGGCTGCAGTGTTGTTCAGGGCAGCGGAGGGATCCTGCCTTCTGCATGTGAGCTCAAGCACAAAGGCCTTGCTGCTGGTCAGGGAGTGGTCGCTATTCACAGACCCAGACAAGCAGCTCCTGGATTCACTCGCATTGGCTGCCAGTAGCAGCAGCAGCAGCTGTAGTGTTGTGCATGGGAGTAAAGGAAGAGACCCCACCTTCTGTGTATGGGCTGGAGCACAGGGGCTGTACTGCTAGTGAGGGCAGGGTGTTATTCACAGATCCAGAGAGGCAGCTCTCAGACCAACTTGTTTTGACTCCTGGCGGGACCAGCAGCTGCTGCAGTGGCCTAGGGGGTGAGCCCAAGCATAGATGTCATTCTACTGGTGGGGGCAGGGTTGCTTCTTACAGTCCCAGACGGGAGCTGTCAGGCTCTGGAAAGCTCCCAGTAGGGCTCCCTTTGTCCCTGCGAGAGTCTCCTGGGTGCACTGCACCATCCTTTCCCCAGGGAGTAGTACTCCACTTGGGCTAAAGTGCTGAGGACTCTGTAGCATCACTGGGTTCAGCCAGTGCCGAGCCACTGCAGCCATCTGGGTGGACGTCAGGGGATATCAGTGGGGGTTCTCCTCTGTGGAGATGTGGGGCCTCTTGGTTCCCAGGACAGGATTCATTCTGGTGGAGGCTGGGCGCTTGCACTAGCACTGTGCTGCAGCCGCTTAGATCTCAGGAGATGTGTATAACTCAACATGACTTCCCTGTGTGGAGCAATGCCCTTGAGAGGTATCCTGATCACCACCCACGCTAATCTCAGGGCCCACGTGGGATAAAAGCCCTCCTGCTGCTAGGGTTACAGTAGTCTGAGATGGAGATGTGAACCCCCGAGAGGCTCTCATTTACCTTTTCCCAGCAAATGGGAGCCATTCCAGGCTCCTAGCCAACCCACATCCTGCTCCTTCTATGGCTCCAGTGTTTCCTGTAACTTCTCTGTTTAACTCTGGAGTTTTCTCATAGATGTTCTATCCTAGGTGTAATTCACAATTTTGGTTCTTTTTTTCTGGAGAGGGAGAGTGTCCCATGTCTTTACTCAGGCGTCTTGACAAAATGAAACTTTGTACCCTTTGACCAATATCTCCCCTCTCTGCACTCCTGGCCCTAGCCTCTGGTAACCACCATTCTTCTCCCTGCTTCTGAGTTTGACTTTTCTAGATTCCACATATAAGTAAGATTATGCGGTATTTGTCTTTCTGTGCTTGACTTATTTCACTTAGCATAATGTCACTAAGGGTATTTTAATGCTGTGCTTAGGAGTTTAAGCTGGGGGAATCAAGTCCACACTTGTCTTAATATGGGTTTAGGGTGTTGTAAAATCAAAGTCATGGAGACCCATTACAAGGCTTTATGACTCCAAGATCAAGTGAGAAGTAAAGTAAGAGTATTGGCAGTAGTGTAAAAAGGAGAATATTCATCTCAAGAGCAATAAGAAATAAAATAAATAAATACTTGATTTTTAATATCTGTGGAATTTAGAAAGAGAAAGGTAGTTAGGATAATTTCCAGGTTTCTGATTTAAGTTTGTGGGTTCAGTGGTGAAGTTCACTGGAAACACCAGAGGTTTTGGGAGGAAGGATGAGAAAAAAATTAGTAATGTTTTGGATAGGTTGAGTTTGAGCTTCCTGTAGGATGTCTAGGTGGAGCAGCCAAGTAGACAGTTGGGAAGTTTAAAAGAGGAACTGAGATTGCATATATAAATTTTAGAATCAAAAGTCAAAGAGTCATAAAAATGAATGAATTCAACAAGAGAGATTCAGAAGAGTAAGAAGAAAATAAGATTGAGGAGCAAACCTCACATCAGCATTTATGGCAAGAAAAGGGAAGGTAGAATTGTGGAAAAGACTCTGACAATGTGCCTGAAAGGTACAAAGCAATCCAGGAAGATTGTGATGTGATACAGAACAAGAACATCATCTTAAGAAGCAAATACTTGGAGAGGATGCTGATATGGTTTGGCTATGTCCCTACCTAAAACTCACCTTGAATTGTAATAGTCCTGACCTGTGAAGAGTGGGGCCAGGGGGAAGCCATCCTGAAGGATTTTCCACAGGGCAAATGCATAAATCAATTTCAGTTTTATAAAAGGTCATTTTGGTTACCAAGTGGAGAATAAATGGTAAATATCTAAAAATGATATGGGAGCCATTTAAGAGGCCATTTACTGAGTTTGGTGACAGAGGTGATGGCATGGACGCAGTGGCAGCAGTGGAGATGGAAATGGGCGAGTGTGAAACGCATGCTGAAGGCAGAACTGGGAACGTTTGACGAGCAATTCAATGTGGACAGGGTGAGGGAAAGGCGGTGTCAGGATCATCTCAGGTATCGTTCAGGAGATTGTGAAGTGGGGCTTACTTGTCCTCTGGTGTGTGGAGCCTGGGTCAATGAACAGCTTCCAGTCACCAAGGCTGCCAGGAAGCAGTGTCCTTAGAGAAGGACCTAGCATTTTGCCAAGACACAGAGATGGAAGAGTGTTCTTGGGGAAGACATAAAGTAGAAGGTATGTTTATAGTAGAACTGTGGTTCTGGACGGCACAGTGGGAAGGGTTGAGATGGAGACAGAGGGAGTTTCTTGGAGAACAGAAGATCAGGACCATGGCAGCTGAGAGAGTGCAAATCAGGCTGTGCCTAATGCTGCAGGTTGGAAAGTGGGTCTCAGGAGAGTCCCTTAATGCATTTGTGCTTGCTTAATCTTTTCTCTTTGTGCTCCTCAAAACTCAGGTCCTCTATTCTTTCTCTATTTACTGATTTTCTGCTCTGCAGTTCTTTATGAGTCTTTCACAGATGTGCAATCTCAACCACATCGCAAACATCCTGAAGTTGGAAAACAAGAGTCCATTGAAGTGGCATACATTTGATGCATTCTTGTGAATAAAACAGGGACAGAGAGAGGGAAGCATGTGTTCCTAGTCCTGGCTATTTCACTCTCTAGCTGGAGAAGCAACATGTCTAGTTTTATTTCTTTAAATAGAGAAAGGGGTCTCACTATGTTGCCCATGATGATCTTGAATGCCTGGCCTCAAGCGATCTTCTCATCTCGGCCTCCCAAAGTGCTGCGATTACAGGCACATGCCACCACACCTGGCCAATATCTATAGTTTTAAATGTCTTCTTCTGTTACATGAGTCTAATAGTTCCTTAAATATATGTTCTATATGTTCTATAAAGGACTGGCCTTAAGAGTTACTTCATTTGGCCTTGCGACAAGCCTTCCTGATAGGTGGGAATGATGGAGTACAACCTATTTTTTGTTGTTGTTGTTGTTTAAGACAGAGTCTCACTGTGTCACCCAGGCTGGAGTGCAGTGGTGCAATCATGGCTCACTGCAGCCTTGATCTCCTGGGTTCAGGTGATTCTCCCACCTCAGCCTCCTGAGTAGCTAGGAGTACAGGCGCTCACTATCATGCCTGGCTAATTTTTGCATTTTTTGTAGAGATGGGGTTTTGCCATGTTGCCCAGGCTGGTCTTGAGCTGCTGAGCTCAAGCAATCCACCTTCCTCAGCCTCCCAAAACGTTAGAATTATAGGCATGAGCAACTGCACCTGGCCAGGTGTACAACCTTCTTTCCAAGTGAGAAAACTGATGGTCAGTGAGGTAAAGTACGTGCTTTATTAAAAGCTTGTCAAGCTACTGCATGCAGAGTCCAGACCAGAAAGACTTTCTGATTCTGGGTTTTGTGTTCTTCATACAGTATCAGATAAAGTTGCTGAAAAACTTAAAACACTTCAAAAACTGTCAAACACTGTCGACTTTAGTCCCTCCAAGCAAGACTTTTGTCATAAATTCTTTGTATGCCCCCCCATTACCCGGCACACAGCATATGCTCAATGGGGAGCCATAGACTCAGTGTTTTTCCCTGGGTCATGTTGCGGGTGTTATGGGGACTTGCTTTTTCCATGCTGTTTTTGAGGAGCTCTTATTTTCCTAAAGACATTACAGCTATACCAGAACTGGGCAAGGCCATACTTTAGTACTTCTGTATATAGGAGTCAGGGAAGCCTGCTTATAAATCATGTTGCTACCATTTAGGATCTATGTGAGCTTGAGAAAGTCATTTCTTCTACCTGAGACTCTTTATTTTTGTTTTTAAAATGGAGAGAATCATGCCTACCTGGACTTCGTGTGTGTGTAAGGTTGAAAAAAAAAACAAACTCTTTGTCAACTATGTAAGGCAGCCTTATGGTTCTCTGCACACTATAGGCATTTTAGTGGATGTACAATGAAGATACACAGACACCTACACAGCACCCTACCAGGGCCTAGAATAGGGCTGCCTACACAGTGTTCATGCAGTTGCTAGCATGCATGTGGCACCCAGGAAGTGTGCTTTAATGAAGGGATGTCATGTTCAAACAGACATTTTGCTGATTGGATTGCTCAGTGGAGCAGGCAGATGTTCTTGTTCCAAAAGGTTCACTAGCCATGCAGCTCCCCGTCTCTTCAAAGCTGCGGAGAGAGTGACTCTCCGATGAGTCACAGCTGCTTCTTTGCTGATTGGTATGGCCACAAGGAGCGTCCTCTTGGCCCTCGTGGTCCTTAACTTACTCTTCTATGTTCCACCAGGTAAAATGGAGTCCCCACCTTGTAGAATTAGGAATAGTAAAGGGAAAAAAGGTGTGAGGTTCTACAAGAGTGAGAAAAAGGCAGGACTTGGACAAAGGAAGCTGCAACAGGGAGGAAAGTGAGCAGAGATGGACATGCTGGGCTGGTCCAGAGAATGGAGAAAAGATCCAAAGGACACAGAACAGGAGGTAGCTCTCTTCAGAAAAGAAACTGGTTATGGATTTTGGTTTGAGGAGCTGGTGAAGTTTGAGGGGAAGGCTGGACTGTTGGTACTGGCAGAAGTAGGGCAGAGCAAAAAGATGAGACTTTCAAAGAATAGCGAGGACTTGGGGATGAGAAGGAGACTGTTCTTTGAGGGCTCTTAGAACTTGCCTTCTACAGTCAGCCACCCATGTTATTTTTCACTCATTTAGAAGCCAAGGTAAATTTTATGCTGAGCAGAATCCACAGACACAGCTGGTTAAGATGTATTACACTAACTTATAGCATGATGAGGTCCTATGAAACATCAGTTTGAGAGGTCAGAATTTACATTCTGTGGACAGAAGCCAGCAACTTGGTGATAATGAGAAGAGTCTACTTCAGTCACTAAAGTGGAGGTTCTCAAAACTGTTTTGCTTGTGGTTTTCTGGGGTCAGCAGAGAGCCCCTACCCTTTGCCTCAAACCTTCATATATAAAGCGTATCACTCAAGGACCAAGTGTGAAGTGTTTAAAAGACAGATATGAGGCTGGGCGCGGTGGCTCACGCCTGCAATCTAAGCACTTTGGGAGGCTGAGTCGAGTGGATCACCTGAGGTCAGGAGTTCGAGATCAGTCTAGCCAACATGGTGAAAACCCGTCTCTACTAAAAATACAAAATTAGCCGGGCATGGTGGCGCATGCCTGTCCCAGCTACTCGGGAAGCTGAGAAAAGAGGATCACTTGAACCCAGGAGGCGGAGATTGCAGTGAGCTGAGATGGTGCCATTGCACTCCAGCCTGGGCAACAAGCGTGAAACTTCATCTCAAAAATAAAAATTAAAAAAAATAAATAAAACGAAGACAGATACGAATGAGGACCATGTTGAGATGATGGCTGATGTCCTGCATGGTGGGACCTCCGACACTTTGCAGTGTGTCTCTACTGGACTCCTTTGTCCCCAGAAAAGTGCCTGAGGTCTAGGGAGCACATGGTGGGCAAGTTTGCCTGCTAACGGCCCTTGACCATACCACATTGATTATTTTCACACCACAAAGGTTCAATCCATGGACTCATGGGGGCACCTGGGTGGAGAAACTGATAAGACTTAGCATGCAAGAGCAGGTGATACAGTAGGGGCAACTCAGGGCCACCCTTACCCTCTTAAACTGCCTTCCTATTACCCCTCCTCCACCCTCTGGTTTCCAGAGGCTCCCAGTTCTTAAGGTGTAGAAAAATTACTAGCAATAAATTTCCATATTTGTCTCAGGTATTTCAAACCATTTCACACTCATTCTCCCATGGGTGCAAAGTACCCATGGGAGAATGGGTACTTCTTAAGTACCTTGTGATTAAGCACTTGACAAAAAGTCATGCAGAATGTTTTTGGGGAATACAGGGGTAGAAGTGCAGGCTTCTAAAATTCCACTTCAGTGATCCTTCTTTCTTTATGCTGACACTTTGATAATCACAAACTGCCTCAGGTAGCTATTCCAGACCCTGCATGCCTCCTGGTATGGGACCTCTGCAGGCTCCTGGGATGACTTCGATGTCTGAATATTCTTTCTGAAGCCAATAGTCTCAAGCTGAATATGCTGGGTCCTGTTAACTCCACACAGTTGATCAGTAATTCATGTAACTAATTGTGGATTCATATAATGGCTTATAATAGGGCCCCTGGAAAACAAGGTAAGAGCAACTGAAAAGGGGCATCCAGCTATAAAATGTCTTGAGTATCTTTGATCGCGTCTAATTCATTATTAAAAAGTGAAAACTATGGTCTGAGGTCTAATTTTATCCATGACAACATGACACTTCAGGACACTAACTGTGCATTAACCTTTGTTTCTCTTGGCAGGTAGAAGTGGACCCAATGTCTACATACAAAAAATCTTTGCTTCATGTTGGCGACTGCAAGGTACTTGCCGGCCAAAATGTCTAAAAAACGAACAATATCGTATTTTGTGTGATACTATACATTTGTGCTGTGTAAACCCAAAATATTTACCTATACTGACTGGGAAATAGTTGTGAGTACCTGAAAGCTGTTGCTGATTTCCTCTGGGAACCCAGATCCCTCTCAGTTGCACCATTCGATTAAAACAATGGCTTTAGCCTATCAGTGTTCCTGTGTCTGCTGTATTTCTCTTTATTGTCTCTCTTACAGAAATACTCTAATTCCTTGTATTGAGTATTTTTCTTTTTATTAATTTGTCGCTTCTTAAAAGTCTCTTAAGAACTTTTTGAAGTATAACATACAATTAAAAAATGTACAAATCATGAGTAAACATCCTCATGAACTGCACAAATTTAACACACCTGTGTAACCAGCATCCTGCCCCCACAAAAGAATGTTACAACATCCCAGGCACTACCAGTCACTACTCCACACAAAATAATTCCTAGCCTGACTTTTAATAGGAAGGCGCTGACATCTATTTTTGAACTTTATATAAATGGAATTGTAGGTATTCCTTTGTGTCTGGCGTCTTCCCCACTACATTACTTTTGTGAAGTTTATTAATCTGTTTCATGTAATTGTAGTTTATCCTTCTCAATGGCATACTGTAATACATTGGGAAAGATATTACAATTTATTTGAATATTGTAAGTGAAGATGGTCTTATTTGTAGTTTCCAGTTTTCACTTTTATAAATAGGGTTGTGGTGCAGGGATTTCTGTGGGGGTTATATACCTAGGAGAGAAATTCCTAGGGCACAGGCTATGCATACATTCAGTTTTAGTAAAT
This sequence comes from Homo sapiens, assembly GCF_000001405.40. Taxonomy (NCBI): domain Eukaryota; kingdom Metazoa; phylum Chordata; class Mammalia; order Primates; family Hominidae; genus Homo; species Homo sapiens. The sequence goes on from NC_000008.11 coordinate 11,985,312, forward strand.
ACATAGCATCTGATTGTTTTCCAAATTGGTTGTACCAATTTATACTCTCATCCACAATGTGTGAGCATTCTTGTTGCTTTACATTCTTGTCCACATCTAGTATTTTATGCCTTTAAAAAGATATTCTAGGGAGAATATAGTGATGACATATGGGGTTTGATTTGTGTTGCATGGATGACTAATGAAGCTGAGCACCTTTTCAGATGTTTATTGGCCATTTAGATATCCTTATTTGTGATATGACCCTTCAAGACGTTCGTCCATTTTTCTATTGGATTGTCTAACTTGGGAACCTACTAATGAACACTCGTGGTTTGATGTTGAAAACAATGAAGTGAAAGTCATATTGAAAATATTTAAGTTGAAATATTGAGTATGTTATAGTTTGCAATGGACAAAGACGTTTTGTGCTATTTAGGATGACCAGGCCATAAAAATGTTTCTATCCTTGAAAAATTAGGAATGCTTTTCCAAAATGGTGGATTAGAGGAACTGCTAGCATACCTCTTCCACTTGGAAGGACAAAATAGTGTGTACAGATTCACGTTGTGAACTATTTTTCGAGAAGCAACGCAATAACTGAACAGGAAAACCATAGGAATCTATTGATGTTTTGAAGGAAGCAGGAGACTGCAGCCTACACTGAGTCAGTCGAAGGGCTGCGAGTCCCCTGAGTGTGACAGAGTGAATTTGCCTCTGGGATACACATCCCCACTAGGGATCCTGAAAGTCCAGGACACAAGGTGGGGGTGCTGGCGGGGAAGCCCTAACCCGAACTAACGCAGGAACCGACTTGGGGATGGTTATGGACTATAAACTATTCCATACTTTTAGGGGGAGACCCTTGCATGCACTTCCAGATCCCAGCGTAGATTAAGTGCAGCCATTCCTTACTGTTCCTCACAGGAGGCCTTGCGGCCAGCTACAAAGTTCAGGCGCTGGTTGCAGTTTGAAAGAATCTCCCAACGGGGTTCACAGTACAACCTCGGTGGGGACGAACTTCCTTGGCCAGGGCCGGGGCGGGGAGGGTGAAAAGCGGGCTGCAAGTGCAGGAGCCGTAGGTGCAGAAGTCGTGGGTGCAGAAACTGCAAGTGCAGGAGCCACGGGAACACGCCGGCTTTGCAGCGGACAGGGAGGGGCGTGGCCTGAACGCCTGGACTGCAATCTCTGCGGGGAAAGCTTATGACTCCCGGCAGCCGCGAGTTCTGATTACAGGCTGACAGGAACTCAGCTCGCTGCTTCCAGTGGAACACCGTGGGAGTGGATCTGCCTTGTCAAGTGGGTAGGAACTGTGGAGCTTACCACCGCCTGCTACTCCCTACTTCTTGCACAGACTCTTCTGTGCAGCAGGGGCAGCAACGCTGCCCTCTGAAACATTAACCTAGTGGCCTGAGACCCGCTCCCATCCCCCAATACCCATAGAAGCTCCTTCTTTCTCTGCACACGGAGACCAGTGTGCAGGCCCTCCCGACCCAGCCCCTACCTGGCTTTGCCCGGCCACCCGCCCTGGTAACTCAACGCAAAGGACAGAGTCTCCTGGGAGCGACATGGCCCCGCCCATGTCCGGAGAAACCAGAGTATCCCCCTCTGGGCAACATCAGGCAAGCAAAAATCCCAGGGCTACTACCGCAGCTGCTGCTCTTTTGCAAGCGCCACCTCCTAGCTGGAGGCCAACCCACACAGTCCTTGACAGTATCTCCTGGTAGATTAACATTGCACCCAGGAAGGAGAAAACCGCTATGGGATCTCAGCTATCACTGCTGCCTGCACCACTCTGGCTGAACAGGAGGTCCTGAGTCCGTCCACATGACCAGTTCATTACTACTATAACCCGCATTCAAGAAAGCTAACATACTAAGGCTATCAATAACAAAGGAATTTCACAGAATCTGTGTCACAACCTTGCCACTCCCATTAGAGCTGGTGCTGCTACCCACTGCAGGGAAACTTGAGCATAGGTCACATAACTGGATCCCTTGCAGACATTCCCCAACACCAGCCTCGAGTGTGTCAACTTCTCTGGGCAGCTAGACCCAGAGGAGCAAGAACACTCACAGTGACCTGGCTCCCAGGGACTTCCAGGGACTCCCACTTGCAGGGGAAGGAGGACTGCATCACATCAAGGGAACACCCTGTGGGACAAAAGAATCCAGGAGGCAGGCCTTGAGCACCAGATGGAAGGCTTCCTTCAGTAGACACACAGTTGAAGTGCTGGGCTCAGCAAGGAAGGTCTTCACTGTATCCCAACAGTCAGACAGCTCTGGCGCATGTGAAGGGTCTTGGAGAAAAGGAAGTCTTTCCCATGTTATCCACCACCATAGGCACAGTTGGGCTTCTCCCATGGGAGCTTAGTGTGGGTGCAACTATAGACAGTCTTCCTGGAACACATCCCCACAGGAGGAGCACCCTCTAGGTTCAAGGTTGCATGAGAGGCAGAGCCACAATTCCTCTCTATTTGGAACATCAACATTCCTACAGATGAAAAAAAGGTCATGAAAAAAAGTCCTGTCAGTCAGCTCCTGAACAGCAGGAACACTGGGACAGGAGCATGCCTGAGAGGTGGGTAACTTTCCTGGTGATCTGGCAGCAGGGCTGAGGTGGCTCCAACCCTTCCCACAATAAGACCCCAGTGTAACTCACTGAGAGCTCCTCTGGCCTCCTCTGTCAAGCCTGGGACATCATTCACCCACCTGCTTTAGCCACAGCTGGTTCCTACCCAGGGACACCTCCCCTACTGGCCTGAAGCCTGAACTATCAAATTAGTAAATAAAATACTGGGGGAAAATTAATAAATAAATAAGTCCACACTATGGGGGAATGGGATAAGCTTTAAGAGACCTCTACCATTCCAACCCCATAGGACACAGTGAACTTGCTCACACACTGAGCACATTGCTACTACAACTAGCATATAAGAAAACCATCATACAAAGACTCTCTATAACCAAGGGTCTTCACCCTCTAAAGCACCAAGAACTGAATTAGGCTATAATTAACTATAAGAATTAAAGTCTCATCCTTAAGGGGAAAAAAGAAATTTAAAAACAAACAAGCAAATAAGAGAAACACAGTCATATCAAATATAAATTCAAGAATAACGAGAAGAAGTAGTCTATCCAAATGAGAAGGAACCAGAAAAATAACTCCAGTAATATGACAAAACAAGGTGCTATAACACACCTAAAAGATCACACTAGCTATCCAGCAATGGACTCAAATCAAGATGAAATCTTTGAAATACCAGATAAGAAATATGAAGATTAATTATTAAGCTACTCAAGAAGATATTGGAGAAAGGTGGAAACCATCTTAAAGAAATTAAAAAGCAGTTCAGGATTTGAATGAAAAATTTTCCAGAGAGATAGGTATCATCAAGAAAGAAACAAATGGAACTTTTGGAAATGAAAGACACACTGAGGGAATTACAAAATTTCCACTGTAATTTTGTAATTACAGTGGAAACTTTTAACAATAAACTAGAACATGTAGAATAAAGAATTTCAGAGCTTAAAAACAAGACTTTTGAATTAACCCAATCAGACAAAAATAAAGAAAAATAATAAAAGGAAATGAACAAAGTCTCTAAGAAGTATGGGATTATGTAAAGTGGCCCAACCTAAGAATTATTGGTGTTCCTGGGGAAGAAGAGAAAATAGTAAGTATGGAAAACCTGTTTTAGGGAATAATTGAGGAAAACTTCCCTCGCCTGCCTGGAAATCTAGATATGCAAATCCAAGAAGCTCAAAGAACTCCTGGGAAATTCATTACACATTCACTAAGGCATATAGTCATCAGGCTATTTAGAGTCAACATGAAGGAAATAATTCTAAGAGCAGTAAGAAAAAAGCAGCAGTGAAATTACAAAGGAAAACCTATCAGACTAACAGCAGACTTCTCAGCAGAAACCTCAGGGGACTGGGGTTGTATCTTCAACCTCCTTAAACAGAACAACTGTCAGCCAAGAATTTTGTATCCTGCAAAACTAAGTTTTGTAAATGGAGAAATAAAGTTATTTTCAGACAAACAAATGCTGAGGGAATTTGTCACTTCCAAACCAGCTCTCCAAGAACTGCTGTAAGGAGTTCTAAACTTTGAAACAAAAGCTCAATATACATCAAAATAGAACCTCTTAAAAACTTAAAACTCACAGGCCTATAAAACAATAACACAGTGAGAAAACATATCTAGATAACAATTAACATGATGAAGAAAAGTACTTCATATTTCAATATTAACATAGAATGTAATATTAACATCGAATGTAAATGGCCTAAATGCTCCACTCAAAAGATACAGAATGGGAGAATGGATTGAAGATCACAATCCAAATATCCACTGTCTTCAAGGGACTCACCTAACACAGCAGGATTCAAACAAACTCAAGGTAAAATGGTGGGAAAAGGTATTCCATGCAAATGGGAATCAAAAGAGAGCAGGAGTAGCTATTCTTATATCAGGCAATGATGGGAAGGTGGGAGGTGTTGCAGATCCCTTATTATATCTTCCTCCCTTTGGAGTTTAGACACAACTGACCAGCATTAACATTAAAACAGCGATCTTAAGGCTGAGAAAACAGACTGTGCCAAATTCCAAACTGAATCTGGTATAACATCATATGATAGATAGTGGGCCCCAAAGAAAATAAAAGTATTTTATCCTGAAATACATTTCTTTGACATATTTTGAAATAGCCCTGCAAAGCTGTCTCTTGATGGGGAAATTTACATTCTGTAGAGAATCTCCTTCCTTTACTAGGGCTCTTCAGGAGAGTCTGACACTTTTTAACCCATTGCCCATTCAGAAAAAAAAAAAGTGCAGATGGCCAGTACTCATATGATTTTATATAACATGCTTTTTGAAGCTGATGCAAATCTGACTGACTTTCAATGTGAAAATAAAATATAAAAACTGTTCTTGGAGTCATTTGCAAACAGAAATTGTCTGTAATCCTAATGCAACAGAAATGTATATGTTACATTAGGATTAGAGACAAGAATATTCTCAGGGCAAACAGGAAATGGGTTAAGGTCCAATAAGAGAGATTCACATCTATTCTCTCTGAAGCCTGCAAACTAGAGGCTTCATCTACACGACAGGGACCTTGCCTTCCACAATCCCACCCACCCCCTCCCACCTTACCTTACCTTACCTTACCTTAAATTAACTTAGGCTGACTTTAACTCTTTAGGCAGAGCTTAACTCCTTCAAACAAATGCCACCCAGGACATCTCTGAATCCACCTATGACCTGGAAGCTCCCCTCCCCCTGCTTTGAGATGTCCTGCTTTTCAGGCTGAACCAATGTATATCTTTCTTTTTTTTTTTTTTTTGAGACGGAGTCTCGCGCTGTCGCCCAGGCTGGAGTGCAATGGTGTGATCTCGGCTCACTGCAAGCTCTGTCTCCTGGGTTCAAGGCATTCTCCTGCCTCAGCATCCCGAGTAGTTGGGACTACAGGCACCTGCCACCATGCCCAGCTAGTTTTTGTATTTTTAGTAGAAACGGGGTTTCACCGTGTTAGCCAGGATTGTCTCGATCTCCTGACCTTGTGATCCACCCACCTCTGCCTCCCAAAGTGCTGGGATTACAGGCTTGAGCCACCGTGCCCCGTGAACCAATGTATAGCTTACATGCATTGATTTATGTCTTTGCTTGTAACTTCTGTCTCCCTAAAATGCATAAAATTAAGCTGGACCTCCTGAGGCTGTGTCATTGGCCACTTTTCTTAACTTTAACAAAATAAACCTCTAAATTGATTGGCTAAAATTCGAATAATTTTAGCAGGTGCTGGAGTCCAGGGAATATCCCTGATTGCCTGGTACTTGGGTGATTAGGGTGAGTGGATAGGGTCCCGTAGTATGAAGGCCTGATAAAGGAGGTGGTTGAGGTGTGGACTCTGAATTGGTTGGTTTGAAAAGCACACTGTGGGCAAGTATGATTTGAAAAGCATACTGTCTCTAGGAGTTGGCTAACTCTGGGAGGGGCAGACCCTCCAGGTTCAACAAGACTTCAGATGTCAAATTATCAGAATACAGAAAATATAAGATGCTCTCTCTGCCTTTTAGAACTGCTGTAGCAAAATTTCTCAGGTGGGGTGGCTTAGAAACAATAGAAATTTGTGGTAATCGTTACATGATGCATATGGAATCAAGCCATGTCCTGCACCTTGAATATACAATTTTTATTTGGCAATCATATCTCAATAAAATTGGAAAAAATGTCAAAAATTAGCTCTAAGTAAAAATGAGTTTCCCTAAAGACAGAGCTTGTTCTTACCCTTGAGGCTTCTCAGAATCTCTATTACGAATTCTAGATATCCCAGATAAATTCTAGATGTTGCTTTTAGACAATGCAGTTTTCACTACTGAATGAGTAAGATTTCAGGGAGCGATATTCAGAAAGAATTTTGAAGAGAGTTTGCTCCATATTGTGACAAATCCCTTCCCCATTTTGTTTCCATACAGATAGATTTGGTAAATAATTAAATTATTTTTTAAAAAGCTTTGGATCTTGGAATTGGATTTCTTTTGGAAGTGTCAATGTACAGAGACCAACCAAAGTTAGTGAATATCTGTTCAGGTTCCTTCAGCAAAGCTGGAGGGTGTGCATATAACATACACACTTTCTCTCAAAAGAATAAAGTTTGCAGCTACCTTGGTTGTTACAAAGTTCATTTCCTGACAGGGTATATGGCTTGTCAAGGGTAAGGTGAAGGCAGTGCAGGATTAGCAAATTTCTGTTGGAAGGAGCAGGGAGTTGGGATAAGCAGGTTTAATATTGGCTAGTGCGAATAGTAGAGCAGGGTCTAAGGCATAGAGGTTGCCTGGCCCTGATGTAATAGCCTTATTTTGATATCATGTAGCAGTGGAAAGTTCTGTCCATGCAGGACTTAGCCAGATTCCAGAGAGTACTTTCTAGCATAGAGAACGTAGATTCACTCCCTGGCTTTGGGGATCAGCTTTCTAGTTAGTCTGTAAAGTGTCATCACACCTCATTCTTCAGATTGTCAGCAGGCTGGATTGTTTTCAGGTTTCTCTTTATCTGTATGTGTAGAGAACTTGCACCCAACTAGGAGGAGTGAGATGAAAAGCAAGCCTAAGACTGTCCAGGACGTTATGAGGCCAAAGTTTCAGAAGATTTGGTGCTCTTCCAGTAGGGACCCCTCTGTCTCCCTCAGTGTCTGACAGTTTTCCTAGCCATGTCTGGATGCATTTACTCTGCACACTTAGTAACCATAGTTACAATTCCAGGCCATCTCTGATCCCATTCAATTTTAACCAAACTCCTTACAGTCTACATAGGGAGTCTGGGCCTCAGAGAGGACACATTCTACTGGATTTTTAGTACCTTCCTCTCCAAAGACACCAACACTGAATTTGCTCAAAGGTTGGACATTTGCTGGAAGTACAGAACTCCTTACAACCCCTCATGCTTTTTCACCTGCTGTTCTCTTTTCATCCCTTCCCAGCAGCCATGTGTGGTTGGGCAGGCAGTACTGTCATGTCAGCCCCAGAACTAAGACGCTGTATCCTTTTCCTTGTACCACATCAGCAACCAGCTATTTGCGGCAAGAGCCCCACACTCTCAGTCTCACATCACTAGAGAGCCTGAGCCATATCGAGCACTGAAGATCATGAAAGTTGCTCCATAGCCAGAATCTACTCTCCTTTGCCACCCAGTCTTTATCGTGAGCAGCAGATACAGAACTCACACATTCATGCATCCATAAGGGTGAATGTTGTTGAAAAATCAAGCAAGAATTCACCAGCGTAGCCAGTAGGGTCAGAAGCAACATGACAGAAGTTGCTAAGTTTTCCTGTTACACCTTCATAAAGTTTATTGGTAAAGAAAATCATGAGTCCAAATGCATTTAGGCAGTTTATTAGTTACACATATAGCAAAGCAAGATCAGCATGGTGTTAGCTCTTAAGCCACAGGATAACACCCATCCAGAGGAGTCAGATGACGGGCAGCAGAGGTGGCATCACTCTGCTGCTAAGGAACCAACACTAAACCACAGGACGGCAGTCTTATAGCCTGTAGCTGAACCCTAGGGGCTCAGGTGGGAAGTTCCATTGCTCAACTGAAACTAGGGAGGTGGATGAGAAATTACCTTGTTCCAGCCCATCACAAGATGGCCTCTCCTGTTCCAAAGGAACTTCAGGGTCAGACTCAGTGCAGACTCGGGCCAGCCTGTAGTTAAGCCCTGCCTATGCGGTTTATGTGAGAGATGTACAAGGTTGTCAGAAGGCCATGGCAAATCTGCTTCTCTAAAGTTGGGAATTTCACAGAAATGGGAAATGCGAAGCTGAAGCGAAGGTAGGACACGACTTAGGTGTCAAAAGTTGTTTCCCTTGAAGCCTTTCTAAATAATAAGAATATCCTCTATGATTAGAGGGAGAAACAGGTGCTGATGAGCACACTGGACATCACGTTGAGGTGAGAAAATATCTTCTACATTGTTTTTGTGAAAAACCGAGCTCTTTTAAAGAAGGCTACAGCTCAGCTCTTTAAATTTAAGACCACAAGAGTCTGCTGGCCTATAAAAATGCTAAAAACCAGTAGTCATGGACACATCATGGTGTCACAGTTTGATCTAAATTCCCTGGTTTTGTGAAAGATGGCAGAATCAAGGGCCTACAGGATAGTGGCCATTCATTGGTTTCTTATGTCAGGGTGCAGGATTTCCTTTGACACAGCACTCCAGCTGAAACATACAGTAGGCAACTAACATTTCACTCTCATAGCATTCAAGTCTGCAGATGCCATTTTTATAGCATTTCTTGTGCATTTCTGATGATAATGAATTTATACCTGGAAGGAAAATGAATAGAAAGATAATTCACTACAGGCCTTTTTGGACCATAAAATTGCTAGTCCCTCAATTTTTATCCAACCGGATACCAAGGAGATTTGGTTATGATAATTGATCCTGTAACTGAAAAAATTAATTAGTGGTAGGGGCTGAATTGTGTCACCCCAAAATTCATATGCTGAAACCCTCACCCCTGATGTGACTGTCTTTAGAGATAGGGCCTTCAGGAAGTAATATAAGTTAAATGAGGTCATGATGGTGGAACCCTAATCCAATAAGATTGATAGGCTAATCCAATAGGATTGATGGTCTTATTAGTGAAGGTCACGGCAAAAAGATGGCCATCTACAAGCTTGAAAGCAAGCTCTCATCAGAAATTGAATCAGCTAGCACCTTGATCTTGGATTTCTCATCTTCTGGAACTATGAGAAAATAAAGTTTGTCTAAGCCACAGTGTGCGGAATTTTGTTATCGCAGCCCAAGCTGACTAAAACAAGTAATAATTTGGAAGTTTCCCTGAATTTGTCAATGAATATAACCCAAACAATCAAGCTAGCTATTCACATAGTCATTCATTCATTATTTTTTAAATAATTACTTACTCATTATTATTCATAAACCAATTTTTATAAATCCTGTGAATCAAGGACTGTTGGGGTACAGATTTGAGTATGATATAGACCTTAACCTCAATGAATTTTCATTCTAGACAAAAAGAGAAGAAATACAAAATATCTCTGAGAGAGGAAAAAACATGACAAGTGCAATGATGTATTTGCAATGTGGAACGGTCTTGTGAGTTTGAAGGAGGATGAAATCAATTCTGAAGATTTGAGAAGTCTTATTGAAGCTCAAGGAATCTGTAGAAATTTTGAGCAAACACATACCCTATCTGAGTCATAATGCCCTGGAGGATAATTGTCCTACATGAACAAGAAGGGATCAGTGTTACTTAGTTTGCAAGACAGAAGCCCTAGAGGACAATCTGTAACACTTTTGGGAAGATGAAATATAATGGTCTATAAAATGAGACAAGAACTTTCAATGGAAATGACAAGTTATGAGAATGCAAAAGGAATTGAAGGGAATATTGTACACTATATGGGGTTCTTTGTCTGGAGGCCACAAATCCATTGCCATAAACCGTAATGGAATTGGTTGCATCAGCAGCTTTAAGAGGCCTTGATCCCATGAATTCTTAAATTTAGCCTGGTGAGTCACATAATCTGAAGATGTGATTCATTTGCCTGGAGAATACTTCAGGCAAACACTTCAGTCCATCTAGGCAGATGAACCAATCTGACTGGACTGATTCAGTAACACTGAGTGAAAAGAATTTTCCAGATGAGATTGCTAAAGTCGGAAAGGATATGGTGAAGCTAGAGCACAGGGCCACTCACACTCTCTGTCATGTCTCCCTGGCTGCTATCTCATCTGATCAGGCATTTCTTCTATCACATAAAGCTCAGTGATTCTCTTGAAACTAGCCGTTCTAAATCTGTTTCCTCATGTAACTAATGGATTCACAAATAGTAAATTAACTGTAGGAAACTGCAGTATATTAGAAAATTAACAAATTGTGTTGTCACTATTTTCTGGTTTTGACTATTATACTTAGATACATTCTTGAATTAGAGACAAAATAACAGCAGGAAGACAGGATGGGCATTACTAATGAAAATACAATGATAGCTCTCATGAGCCAGGTACTTTTCATATTATGTATGGACATATTCCATACATGATCTGATTTAATCCTTGTGAGACTCTTCATTTCCATATTTCCATTTTTCAAATGAAGAAACTAAGGCTCATTGGTGCGGATCAGTTCAGCCAAAAAAAAAAAGGAAACTAAGGCTCAGAGAAGCTTAGACCTTTGTCCAAAGTTATATAGTTAACAAGTTGGACAGCCAGATTCAAGCCCAGGTCTTGCTGACATCAAAACTAGTTGATGCTTTTTTCTAGCTTGAAAATTAAAGGGCCCATGGGTGGTGTATGTTTATTGGGTTGTTTAGTGGCATTGTTCTTCTATATGAAGCACCCCTACCCCCCAAAATATGCCAGTTTTACCTGCCAGCACTGGATCCCAAAGGAAAAGAAAGACAAACACAACAAGGAGAGGCTTCATGGCTGGGAACTTCTGTTAAGGAGGCTAGTGGCAGGGTCTGACATCGGCTGTCAGGGAACAGAGAGAAGAGGTTGAGCACACAGTCCTATACAAACCTCTCAGGGCTGGGGTATGCCTCGCTTCAGGTAGATATGCTACACTGAACACCCCTGAGGCAGCCGTGTTGGCAATGCTCATCTGAGGAAAAAAAATGGACAGCCCTTTCTTGTTTGACAGCTTTTCCTATTGACAAAGACACTGTTCTCCCACCCAGGTTTTCCAAAAGTACATGGAGGCCTGAGAACTATGTGCTCTTACTCTTTTAAATGAGTAAAATTAAAATTTGATAGGCTTTTGTTCCAATAAAAATGTAATTGCTAATTTTAGAAAATTGGTAAAATATTAAACATGACAAGGATGGACAAGTTACAGATGAACTGCTCTTCTCAGAGACAAACTGTCATTCTAAAGAAAGTTTCATTTATGCCTAGTTTGTTGTTTAATATTTTGTTTTACATAGCTATAAACAATATTCTTATAATTAGGTATCCTGCTTTTGTAACTTGATATATACTATATATCAGTGTCACTATAAACTTCATAAATAGTATTTTTAAGTGTTGCACAATATTTTGTCAAGGTCATTTAAAATAATTGTTACTATTTAAAAAAACATTTTTTATTGAAGTATAAGTGACATACAATAAACTTCAAACAGTAAAGTGTACAATCGGATAAGTTTTGCCATATCTATACGTTTGTGAGACCATTGTCACATTCAAAATAATGAACATATCCATTCCCCCTAACATTTTTTCATGCCTTCTGTAATATTCCCCTCCTGATTCTCTTTCACCTCTCAGTCTAAAGGCCACAACTTTTCTGCTGACACTATAGATTACTTTGTATTTTCTTGGAATTTCATGTGAATAGAATAATATATTCTATACTCTTTCTTGTTGGGTTTCTTTTACTCAGCATAATTATTTGAGATTCGTCCTTGCTATAATATGAATTAGTTGTTCATTCCTTTTCATTGCTGAGCACCACTGCATGGCTATACATCTATGTGTTTATCCAGTCACGTATTGATTGATGTTTGATTATTTCCAGTTTTTGGCTATTGAAAATAAAGCTGCTATGGACATTCATGTACAAGTCATGGTATGGATATATGCTTTCATTTTTCTTTTGCAAATATTCAGGAGTAGAAAGGCTGGGCCACAGCTGTATGTTGTCATCAAGAGATCTCACACGCAATGACATTCATAGCCTCAAAGGAAAGGGATGGAGAAAGATCTAGCAAGCAAATGGAAAAGAAAAAGAACAGTGGTTGCTATTCTTATTTCAGACAAAACAGACTAAAAGCAACAATGATCAAAAAGGACAAAGAAAGGCATTACAAAATGATAAAGTGTTCAATTCAAAAAGAAGACTTAACAATCCTAAATATATATGCACCCAATATTGGAGCACTGAGATTTATAAAACAAGTTCTTAGAGACCTATGAAGAGACTTAGATAACCACACAATAATAACGAAAGACATTGACACCCCACTGACAGTGTTAAGCAGATACTTGAGGCAGAAAACAAATAAAGATATTGAGGACCTAAACTCAACACTTGACCAAATGGACTTAACAGACATCTATGGAGCATTCCACCACACACCAACAGAATACACATTCTTGTCATCTGTACATGGCACATACTCTAAGATCAACCACATGCTTGGCCATAAAGCAATCCTTAACAAATTAAAAAGAACGCATGCCAGTAACATTCTCAGACCGCAATGCAATAAAAATAGAAATCAATACCAAGAAGATCTCTCAAAACTATACAAGTACATGGAAATTAAACAATATGCTCCTTAAAGACTTTTGGGTAAAGGATAAAATTAAGGCAGAAATCAAGAAATTCTTTGAAACTGGGCCAGGTGCAGTGGCTCACACCTGTAACGCTAGCACTTTGGAAGGTTAAGGAAGGTGGATCACTTGAGTCCAGGAGTTTAAGGCCACCTTGTGCAACATGGTGGGACCCTGTCTCTACAAGATTAAAAAAAAAATTAGCCAGGTGTGATGGTGCACGACTGTAGTCCCAATTACTTGGGAGGTCGAGGTGGGAGAATTGCTTGCGCCTAAGGGGTTGGGACTACAGTAAGCTGTGGTTGTCCTGCTCCACCCAAGCCTGGGTGATAGAGTGAGACGCTGTCTTAAAAAAAAAATAAAAAAAATAAAAAAGAGACGTTCATTGAAACTGATGAAAACAAAGGTACAATACCAGAATCCCTGAGACACAGCTAAAGCAGTGTTAAGAGGAACATTTATAGCATGAAAATGCCTACACCAAAAAGTTAGAGAGATCTCAAATTAAGAACCTAACATCACACTTAGAAGAACTAAAAAAACAAGAGCAAATCAACCCACAGCTAGCAGAGGAAAGAAATAACCAAAATCAGAGCTGAACTGAATGAAATAGAGACATGAACCCATACAAAAGATTAATGAAACCAAAAGTTGGCTCTTTAAAAGAATGAATAAGTCTGCTTATTTAGACTGCTAGCTAGACTAAAAAAAGAAGATCCAAAAAAACACAATCAGAAACGAGAAAGAGGATATTACCACTGACCCCAAAGAAATGCAAAAAACCCTCAGAGACTATTAGGAGCATCTGCATGCACACATGCTACAAAGCCTAGAAGAAACTGATAAATGCCTGGAAAAGTACAACCTCCCAAGGTTGAACTGGAAAGAAATTGAATGCCTGAGCAAACCAATAATGAGATCTGAAATAGAATCAGTAGTAAAAAACCTACCAAACAGAAAAAGCCCAAGGCAGGAACCTATCATTTCTACCTTAGGTTCCTACCTTGGTCTCAAGTGAGCCCCAGCTGGAAGTTCATACTAAAATTGACACAAGGGGTGCCTGGTCATATCATGTCCAATTTCTTAGCAACCAGCCAGTGAGGGCGTGGGTTCATGAAAAGCAGGTATGGGAGTATAAAGGTCATAAACAGTATAAAGAATTACTGGCTGAGGCTCCCAAAGAAGCCAGCAATCACTCTGAGAAAAAAAGACCTGGAAACCTCAACCTCAGAGAGGACATGCTCAGTGGGATACTGGCATTGCCCATGCAAAGAAAGTGTTGAATATGACTCAAGGAGAAATAATAAAGCAATATACTTTTATCTATGTTGATAAACAGCTGGAAGAGGCTTTAACCCAAGCAAAAATAATGTTGCTTACAAAGCCAAAGTTAAAAAACCCCAAGACCATTACAGTGCCAAATTCTTTTCCCCAGAACGGACTATTACTATCATTCTCCCACTATTGATAAGGAGCTCGTTCACTGACTAGGTCACCAACTACCAGCAATTCGTGATTTTACTTAAATATCAGAACAGGACAGCCTCTGAGTTTTGCTCTAAAAGGTAAAGAAGAATTTCAGCAACTGTCAGAGATCGTCTCTTGTTATCTAGACCTCCCCTGGCTCAGCGTCTGGTTCACTGTAGGTGCCACGAGTTGGGAGCTGACCTAGTTCATAGACTTTAGAGATAAAGAGGGGAGATGTGCGCATCATTTGAAAACAAGTATGTGGCTTACCAGCACACCAGCTTTTTCTTTTCATCCATATATTCCCCTAAGGCCACATGGTGCTCTGGGATTAGAAAATGGAGAAGTACAATATGCTCCACGCTAGGACTAGATGGCTCTTTCTTCTGCCTCCTGGGTTTGGTATTTCTTTAGGGTCATCATGCTACTCTTCTCATCTTCCTGATCTGTGGTTGTTCTGCAACTGCCATACTCTCAGCTGCAATTGAAATGTCCCTGTCTGACCCTGAGCCATACAGATTCAATATGCAGCCTTTCCAAATGACAATCCTAATAAACAGAAATGTATTCTAGCCAACAGTGGGAGATGCAGAAGGAAGCAGCTTCTGTATCCTCTGTGAAGAGATGGTCCTCTTTCCCATTACAAATTTTACAGCACCCATTCCTTTTTTTTTCATAGCACTTGTCACAATTGTTACTATATCAATTATTTGTGTCTCTGATTAGACTGTGAAATCCGAGTAGATTCCATGACTGTCTTATTTATCATTTTACACCAGTATTGGGCTGAAAGTCTAGCAGGCCATCAGTGCCAAAGGTATATTTGTTGAATAAATAAATGAACTCTAGATATTAGGTTTATACTTTAACTTTACAATATATAGTAGTTATTCCTTATTCATGGGGCTATGTTCCAAGACCCCCAGTAGATGCTTGAAACAGTCGATAATACTGAACTCTATATATACAGTGCTTTTTTTCTATACATGCAGACCTATGATAAAGTTAAATTTATAAATTTGGCACAGTAAGATTTTAATAACAATAACTAATAATAAAACAATTATAACAATATGCTATCATAACAATACTATAAAAGTTATGTGAATGTGAACTCTGTCTCCCCCAAAATATCTTACTGTGCTATGCTCACTCTTCTTCTTGTGCTGATGTAAGATGATATAATGCCTATGTGATGAGAGGAAGTGAGGAAAACGACATAGGCATTGTGACATAGCATTAGGCTATTGCTAATCTTCTGACCATAGCTCAGAAGGGGGATCATCTCCTTCGGGTGATGCTGGGTCACTGAGCCATGGTGATGTTAGTGGCTGGATCTCAGAAGCATATGATTTCAATAACTAATGGGCAGGTAGTGTTTACAGTGTGGATACACTGGACAAAGGGATGATTCACATTCTGGGTGTGTGGAGCTGCGTAGTGCAAGATTTTGTGTTACTCAGAACAGCATGCAATTTAAAACTTATGAATTGTTTATTTATGGAATTTTGTGTTTATTTATTTATTTATTTTGAGATGGAGGCTTGCTCTGTCACCCAGGCTGGAGTGCAGTGGCGTGATCTTGGCTCACTGCAACCTCTGCCTCCCAGGTTCAAGTGATTCTCCTGCCTCAGCCTCCTGAGTAGCTGAGATTACAGGCACCTGCCACCACACCTGGCTGATTTTAGTATTTTTAGTAGAGACGGGGTTTCACCATGTTGGCCAGGCTGGTCTCGAACCCCTGCCCTCAGGTGATCCACCCACCTTGGTCTCCCAAAGCGCTGGGATTACAGGCATGAGCCACTGCACCCAGCGTATTTAATATTTTGGACTGTGGTTGACTGTAAGTAACTAGAACTGTGGCTGGGTGGGGAACTACTGCAGATATATTCCTAACAGCTGGTATTTGGAGCACTTTTAGGCATCAAGGATTGTAGTATGTATTTTTTTTAATATTGCCTCACTTAATCTTACAAATGATCTCTTAACTAGACATTTTCACAATTCACATTTTCAAGATGTTGAAGCAGAGATTTGAGTAATTCTTCTAAAATCACACATCTGGGACTGATAAGTCTTACAGAGATTCTAGAACCCAAATTAATTAACCACTCTTCTATATTGTC
Source organism: Homo sapiens (assembly GCF_000001405.40). NCBI lineage: Eukaryota > Metazoa > Chordata > Mammalia > Primates > Hominidae > Homo > Homo sapiens. The sequence continues at coordinate 12,001,695 of NC_000008.11, forward strand.
TCCTGGGACAAAGGGGTTCTGAAATATAGCAAAAATTCTACTTTGAATCTAGTCTGGGCCAGCCAGGAAGAATTAGTAGATGCCAGGGCCTGGGGAGCTAGAACCTATGGTAAGGAAGTGACACTGAAAAAGCTAAAGAATCTTTCTTTCTTTCTCTCTCTCTTTCTTTTTCTTTCTTTCTTTCTCTCTCTCTTTCTTTTTCTTTCTCTTTCTTTCTTTCTTTCTTTCTTTCTTTCTTTCTTTCTTTCTTTCTTTCTTTCTTTCTTTCTCTCTCTCTCTCTCTTTCTTTTCTTTCTTTCTTTTCTTTCACAGACGTCTTGGGACGCAAAGGGCCAAGGCATCAGAAACACTTGGTACCAGCTTCCACAGCAACAATGAGAGGTAACCCCAGTGCTTCCACTACCAACAGGACATTACCACTTGCAGGCAGAGAAACAGACAAGAAAAATAGTGGATGCCACATATTAGGACTCGTCTGAGACATGATGCAAGACTTTTTAGAAAGAATTTGAGGTGAGATGAGGCTGGGCTCTCTGAAGTAGTTCAAGAGAAATACTATTTTGTGGCCCTTATTGGGACTTACTTATAACCTAAGGACCTAGGATGATGCTTGAGTAGCAGGACCAACCAATGTACCAAAGAATGGGCCTCACCCAAAGAGCTTTACAAATTTTATTAAAAATAAGAATGAGACAGAACTCAGCAGTTGTACCTAGATTAGTGACAGAAGATCAGATGAGAATGAAGATGTTTTAGTAGGTTAACATAATAAACGCTCTCCGAGATACCTCATCACTGCTTACCTCTTTTGGAACTTAAAAATAACTTGGAGAAGATATGATCAACTATGAATTGACTAAGTTTCAGTTTCTGTGACCAGGCAAAATAAGGTTCCTAATAGGAATTCAGTTAATTTATAGAAAAAGAAAATTATACTTTTGTAAATATGCCTAGTAGACTGACATATCCCTTACATGACTAAAACCCTATTATGCCAAAACATCTCTTTATTGAATCTCCCCACATTCCCAACCTACTTTCTCTTCTTGCCTCTCTAGTTTAGTGAGTTATATTGGCATCCATCTTTTTATCAGCTTTGAAATCTCAGAATCATCATTCATGGCTTCTCAATATATCATATGGCCAATAAATCCTGCCAATCCTAATTCTAAAATTCACCTTGTATCTCTTCTTTCTTTTTAGTTCTCACTACTAGTGATCAAGTCCTAGATTACTGGAATAGAATAATGTTGCATCAATAGATTGTGTTTATATAAAATTATATATCTGATAACCTGAAAAATATACCTTATTTTCAAAACCACCTAACATTTTAACAAACATGAACTCTTAGGCAACACAGAATAATTATATAAAACCCCAAAGGAATAGGATGGATCAAATTCTTGGGTTCCATGAAACTATAGCTAACATTTATATAATGTCTATAATAGGGTCAAGCGCTGTTTAAGAACTTCACATATACTAACTCACATAATCCTAACAGTACCACAGTGTAGGTACCTATTGCTATCCCATTTTATAAATAAGGAAGCTGAGATAGACAGAAAAGAAATAATTTGCCCAAGCTTGAACAGTTAATAAGTGGTAGGGCTGGGATATAGTACTATGGGTGAAACAGCAATGTGGCTGTGGATGTAAATTAAGGGAGTAAATGTTAAAATGCACAAATGAAAATAGAGTGTAAGCATTTATAAAATTTATATTCATTTTCACCTGACCATCTAAACATGCAATTATAATAATTTTCATCCATCATGTTAATTATTCGTAGATAAGAGAGTTTAAGACATGTTTTTGCTCCTGGAGTCTGAAGAAGATGGAGTTAGCATTTTCACCACTTCTTTTGTCCGTCAATTTCAATGATCTTCAGTTTGCAGCAGATGCTGAAGTCAGCACAGTATGTAATTGCATGTTCATCAGCATTGCACTTCAGTCTGCAATGATAATATTCTGAAGGACATTCATCATTAGAAATGAAGCTTCCGGCTTTAAGAGGAGAAGACAAATTATATGACACAATATATTTACTTTTTATTTTTAAAGTCTGAAATATTTTATAACAAATTAAAAACATTAAAGAACTTTCCCAGAAAAACAAAACAACAGCAAAAGAATGCAAGAGAAAAAGTGGAGATGCTGAATAAAGACAAACGATGCTTTCTTCTATAAAGAGAGGAGTAAATGAGGCAGTAGCTGGAAATGTACAGAATTTTAAATGAGAACTATTACCACATATTTCTACCTAAAATGAATTATCCTGCTTGGGGGTGGTGTAGAGATTCATAATGCAGGAAATAATGTTTAACTTCTGGAGTTAAATTCTTGAAAAAGTCATTGGGGATGGAATCTAGTGTAAGTGGAGGGGTTGGCCTTGAATCAGACAGTGAAGAGAAGGTAGATTATGGATAAAGATAAAACTATGTGAAGAGATATGGTGGTGGAAAAATAGAAAAGCTATCTTTGGTTGCTTCTCTGTTCTTGGTGAAATGAGAAAAAAAGAATCCTTAATTGAGAGAAGGGGTCAGAAGGAGTTGAGTCTTAGTTCCAGCTTCCCAGGGTATTCGGGCTCAAGGCCATGTCTTCTTTACTGAGGAAGTTACTGAGATATGCACAGGAGCCTATAACCCATAATCTCCCATAACTATTCCCTTTAAACCTACCAGTCCTTCCCAAATCCTTTTGTTACAATTTATAAGTTAAAATAATTGCCATGACCAACATCATGAAAGTTTCTCCTTATGTTTTCTTCTATAAGTTTTACAGTCTCAGGTAATTATGTTTAAATGTGTAGTTCATTTTGAGTTGCTTTTTGTGTGTAGTGTAAGATACAGGCCCAGTTTTATTCTTTTGCATGTGAATATTCAGTTTTCTCAGTACCATGTATTGAAGAAACCGTCTTTTCCCCATTACATATTCTTCGCATGTTTGTTGAAGGCCAGTTGACTGTATAAGTGTCAGTTGATTTCTGGGCCCTCTATTCTCTTCCAGTCGCCTATATGTCTGTCTTTATGCCAGTAGCACACAGTTTTGATTACTCTATCTTTATAATACATTTTGAAATTAGAAAATGTGATGCCCCTAGCTTTGTTTTTCTTGCTCATTGTTTTGACTCTTCTAGGTCCTTTGTGGCTTTATATGAATTTTAAGATTGTTTTTTCTATTTCTGTCAAGAGTGCCATTAGGATTTTGATAGGGATTGTATATAATCTATAAATTGCTTTGAATAGTATGGATATTTTAATATTATTATGTCTTCCAATTCACGAACATAGGATATCTTTCCACTGATTTGTGTCTTCTTTAATTTCTTTCATGAATGTCTGCAATTTTTAATGTACCAGTCTTTCATCTTTTTGGTTAAGTTTATTCTTAAGTATCTTATCCTTTTCTTGCTATTATGAATGAGATTTTCTTTACTTGCTTTCCAGTTGCTTGTTGTTAATGCTATAGAAACACAACTGATATTTGTATGTTGATTTTCTGTCCTGCAACTTTACTGAATTTGTTATTAGTTTTAATAATTTTGGGGGAGTGAAGTTTAGGGTTTTTTACAAAAAAATTATGTCATTTGGAAATAGATAATTTTACTCATTCCCACCCCCCAACAGTTTGGATGCCATTTATTTCCTTTTCTTGCCTAATTGTTCTTGCTAGAACTTTTAGTATCATGTTAAATAAATGTGGCAAGAAGGGGTACTTTTGCTTTGTTCCTGATCTTAGAAGAAAAGCTTTTAGTTTTTCACCATTGAGTATGAGTGAAGAATTTCTTTTCACTTTTATTGTAAGGTAGGACTACTGGTGACAAACTCTATTTTTGTTTACCTAAGAAAATTATGTATTTTTACTTTAATTTAAAGGGTAGGCTGGGCGCGGTGGCCTGCACCTTTAATCCTGGCACTTTGGGAGGCCAAGGCTGGCGGATCACCTGAGGTCAGGAGTTCGAGACCAGCCTGGCCAACCTAGCGAAACCCAGTCTCTACTAAAAATACAAAATTAGCCAGGCGTGGTGGTGGCTGGCTGAGGCATGAGATTGCTTGGACCCAGGAGGCGGAGGCTGCAGTGAGCCAAGGTCACTGCCACTGCACTCCAGCCTGGGTGACAAAGTGAGACTCTGTCTAAAAAAAAAAGATAATTTTGCTAGGTAGAGAGTTTTAAGATAGTGTTCTTTTTTTTTTTAAACATTTTAAATATTTCACTTTCCTCTCTTTTTGCTTATGTGGTTTCAGAGAAGTCTGATGTAATTCTTATCCTTGGTTGTCCATAGATAAAGATTTTTTTCCCTCCTGGCTTCTTTTAAGATTTTCTTTTTGTCTTTGATTTTTGGCAGTTTCAATATAATATGCCTATGTTTAAATTTTTTGTATTTATCTTGCTTGGTACTCTCTCAGCTTCCTAGATATGTAGATTTTGTTTATTTTCAATTTTGGGAAAATCTCAGTCAGAATTTCTTCAAATATTTCTTCTATTCCTTTCTTTCTCCTCCTCCTGATACTTCATTACACATATATTGTTCCTTTTGCAATTGGCCTACACTTATTAAATATTCTGTTCTTTTACTTCTTTTTTCTTTGCTTTTAAGTTTTGGAAGTTGCTATTTAAACTTCTTTAAGCTCACCGATTCTTTCCTTGATCATATCAGTCTATTGATGAATTCATCGTTATGGGCTAAGCAGTGTTCCTCCAAAATTTGTATGTTGAAGTCCCAATCTTTAGTATCTCAGAATGTAATCATATTTGAAGATAAGTTTGTTTTTTTTTTTAAGGAGTGATAAAGCTAAAATGAGACTCCCAGGGTATGGCCCTCGTGCAATATGGCTGATGTCCTTATTAGAAGAGGAAGAGACACCAGGAATGCATGTGCACAGAAAAAATGCCATAAGAGGACATAGCAAGAAGGCAACCAGCTGCAAGCCAAGACAGGCCTCAGGAGAAACCAAATGTGCTGACATCTTGATCTTAGACTTATAACATCCACAACTGTGAGAAAATGAACTTTTGTTATTTAAGGCACCCATTCTGTGGTACTTTCTTATGATAACCCTATAGCAATGCAAGAATGGCCTAATACATCTATATTTATATTGGACAAAATTGACTTTAAGCAAAAAAACATAAAAAGAGACAAAGAAGGCCATCATATAATGATAAAAGGGCCAATTCAGCAAGAGGATATAAAAATTCCAAATATGTATATATATGTACCCAGTAGTGGAATACTTAGATATATTAAAAATGTCATTAGAGGTAAAGAGAGAGATACACCTCAACATCATGATAACTGAGGGCTTCAATACCCCACTTTCAGCATTGAACATTCAGCATTCTAGGTAGAAAGCTAACAAATAATCATCGAATTTAATCTGTACCGCAGACCAAATAGACTTAACAGACATTTACAGAACATTTCATCCAATAGCAGTGGAGTACACATTCTTCTCCTCATCAGATAGAACATTCTCCAGGCTAGACCATATGTTAAGACACAAAACAAGTTTCAACAAATTTTGAAAAATCAACATTATATCAAGTATATTCTAGACAAAAATAGAATAGAACTAGAAATGAATACTAGGAGGAACTTTGGAAACTATACAGATAACATGGAAATTAAACAACATGCTTCTGAACAACCATTGAGTCAATGAGAAAATTAAGAAGAAAATAACAAATGTTCTTGAAATAAATGCAAACGGAAACACAACATACCAAAACCTATGGAATACAACAAAGACAGTGCTAATAGAGAATTTTATAGCAATAAATGCCTACTGCAAGAACATAGTAAGATTATGAACAAGCTACTATGCACCTCAAGGAACAAGAAAATCAAGAAAAAATGAAATCCAAACTAAGGAGAAGGAAAGAAATAATAAAAATCAGAGCAGAACTCAGCGAATTCGAGATTTAAAAAATGCAAAGAATTAATGAAACAAAAAGTTGACTTTTGGAAGAGATAAACAGACTTTATAAACTGCTAGCTAGACTAACCAAGAACAAAAGAGAGAATGCCAAATAAATAAAATCAGAAATAAAACAGGAGACATTACAACTGATATAAAAGAAACACAATGGATCATTAAAGTCTGTTATAAACAACCATATGGTAAATAATCCATACGATGAAATTTTTTTTTACCAACACCAATAATCAATCTAACTTTCCCAAATTAATTTTAAAATCCACCAATACTTTATAATAAATACATATTAAACTGTGGTTTATACCTGAGATTTAGATTATCAATTGACTTATTTATCGTTTCTGAGGCGCATATTACCTCAGAGCACGTTTTAAAATGTATTTCAAGATTCCATCATTTATATAATTATACAGAATTACACCTTTCCTCCATGAATGTTGGTGTTTTATATTTTTATTGAGATAGAATTTACTATAAAATTCATTCCTTTAGAGTGTTCCATTTAGTGACTATCAGTGGATTCTTAAAGTGGGATATACTGATGACCACTGAATGAAGGAATGAAGTACGAATCTATGCCACAACATGGATGAATCTTGAAAACATTATGCTAAATGAAAGAAGGCAGACATGAAGGATCACATAATTATTATTCTCTCCATAGTAAATGTCCAGAATACGAATATACATAGACACAAAAATTAGATCAGTGGTTGCTAAGGACTGGGAGGAGGAGAGATTTCTTCTTGCGATTATAAACATATTCTGGAATTAGATAATGGTGAGGGGTGCACAATTTTAAGAATACACTGATAACCACTGAATAGAACACTTTAAGGCAATGAATTTTATGGTAAATTGTATCTCAATAAAAATATAAAAATCCCACTAACATTCATGGAGGAAAGGCATAATTATTTATAATTATAAAAATAAGGGAATCTTGAATCATGAAGTATTATATAAATGAGGGAATCTTGAATTGTGAAGTGTTATTTAACTTGATTTAGCCATTTCTGTAATGTATACATACTTCAATCACGTCATTTTGTATAACCTCTTATACATAATTTTTGCCAATTCAATAAATTCAACAACTCCAAAAAACAAGACATTCTCTTTACTAAAATAATTATTAAAAATAAAATTCAGAATTCTATTTTATTTATTTATTTATTTTTGAAACAGAGTCTCGCTCTGTCACCCAGGCTGGCTGAAGTACAGTGGTGCGATCTCGGCTGACTGCAACCTCTGTCTCCCAGGTGCAAACGATTCTCCTGCCTCAGCCTCCCAAGTAGCTGGGATTACAGGTGTGAGCCACTGCGCCTGGACAGAATATAAAAGACTGTTTAATTCAACTAAAACATTAAAACATTAAAACATAGATTATTTCTATAAGTGGTAATTGTTCTAACATGTTCTGGTCAAAACAGTCTCCTTACTTATCCACAATTAAATGGTTAATTGATATTTGATTGGATTTTGATAAAGTTTTCAAATCATGCTTGACTATTCCAATGTACAGTAAAATGTGTTTAAAAATATTTCATAAAAATTAATATTTAAAAATGGTCAGGCATGGTGGCTCATGCCTGTAATCCCAGCACTTTGGGAGGCCAAGGTGGGCCGATCACTTGAGGTCAGGAGTTTGAGACCAGCCTGGCCAAACCTCATCTCTACTAAAAATACAAAAGTTAGTCAGGCATGGTGGCACGCACCTGCATTCCCAGTTACTTGGGAGGCTGAGGCAGGAGAATATCTTGAACCTGGGAGGTGGGCTCCCCAGGCTTTAAAGCAAAACCCCCATCTTGTCTGTCTCCACTCTCATCCCAGGCAATCACGGTCATTTCCACAACCTCAACCACTGTCCACCTGGGATGCCTCCCAAGCCCAGGTCTCCAGCCCAAACCTGCCTTCCTAGCCCCAGAACTATCTGTCCTGGCACACATTGCCCCCTAGGTCCCCAGCAACCTCAGCCAATGAGTCCAACATCAACTTCCTGTCCTTTCCAGACACTGTTAGCCCTGAGATCAGACTTGACCATTCACCTCCAGTACCTGATAGGTCCGTCGGTCCTTTGGAACATATCCCACGAACATTCCCCAAACCAGGCACTGGACTCCACACATCAACACCGTCATGTGAGTCACCAGCATCCCTGGCAGGGACCCCTGTCCCAGCCTCCAACTCATCTCCTTCCTGTCCCTTGAGTTCTGTGTCACAATCCAGAGGCCACGGGAAGAAAAATGACCACCTTAATGAAATTAAAAGAATTGAGAAGACATCTCCCTATGGTCCAAAGTCTTTCCAACTGAGAAACACATATCAAGATCCAGCCTGCTTGCCCTGTGGTTAAATGTTCCTGAAATAATTAAAGCCCAGGGCAACACAGCCCCCACTCCACAAGTACTCCCAGCATAGTAAGACTTGCTTCTTTGGAAGGGTGCGAAATGTCCAGTGTGTACCCTGCCCCTCTCTGTCATAGCTAACAGGAATGTGCTTCATGTCTTCTTCCTGCTCAAAGGACCGTCCACCAACCTGCGCAGGCAGCACTTTCGTCCGGGGGGGATGGGAGAACTTCCCACCATTTCCCACTTATGCACTGCATTCCTCAGGAGCCTGCCTCACAAATTACAAGGGCGCCACAGCAGACACACGACATTCCAGTGGGTGGCCATGTCTTCATGTCAGCTTGAAAGATCGTCACCAGGGAAATATCTATATCTCGGCAGAGAGAGCTTCAGCCTGTGTAGTCCAGCTGTGCTCAAATGGAAATCCAGAAACCCAGATGTTGGTCCAAACACCCTGTCTCGGACAGCCAGCTCTGCAGGTCCCCAGCGTGGGATGGAACTGGGTGGGCCACCTACCCTGCCTGCCCACATCCCTGCCTCCTGGAATCCTGGACCCTGAGAAACAGGGGGATGTGGTGGGGAACAGGCAAGTCTTGTGCAGAAAGCCAAGATGCCACCCAAATACACTCTGCAGTCTAGGTGGGTGATATTCTGGTCTGCACCACACCAGTGCATGAGGGAATGGAGGATGGAGTCTAGACAAGCTAAATGTAAAAAGATATTGCCCAAGTATTTTGTGCTTTGTCTGTGTTACAATGCTATGCCCAGCCCAGCGTGGTGGCTCACACCTGTGATCTCAGCACCTTGCGAGGCCGAGGCAGGTGGATCACCTTAGGTCAGGAGTTTGAGACCAGCCTGGCCAACATGGTGAAACCCCATCTCTACTAAAAATACAAAAATTAGCCAGGTGTGGTGGTGGGCACCTGTAATCCCACTTACTCGGGAGGCTGAGGCAGGAGAATCACTTGAGCCCAGGAGGTGGAGGTTGCAGTGAGCGGAGATCATGCCACTGCACTCCAGCCTGGGCAACAGAGTAAGACTCCATCTTTAAAAGACATATAAATAAATAAATGCTATGCCCAGCATTTTTCATGTACTGTGTTATTATCTCAGTAAATCCCATATAACCTTCCTATGAAAGTGTATCTCATTTATCTCCATTTTATAGATGAGAAAACTGAGGCCCCTGGAGTACTATTAATTTTCCAAGACCGCATTGCTCATAAAGGGTACAGCAGGGACCCAAGCTCGACACTCTCACCCTCAAACATTTCCACAAGTGTAGACCAATGGCTCTCAACTGGGGTGGTTTTGCTCACGTACCACTCCCTTGCTCCATGGCATTTGAAACCGTCTGGAGACATCTGGGGTAGCCATAGCCGGGAGGGTAGAATGGCACCTAGAGGATGGAGACCACAGATGCTGCTAACCATCCTACAATACACAGGATGCCCCCCCCCAACCACCACGAATGGTCTCACCCCAAGTGTTGTGACTGTGCCAAAGCTGAGAAACCCAGGTTTCTCCTCAGCAAGAAGGGAAATCCCTGCAACGTGGATGCACCTCTACAGGAGCCCCAGGCTGACAATAACCTTCGTCATCTGGTTTCAACCCTGGATGCTTTTACCTGGTGCATCCATCAGGGATTTCAGGGACTGCAGTGAGTTATCACCCTTGAATGCTCCATTCTGCCTGACAACCCAGAAATCTCTGCCAAGGTGCCTGGTCTTGGGGAAGGCTCAGCAAATGGTTGAGGTTGATAACCAAATACCTAGGAGAGACTTTTCTCTCCCTCCAGGAAGAGCTGTTGGTCAGATACACCCTGGTATCATTCACAAGCGGTCAATAAAGGCTTGGGGAGGGCCAGGTTTTCTAGGCCTTCTCAATGGGATGGGTGTTTGTGGATACACAAGAAGCCTGTGAAACTTCTGATATTGGCAGGAAATCAATGCCCCCACCCTCCACATCCCCACCATAAACACATGCCCTGCAGCAGGACTTGGCACTCAGGGGCTCCTGGGGTCCCCATTTACCTTCTAAAACATCCTCTAGGCACCACCTAATAAAGCAACCCCTTGCCACCCAACCACAAGAGCACAGCCTAGGAGCCACTCCAAGGGACATCCAGTCACATTAAAACCTCAGCCATCCAGAGCACCAGGCCTGGTGATGAGAAAGAACATTTTATCCTTAAAAGCATCTGAATGCCCATGCTGCTTTTCTTGCAGAGAAAAGTCCAAAATAATCTGCTATTAAAGAACGAGGATGGTTTTGGCATTTTTACCAAGCTAATGGTCTACGCAGACAAAATCTCATAAAAGGGCACTCTGTTCTTCTTGATCCACTCAGACATGGCCTGTGAGTGAAGAAACGGGCTCTCCTCCTCAAAGAAATCACTGCTGATCCTCGTACCAGCCTGACACTGCTTCATGGGTTCTTCAAAGAGAGTATTCCCATAGGAACTAAAAGGGAAGAGGAATGTGTCTGGAGGGCATTGTGGGCAGCAGTGGGCTTTGGGCCAACTTTTAAGTTTGAAAATCAAGATTCCCTCTTTTCAAGGGGCCGCCAGACTGAGCAGATACAGGCACCGTGAAAAGAGTGTGCCATATTCAGATTCAGGAAACAAGGATGGTTTCTGGTCAGTTCCTCCATCATCCTTCAGGTCATGCGATTCCCATTTCCCTCTGTGGACCAAACAATTCAGTGGGGTTTCTGACTTTTAAATATTTCATTATCAACATATCATCCTTTTAGCCTCCAGAAAGCATTTTAACATGAAGATTCTGGCTTAAGACTCTTGTGGGTCTGTCTGTTTCTCTCTCTCTCTTTTCCTTGAAACGGTCTCACTTTGTGACCTACGCTGGAGTGCAGTGGCATGATCACAGCTCACTGCAGCCCGACATTCCAGGCTCTAGCAATCCTCCCACCTCAGCCTCCAAAGTACTTGGGACTACAGGCACACACCACCATACCTGGCTTTTTTTTTTTTTTTTTTTTTGGGTAGATAGGAGGCTTCACCATATTGCCCAGGCTGGTCTTAAACTCCTGAGCACAATCGATCCTCCCCTTTCGGCCTCTCAAAGTGCTGGGATTATTGGCTTGAGCCACCATGCCCAGCCAAGAACCTTGTCTCTTGTGATGCACCCCAGAACAAAACATCACTGCAAAAACACACCAGGGCATGAGTTTTAGTCCTAAGTCTCATTTATCCACCATACACTATGTGCCAGGCACAACGCTAAGTGCTTCTATGGACGAGCTTCCCTTAATCTCAGCAGTAACAACCCCAGGCAATGGGGCCTGTTGACAGATCCATTTGCCACTGAAGACAGTAAGGCTCAGAGAGGGTAAGTGGCTTGTGCCATGTCAGCCAGCTAAGGAGGGGCAGAACCAGGATGCAAACCCCAGCCGCCTGGCTTCAGACTCGCGTTCCCAAGGTCCCACTACACTTGGTCACTCCACTGCATTCTGGTATCCTGGTCTTTGGCAGAGTCCACGTAAAAGAGGGAGGTAGAGGGAGTGAGAGGGACTTCATGCAATAGAGTTTCCCGGCGTTACACTGCCACCGTAATTGTGTCCCCGACCAGGACCTCTCTCTTCTCATCCTTTCCGTGATCGGCCCTGGAGAACCTTCGAAAGAACTGTCCTCCTTCTCCCGGGATCTCAGAGAAAATTCACCTGAGTTCAGTGTCCAGGTGACCCAAGCTCTGAATGCAGTAACGTGCACAGGGAGATGAGGATGTCACCATGAGCAAGCCTCCCAGACAGCATCCGGGAGCAACCCCAAGACTGGGCAGGGGGGCTCTGATGCAGCCCACGGCGAGGAGGGCTGCCCGTGCTGCCTAAATGGGTTCAGAATGAAGGCCGCCCTCTCTCCCATGTGGGGCTCATTAACCACGAATCCAATTATTAAGACAAGCTCAGCTGAGCAAATGGTCAAACATAAAAACATGTGGAAGGAACAAAGAGGTCAACCCCATTATCCATCAAAAACCATCAAGGTGGCAGCCCTCACTGAGGGGTACGGCTCTCCAGTGGGTCCTCATCTGCCCTCCAAACCCATGTGCCTCCCCAGTGGAAGGCCAGCAAAGCCACACAGGAAGAGTAGGCGTAGGAAAGCACAAAGTGAACCCCAGGAGGCCAGCCTGGCTACGCAGCCCCATCCCACACACACAGGCCCGGTGACTCAGGGGCCCACGTGTGCAGGACACCGGGAGCTCACAGGGACAGCGCCCCGGGGGATGGAAGGAACTTTGCCTCTCTGTCCCTCTCTGTAGGGATGGAAAGAGGAGAGCGATTTCTGGGATGGAAGCCATCTGCCTCCTCTCAACTCTCGCTGCCCAACCAGAAAGGGAAGAAAAACAGGAAGATGCGGGACAGGTGAGGAGCTGGGTGAGCGCCACCAGCCTGCAGCCCAGCAGAGCAGGGCTTGGCCAAGCCTGGCGCCAGGGACTTCCCCCCTACCCCCACCACAGGCCCCTCGCCAGGTGAGAGGCACCGACAGAATCCCAGACAGATGCCCCAGACAGGATGCCCGGGGCAACCCCCGCCCCTTCCCCTGCTAGGGGCCCCCAGGACGCGGGGCTCCCCCTCTCCTTTTGGCCAGCCACAGAGTCCAGCGGATCTCCCGGCCAGGGATGTCGTGGGAGAATCAGGAAGTCGAAGCCACACAGCCGAGAAGGGGCAGCTGGCGTCTCGGAGGCCGTCACGAGCTGTCACTCCGCGCCCGCCGGACTTGCCGCTCAATTACCAACTTCAACCCAGGGCCGGCCCCGGAGCCTCCCGCCGCCCCTACCCCGCGCCCCTGGCACCCCTGGACCTCCGCGCCCGCGTCACTTACTCCTCTGCCGTCGCCACCTGTCTGGGTCCCGGTCTCCTCCCTGCCTGGCCGCGGCACGTCCTCCCCGTCCTCGCAGTCCTCAGGTTCTGCGCTTCCCCCCTCCAGCAACAGCCGCAGCCTCTTCTCTTCGGGAGGGACGTCGTCCTCTTCCCTCCTGGGCCGGCCATCCCTGCCTCGGGGCTTGCCAGTGGCTTCGGAGCTGCCGGAAGGGCTGGCCATGACTCCGGGGGCTCTGCCTGCACCTGGGGAAGAGGAAGGACCCGGCGCGAGCGGCCTCTCGGCGGAGCTGGGGCGTCTGAGCGAGGGCTCGGTGGGTCAGCGCGGCGCGGGGCTGGGCATCCCGGCGGGCGCGGGCTCCTCCGCGGGCCGCTCCTGGCTCTCTGACGCCCTCTGCCGGCCGCTTGCGCGCACCGCGGACACGCCGGGTACTGGCCTGCCCGGCTCTCACCTGCCCAGGCCCAAGCAGTCGCTGTCCCCTGCCTGTGGCCAGGCCCGCTCTGGCCAGGCCCTGCACCTCCTCCCCGCCCCAGCCAGGTTGCACCCGATGGTCTCCCTGCCCAAGGAGGAGAGAAGAGAAAGGACGCCCCGAGATGGTGGACATCGGCCACAACCACCTTGTCTTTGCTCTTACCCTGTGTCTTCCATGATTTGGAGGTGGTGGGAAACCCGAGGCTGCTCAAAACTCGTGGAGAATTCCGCCTGCAGGATGACATGAATGCACCTTCCCATTGCCTACCAACAGATCTTTTTTGAGCATCACTGTGGACCAGGCGTGGTGATGGGGGAGGGGATATTGTGGAGAACATGACAGGCATTGCCTTCACCCAGTGGGGCTCAGCGCTGGGTGGGAAGGCATTGAGAATGGACATTGTCAATTGGGCAAAAGGAGGCCAAGAAGAAGTGCTGGGGGCATGGGAACTGAAAAAGACAGGAGGCTCAGCAGGTCTTGGAGCTGGGAGAGGGACAGCAGCAGCGGCTGTTCCAAAGGAAGCAACAGCTGAGAGAGGCCTCAGAGAGTTGTTCTCAGCCCAGTGGAGGGTGTTCAGGCAGAGGGAACAGCCTGTGCAAAAGCCCAGAGGCTGGGAAAGAAGCAGAAAGAGGACTGTGGGGCTGGAGCGTGGTGGGCAAGAGGAGAAAGGTGTGGTGGGCAGACAGATTGCCTGGGACCGAGCCGTGCAGGGGCAGAGGAGATAGGGGATCCTTGCAGGCCTCCAGCTGGGGCTGAGGCACAGAGACAATGCAGGTGGGCAAAGGGAGGAGACGTGGAGAAGTATTTTGGAGGCATGCCCTGATGAATGAGCCCAGGATGCACCCTTAGTGTCAGTGTGGAGCTCCTTCCTAGGTTGTGTGATGGGCTGAACTGGGGGGTATTTTCTGGACATCGAAGTGCTACACCCAGAGTCCAGGACAGGCTAAGTGAGCACCAGCAGCTCCTGGCCCACCTCAAAAGCAGGAGAGACAGGGGAGACTGGGGAGGCCAGGGCGGAAGGGGAAGCCAGGAAGGCAGGAGAGGCCAGGGAAGCAGAGGAGGCCAGGGAGGCAGGGGAGGCAGGAGAGGCTGGGGCGGCTGTGTCCTTTCCATGTTTCTGCCCAGGATCCTAGGCCGCTGTACTCCCTGAGCTTCCCCACCCCAAGTGCTGGAACCATGTTGCACAACGGTCTCCCCACTAAGCTCCTGATGGCAGCCCCTACCCTGCTGTGCTCCCTATTTCAACCCTAACAGCTCTCACAGTGGGCAGCACATAGTAGGTGCTCAGGAAACACTGGTGGGAGAGCACGTGGGTCTGCTCAGCACCTTCCTCTCTCCTCCAGCTCTCCCCATCATGAAATAATTCTGATAACGACACATGGACTTTGAGATCCTCTTCTATTACTTGCCATATGCTAATCCATCTATACCTCACAGCAGTCCTGGGGGTGGGTGCTATTAGGATGCCCATTTTACAGAGGAGGAGACTGAGGTATAAAGAGGGTAAGTGACATACGCACACTACAGGGGCTGGGGCCAAGTGATCAGAGCACTCAATCCCCAAAGGCAAGGTGGATGCAGTTACCATAAAAGACAGCAGAGTCAAAGCTGCAACCAGCATAGCCTGACTCTCAGAGACCTACGGTGCCAGCTGATCGTGGCTTTCCTAGAAGTGAAATAGATAAGAAGCCTGCCACATTTTTACTGGATCTGTGTTTGCAGAAGAGTTCTAGATCAGGTGAGCAGAAGTCTAATCTGAATCATAAAAACAGAGTCACAGTCCCCAGTCAATTCCCAGACATAAGCCAGTTCACAGACCCGGATTCCCTTGTCTGAATGGGAAGCCAGGTCCCCTGCAGAAAGGACACTGCTCCACTGCCACAAATTAATACTGTCAATCTTTCTCCCAGCCTGCCTCCAAGGGAATACACAGCCTTTTACCAGGATGACTGAACAGGAGAAAAGGAACTAATGGACCTGTGCAGGATCACTGGACACAGGCTGTGAACTGGCACTAGGATGAGACTAGGGTCTACCAGTCAGAATAGGCATTTTGGAGGTCAGGTGAATGTTGGTGCAAGTTCATGTCATGGTAGATCCATTAGGTCCCCCAATCCATCCTCTGGTTATATACAAAGCGGCAATGCTGAGATTCAAATTCAGGGCATCCAACATAGAGGCTGGGCTCTTACTCATGAAACATTCTGACACTAGTAACCAATTTAAAAATGCAAACACCTCCTGGGGCTAGCCAGAGTCCTCCAAACAGTCATGTAAATTGGTTCTGTCAAGGATTTCCTCCTAACAACCCCTTCCCCCCCTCCCCCGCTCCCCGCCTGTTGCAAGGAGAGACTAGGGAAGGGCATTGGGTAACTTTGTTGCTAAAAGCTCTTCTGGATAAAGAAGAGCTTTATCCAGAAAAAAGAAGCAAAATAGAGTTCAGCAGAAGTTGAGAAAAGAAGCAAACAGAGTTCAGCAGAAGAGGTAAGAAAGTAAGTTTATGTTTGACCAAGCACGGTGGCTCACGCCTGTAATCCTAGCACTTTGGGAAGCCAAGGCGGGCAGATCACGAGGTCAAGAGATCGCACCATCCTGGCCAACATGATGAAGCCCCGTCTGTACTAAAAATTCAAAAATTAGCTGGCCATGATGACACACCCCTGTAGTCCCAGCTACTCGGGAGCCTGAGGCAGGAGAATCACTTGAACGTAGGAGGCAGAGGTAGCAGTGGGCCAAGATCATGCCACTGCATTCCAACCCCGTGACAGAACAAGACTCCATCTCATAAAACAAAACAAAACAAACAAAAAAAAGTAAGCTTATTTTTAAGCCTGAACAAGTGTAGTGGTTTAGGGGTTCTGCAAACACGGCCCCAATCAGGCTACAAGATGTTGTGGCAGCAATATTTACAGCCAGTCACTCCTGGCTGGCTGAGCCACTTTTCAAAACACACTTGCACGGCTGTGCAGAGCGGCTGGCTCCACTGGCAGCCGGCAAAGCCATAATACACACTGTCACCACTGCCCTCAAACCCCTTCGGTAAGCACTTTGTTTTTTTGAGACGGAGTCTTGCTCTGTCATCCAGGCTGGAGTGCAGTGGCACAATCTCGGCTCACTGCAAGCCCCGCCTCCTGGGTTCATTCCATTCTCCTGCCTCAGCCTCCCAAGTACCTGGGACTACAGGTGCCCTCCACCATGCCCGGGTATTTTTTTTATTTTTAGTAGAGATGGGGTTTCACCGTGTGAACCAGGATGGTCTCAATCTCCTGACCTTGTGATCTGCCTGCCTCGGCCTCCCAAAGTGCTGGGATTACAGGCGTGAGCCACAGTGCCCGGCCTGGTAAGCAGTTTTAATCAATGCAACAGGAATAAACATTTGCTGCAGAGCGGCAATGTGCAGGGAGGAACATGCTTCCACTCAGGCTCAGAAAGCAAAACCTCCTGGCTGTTTGCATCTGTGCAAGAGCTCGCAGGAAAAGCCCTCTGTGTGGCTGCCAGCCTCACACATTCCCCCCAAGGGCTGAGTTTCTCTTTCCATGTTAATCTATGCTCTGACGTGCCATCTGTCAACCACCACACCATTCTCAGTTGCCCTTTCAAAGCATCTTTGCCCTGAGAATGGTCACCAGCCCTGCCCTGCAAGCCCCCAGCTGACATTGAACTTAAATGAGAGAGAAAACAGGTTCCAGGGTGGATTTCAGTTCAGCATCTTGGAGTCTCTGTGTGGACATGAAATCTGTCTCCCCAGCTGTGGGCTGCATCTTTGTTTGTCATCTGGTTTCGTTCTTGGGGACTTGGAAACTCGTGGGCACCTTTGCAATTTGTCAAGAAGCTGCACGGCCCTTCCGACAAAAGCAAGGAATAGGAACAGAAGTCCAAGACTTCGGATCAAGGTGCCACTTAAAGCAGCCTCAGTGTAAAAGCAAACAAGAGTCAGAGGGATGCCTAAGGCAGAGTCTAGTCCCCAGGGCAGCTATAAGGCAAAGAGAAAGAGAGACAGAGACAGAAAGACAGAGAGAGATGGGAGGAGACATGAGGCACCCAGGCCTCTGGATCAAAATCCCTACAAGAGGGGCCTCCTAAAAATGCAGGAGGCTGAGGTGGGTGCACACAGAAGTTCAAGACTAGCCTGGGCAACATAGCAAGACCGTGTCTTTACAAAAAATACAAAAATTAGCCGGGTGTGGCGGTGTATGTCTGTGGTCCCAGTTACCCAGGAGGCTGAGGTGGGAGGATGGCTTGAGCCCAGGAGGTAGAGTTGCAGCGAGCTGAGACAGCACCACTGCACTCCAGCCTGGGCAACAGAGTGAGACTTCATCTCAAACAAATTTAAAAATTTTTTTAAAAGGATCACCCTGGCTACTTGAATGGGTAATAAGAAGGTAATAGCAGAAGCAAGGAGACCAGCAGGGAGATTCTGCAGGTGGGAGTCCATAGTGGCTCAGACCAGGCTGGCACTGAAGACTGCCTGAATTCTGTATATATTTTGATGATGAAGAAACTCACCGACTCTTGAAGAGTGGGCTCTAGGAGACGGTATTTTTAACAAGCTGTCAGAGGATTCTAATGCAGGCTGAAGTTGAAAAACTGGTTTAGGTGAAGCTTCTGTTTCATCCTTAGGGAGGTACCTACTGACTTTTCTCCAAGCCACCTCAAAAGAGGTGCTAGACAAGATGTGCTCCAATGTCTGAACATGTGTGCACAGCTCTAGAGCCAACCTCAGGACACTGAGTCAAAGGTTAGGAGTACAACAGTGAACAACCACTGTCCTCTTTTCAATGAGCTTTGCATTTAATGAGAGAAATAAAAAGC
The DNA here is from genome assembly GCF_000001405.40 of Homo sapiens. Taxonomy (NCBI): domain Eukaryota; kingdom Metazoa; phylum Chordata; class Mammalia; order Primates; family Hominidae; genus Homo; species Homo sapiens. The sequence continues at coordinate 12,020,112 of NC_000008.11, forward strand.
AAAAAAAAAAATCATTTTCAACTCAGAATGGTAAGAGTTATGGTGAAAGTATGCCTGGGGCAATGGCAGCAAATAGAAGGGGCACCTGATTGGCTAGGTGCAGTTGTTCTTGCCTGTAATCCCAGCACTTTGGGAGGCCAAGGTGGGTGGATCACTTGAGGCCAGGAGTTCGAAAACAGCCTGGCCAACATGGTGAAATCCTGTCTTTACTAAAAATACAAAAAAAAATTAGCCAGATGTGGTGGCGGGCACCTGTAATTCCAGATACTCAGAAGGCTGAGGTGGGAGAATTGCTTGAACCTGGGAGGCAGAGATTGCAGTGAGCCAAGACCGCGCCACTGCACTCCAGCCTGCATGGTCAGAGCGAAATTCTGTCAAATAAATAAATAAAAGCCTGGAGGTGGGTGGGCATGCAATCTCTATCAGGTGATGAGAAATCCTTCTCCATCACAGGACTCCTCGGTTGAAGACTAGAAAATGGTAGGAACTAGCCAGGTCGATAGGAGAGGTGAGGAAGATCATTCCCAGCAGAGGGAAGAGCATGTGCACAAATCGAGACGTGAGAGGGTGAGGAGCTGAGAGATGTTCATATAATTATAAAAAGTGACTAATATAGAGGTAAGTTGGAGCCAAATCTTAAAGGCTCTTTGTCGTGTTTATCCTGTAGACAAAGGGAGACAGTAGATGTCTTTAGGCAGGGGAGTAATGATCCACTTTGTGCTAGAACAAGAGCAGCCTGGCTGGAGGAGAGTGGGAGGTAAGTAGACCAGGTAGGAGGCTGCAATACACCAAGTGAGACAAGATGGTTGGCTGGACCAAGGCTGTGGCAGTGAGGATGGAGAGGAGACAGTAGACTAACTTGACTGAGAAAGAGGGAGGAATGAAGGAGGAGGCCCAGCTGTTTTGGACGCTGGGTGGATGGTGGTGTGAATCTGACGTGGTGAGCCCTGGCAGAAGAGGAAATCAGGAGAGGCAAGGTAAGATGAGGTCAATGCAAGAAAGACTGCCAAGTAGAGATAACAACTGGGCCGTTGGATTCATCAGCCTGGAGTTATACAGAGAGCTCTGGAATGGAAATAAAGAGGAAAGGACTTTGAGAATAGGTGAATCCTCCCAGAATAATGTGTAGAGAAAGGAGAATAGAACACAGGGGACAGAAAAAGGGAAGAGATTTGTTATTAAAACCAACCATCCATCAGACATCTTCCAATAAAACACTTGTTAGAGGTTTCCTCAGTGTGAGTTATTCAGGACCAGAGCTAAAGACCATATTCCCAATAAAATAACTGCTGGGAAGGTCTTCATGAAAACATTTAATGCTGCTTTTAAAACAACAACAACAAAAAGGCTTTAGCTACTGCACAGACCCTGGAGCAATTTTTCGGCAAGAGTCTATCAAACACGAATCTGATCTGACTCAAGGAGGTGTCATATCAAGTGTAAAAATCCAATTCCAATGTCCATAACAGCCTTTCTGCCAGGTACAAGACCGTAATCCAGTTGAAGTGATTTTCTATTGATGAATAGGCTGGGAATACACAGGTTGTTGGTTTTTGAGATTTCCCTCCCTGTGCCTCATGCCAGCTGTGAAAGAGTCAAAAGGCTCCTAACTGTCAAAATAAAAATGACACTTGGTCACAGAGGAAACAGATTATAGGCCAATCACATTGATGACTTTTTAAATATGAGAAGCCATTAATGTTACTGAATAAGCAAATCTGTTTGCATAACCAGATTTTTATAGGCTACTGGGAATAAAGGTTTTCCTAAGTGGGTGATTTGTACAACGATAGCCTTTGGGTCTCTGATGGAACAGCTCTGATGAGGAAATGTTCCTTTAATTATGTGGAAGGCCAATTACCATGTTATAGCCACATTGTTTTTCAGATTGCATATAATTTCACCATTTCCATAGCTTCAGCACGATAATTCTGGAGAAAATTCAGACACCAAGAAGACACTTGAGGCACAGTATGCTGGAGACAAAGATGTTTTAGCGAATTCAATTTAAGCTTCAACATTAAAGTTATTTTGTTGAATAAAACAAAATGCAATAATGAGCTTGTGTATGTCAACTCTATAGTGCAGGTAATAATAGCTAGAGAGAGCATGTCACATCTCCTCTTTTTAATGCTCATTCGAGTAATACATAATGCTATAGAGAGACCCTTTCTCTAATATGTGCTTCATCTCAGGCTAAGTGTGTTTTGGGCAACCGTGCTTCATGAAAAAAAAAAAAGTAAAGGATCTAATTTGGGAGCCATTCGCAAAAGTGCTACCACTTGATTTTTTTAATACTCTGAGATTTCTTATTCCCAGTGCCCACCAGGAATGGACTTTCTGGAGAAGCTCAGATTAATCACTCCTTATGAGAGGTAACAGCGTGCTGGCAGCCCTCACAGCCCTTGCTCGCTCTCGGTGCCTCCTCTGCCTGGGCTCCCACTTTGGCGGCACTTGACGAGCACTTCAGCCCGTGGCTGCACAGTGGGAGCCCCTTTCTGGGCTGGCCAAGGTCGGAGCTGACTCTCTCAGCTTGCAGGGAGGTGTGGAGAGAGAGACGTGAGCCAGAACCGGGGCTACACGCGCTGCTTGCCTGCCGGCTGGAGTTCCGGGTGGGCGTGGGCTTGGCAGCCCCGCGCTAGGAGCTACCGGCCCCGGACAGTGAGGGGCTTAGCACCTGGGCCAGCAGCTGCTGTGCTGGACTTTTTGCCATGCCTTAGCTGCCTCCCTGCGGGGCAGGGCTCGGGACCTGCAGCCCACCATTCCTTAGCCTCCCCCCTCCGTGGGCTCCTGTGCGGCCCGAGCCTCCCAGATGAGCACCGCCCCCTGCTCCACGCCACCCAGTCCCATTGACCACCCAATGGATGAAGAGTGTGGGCACATGGAGAGGGACTGGCAGGCAGCTCCACCTGCGGCTCTTGTGCGGGATCCACTGGGTGAAGCCAGCTGGGCTCCTGAGTCTGATGGGGACTTGTAGAACCTTTATGTCTAGCTAAGGGATTGTAAATACACAAATCGGCACTCAGTATCTGGCTCAAGGTTTGTAAACACACCAATCAGCACCCTGTGTCTAGCTCAGGGTTTGTGAATGCAACAATAGACACTCTGTATCTAGCCATTATGGTGGGGACTTGGAGAACCTTTGTGTGGACGCTCTGTATCTAGCTAATCTAGTGGGGACGTGGGGAGCCTTTGTGTCTAGCTCACGGATTGTAAATGCACCAATCAGCGCCGTGTCAAAACAGACCACTCATGCTCTCTGTAAAATGGACCAATCAGCAGGATGTGGGTGGGGCCAGGTAAGAGAATAAAAGAAGGCTGCCCGAGTCAGCAGTGGCAACCCGCTGGGGTCCCCTTCCACACTGTGGAAGCTTTGTTCTTTTGCTCTTTGCAATAAATCTTGTTGCTGCTCACTCTTTGGGTCCACACTGCCTTTATGAGCTGTAACACCGTGAAGGTCTGCAGCTTCACTCCTGAAGCCAGCGAGACCATGAACCCACCGGGAGAAATGAACAACTCCAGATGTGCAGCCTTAAGAGCTGTAACACTGTCCATGAAGGTCTGCAGCTTCACTCCTGAGCCAGAAAAACCACAAACCCCACCAGAAGGAAGAAACTTCGAACACATCTGAACATCAGAAGGAACAAACTCCAGACATGCCACCTTTAAGAACTGTAACACTCACCAGGAGGGTCTGCGGCTTCATTCTTGAAGTCATTGAGACCAAGAACCCACCAATTCTGGACACACTTATACACTTGGCACTGGGAGGTCTGTATGGAGCAAGTGAAGAAATCAGCAGAGTGAAGATAGAGGGAGAACAACATGATGGGGGAAAGGCAAAGTTACTGCCATGTTGGTTTCAATTCTGCCACTCATGAGTGAGACCCATGACCTCCTCTCTCTAGGACTCTGTTGTTCTTATCTGTACAGTGGAGGAATAGAAGGGCCTTTTAAAGTATTAACATTTCCTGATCTATCTGTAAAACACTTTCATTCAAACTGATGGGAATCTTGACTACTTTGCCAAGAGGACATAATAATCATCAAGCTGAATGCACCAAACAACATTGCCTGAAACTATCTAAGCAAAAACTGAGAAAGTTACACAGGACAGACAAACCTCCTATGAGACTAAGAACTCTTCAGCACATGCTTAGTGTGTCAAAGACAATGCTGTGTTCACACCATTCCTCTTCCTCTACATGCAGGAAGACTACATTTCCCAGCCTCACTCGCAGTTAGTTTGGAACCATGTGACTGCATTCCCACCAATACGAATGTAAGAAATCACTTCTGGGCCAAGGTTATCAAAGGCAAGTGTGAGCTATGTTCCCTCTCTTCCTATCCATATGGCTACAAGTGAAAAACTCTGAGATGGCAGAATTAAAAGATGGAAACCTCCAGAATCTCTGAATCAATGTTGGACAAGGGCCGCCAAGGAGAACCCCTGCCCTACACCAGACTATGCTATGGGTGCCAACCCACTGAGAGTTCAGGGTTTATTCGTCTCAGCAGCAGTCTATTGTTACACTGACTAACATCCTAAGGTTTGAGAGATCTAGCATATTGTTAATTGAAGCTAGATTTCAATTACACTGAGAACCTTATCTATTTAAAAATAAAAACTCTCCAAAAAAAAAACAAAAAACAAATAATCCACATTCCTTTTAACCACATGTGGCAAATTTGCAAAACAACAACAACAACAACAACAACACCAAAACTGGCCACATATTAGGCCATAAAGAAGTCTCAACAAAATCCACTATACGATTGACCTTGTCCAAACCACATTTTCCTGACCACAATACAACAAAATTAGAAGTCAGCAGCAAAAAGATAGCTAAACACAAGCACACATTTGCAAAATTAAAAATATGCTTTCATGAGTTAAATGAAAAATCACAATAGAAATTACTAAACATTTACAACAGAACGAAAATACAACTTTATATATATATATGTATATATATATATACGTATATATGTATATATATATGTGTATATATATATATATGTTTTTTTTTTATGGGTCTTCCAACTTTGTTCTTCTTTTACAAGGTTATCTGGGAAATTCTGGGTTTCCTGCAAATCCTCATACAGTTTTATGCTGTTTGTCAATTTCTGTGGCTGGGATGAACTTATCGTAGTTCTCATAGACCAGGGTTTGCATGTCGCTGTCTAGAGCCCGGATCTGCTGCACCATGTCCGTCTCACAGTCCATCAGCTGGGCCAGAGGACTCTCTCTAGGCAGCTTGTCTAGGTAAACTTCCCGGTCGAAGTGCGCCCCGTTCCGATCAGTGGGGTCCAGGGGGTCGGGCCCCGTGGGGAGTCCCACCGACTCCCCTTCCGAGAGGCCGTTGTAAAGCTTTAGCATCCTGTGCGCCTTCCGCCGACACTCCGTGAGCCTCCTCCTCAGGCCCTTCTTGGGAGTCCCCAGGTCCACACCCCGGGCTAGGCCCAGTGACAGCTGCCACCGCCATAGGTCCAAATGCAGCCCACGGGCGTAATTTTTGTATTTTTAAGTTGGATACATGGAGCTACTTGGCTTTTGCTTTCATCACATCGTTGAGGAAAGAGGTGGTTGCTTATGGTACCCCTGTTTTTACTGCAACGTGTAATGGATGAGAACCTCCCTGTTACAGAGAGCAAAACACTGAACTAAATTGTGCTGTAACACAGCCCTGTGATGGGGGATTGGGAGTGATCATGCAAATGCTTGCAAATTTGCACAGTGACAGAGACAATCGTCTGCGCAGCTGTTCACTATAGGAAAAGGCAATTGACCAAAAGTCAGTTGTTGAGCTATCTCAATACTTTCATTTTATTTTAACTTTTGCAGCAGGGTGCAATTAAAGGAGAGAAAGAAAACAAGTAATAAGTGTAAGATAATGTACACACATGTGTAAAAGAAAATGACAAGACAGGATGACTATTTGTCTCTTGGTTAGCTCCTTGGGCTCTATGTCTCCTTCCTCAGAGAACCTCGTTTTCCTTTGTCCAGATTTCTTAGGGTGGATAATTCAGGCACCTGCTCCCCCATGATGGAAGCCAAAGACGTCCCTGGAGCCGCCTCCCGCTGCATCCTTTCCTGCACTGCCCACATGGACACAACTCAGCCGATTAGACTTCCTCTCAGAACTTTAGTCTTGAGCAAAGAGATTAAAGGGTGAAGTGACTGAAGGTATGCCCTTCCAAAGTGGTACATGAGCTAATGGCTAAAGTTTGCCAAGCCCATCCAAGCACTTTTATTCGTAATTTTTATTTATTTATTTTTCTGAGACAGAGTCTTGCTCTGTTGCCCAGGCTGGAGTGCAGTGGTGTGATCTCGGTTCACTGCAACCTCTGTCTCTCGGGTTCAAAGGAGTCTCCTGCCTCAGCCTCCCCAGTAGCTGGGATTACAGGCATATGCCACCATGCCTGGCTAATTTTTTTTTCTTTTGTATTTTTAGTAGAGACAGGGTTTCACCATGTTGGCCAGGCTGGTCTCGAACTCCTGACCTTGTGATTCACCTGCCTCAGCCTCCCAAAGGGCTGGGATTATAGGTGTGAGTCACCGTACCCAGCGTCAAAAAGTTTTAAGCAGAGCTAAGAAGTCTTAACCACAGGCACATCGGAGGAGCATTTTTGAAACACTTTCCATCTTCCTCAATAGGAATGGAAGCCAAACTCCGAATTGGTGACTCCTTTGAGGAAGTCCAGAGCTGTAAGGAAAGCCAGGAACAGGGCAAGGGAGAGATGCATCCCGAATGATCCTGTGCCAATTCTTTCTGGAATCGTTGATGTGATCTCAGCTGCCCTCTCTATACATGACACAGTGATTGTGGCACCCACTGGTCTAGCTCTGGTCTCTAAGGAACCCCCAAAGGGAAGGGCACAGTGAGCAGGGGCATCGGCCTGAGTGACAAGGATTTGAGAGGGCCGGTTGGTTGCAGGGAGAGGACTGGCCAAATGCCATGTGTCTGGACTTAGACTGCCTGGTTCAAATTGGAATTCGCCCTTTTTGACTTCGTGATCTGGTACAAGCTACATGAAAATCCGTTGCGCCTTTTCTAGTCTGTAAAATCATCCTGAAATGTGCACTAATAACATGGAGACTAAGCAGATGAAATGAAATATGCTGCATACAGCAAAGAACTCAGAGCCTGGCCTTTAGGAAGCCCTCAGTAAGGGTTCATGATGCCATGGTGTCTGTCGTCATCCTCTTTATCCTCATCATCACCTTCATAATCTTTTTGTTGTTCTTAGGGAATAGTTTAGAGGGACTGATTCCCTGCTATCATGGGTGAGATATCTATGAAAAGGACAACCAGTGGGGGAGGAAAGCAAAATTTTGAATAAGATTTCTGAGACCCCCACCACAACCAAGAACAGAAACTCCACAGTCTGCTGAGCAGAGAGTTGCATATTGGTCTCCTCCCATCTACCCACCGCACTCTCCTGTTTGTCTTGAGAATGAGGAAACAAACAAGGCTCCCGACCGTCCCTCAGCACTCACTTGAAGGGGTGGCCTGCCCCTCCACACCTGTGGGTATTTCTAGTCGTGTGGGATGAGAGACTGAGAAAAGAAATAAGACACAGAGACAAAGTATAGAGAAACAACGGTGAGCCCAGGGGACCGGCACTCAGCATACCAAGGACCTGCACCGGCACCGGCCTCTGAGTTCCCTCAGTTTTTACTGATTATTATTTTTATTATTTTAGCAAAAAGGAATGTAGTAGGAGGGCAGGATGATAAAAAGGAGAAGGTCAGCAATGAACATGTGAGCAATAGAATCTATGTCATAATGAAGTTCAAGGGAAGGTACTATGACTGGACATGTATGTAAGCCAGATTTATGTTTCTCTCCACCCAAACATCTCAGTGGAGTAAAGAATAAGAAGGCAGCATTGCTGCAAACATGTCTCGCCTCCCACCATAGGGCGGTTTTTCTCCCATCTCAGAATTGAACAAATGTACAATCGGGTTTTATATCGAGACATTCAGTTCCCAGTGGCAGGCAGGAGACAGCGGCCTTCCTCTCTCTCAACTGCAAGAGTCTTTCCTCTTTGACTAATCCACCTCAGCACAGACGATCTATGGGGGTTGAGCTGGGGGATGGTCAGTTCTTTCTCCTCCCATGAGGCCACTTATCAGACTATCACATGAGGAGAAACCTTGGACAATACGCCTCTTTCAAGGGCAGAGGTCCCTGCGACTTTCCACAGAGTATCTTGCTCCTGGTTTATTGAGACTAGAGAATCGCTATGACTTTTACCAAGTATACTGCTTGGAAACATCTTGTTAACCAGGCACGTCCTGCATAGCCCTAGATCCCTTAAACCTTGATTTCATACAACACATACTTTTGTGAGCTTCAGGTTGGGTCAAAGTGGTTGGTTCAAAGTGACTGGGGCAAAGCTACAGATTAACAACATCTCAGCAAAGCAATTGTTGAAAGTACAGGTCTTTCTCAAAATGGAGTCTCTTATGTCTTTCCTTTCTACATAGACAGAGTAAGTGTCTGATCTCACTTTCTTTTGCCTACATTCACTGAACTGCTCTTCCCCTCTGCTGGGCCACGACCATGGAGAACAGGTTCAACTGTCCTCCCTGCTTGGTGCACCATGGAGGCTCAGACTCCGTCCTCAAGGCTGGCAAGAAGACAGGGTGAGTCATCAGCCCCCTGATACAGGTGACGGGAGTGGAGCCCACAGGACTGCAACCTCACATTGCAGGGCTGGAGGCACAGACTATTTACTATTCTGTGGGCTGGGGGGCTCAAGGCCCAGAGCTCCTCATTAGCCAAAGTCGCCCAAGTTCCCCAACCTCTAAGGATTTCCTCATAATATTGCAAGAAGAAGAAGAGAAAAGTGAGTGTCCATAGAAGCTTTGGGGCTCTTCCTCTAATCAGGAGAAAGCTGGTGGGTATTCTTCACTTCTTTCTTTACTTTTTAAACATCCAACTGCTTTAATTTTCATCTTTTAATATGGGAAAATATACCACGTATAAATATTAAAAATTATAAATACATATTAGTTCATAGAGAATAGTCTGTATAAATATTTACAGTTTCCACTCTTTTTCAGTTTACAGTTTAACGACATTAAGTAAGTTCACATTGTTTAGCAACCGTCGCCGCCATCGTCTCCGGAACAGTTTTATCTTTCAAAATGGAAATTCCACCCATTCACCAAGCTCTCCATTCCTTTCTCTCGCCCACCCCTGGAGGCCACCTTTCTAGTTTGCAACTCTATGAGTTTAACTACTCTAGACACTTGATAGATAAGCGGAATCATACCTTGTTTAATTTTTTTGTTTTGGAGACAGTCTTTCTCTGTCACCCAGGCTGGAGTGCAGTGGCGTAGTCTGGGCTGACTGCAACCTCCACATCGTGGGTTCAAGCGATTCTTGTGTCTCAGTCTCCCGAGAGGCTGGGATTACAGGCGTGCGCCACCACGCCCTGCTAATTTTTGGATTTTTAATAGAGACGAGCTTTCACCATATTGGCCAGGCTTGTCTCGAACTCCTGACCTGAAGTGATCCGCCTGGCTCAGCCTCCCTAAGTGCTGGGGTTACAGTTGCGAGCCACTGAGCCTGGGCCTGTTTATCCTTTTGGGATTTATTTATTTCACTGACGATAATGTTTTCAAGGTTCATCCATGTTGCGGCCTGCGTCAGAAGTGCCTGTCTGTTTTTTGTTTGTTTGTGTTTTGTTTGTTCGTTTGACTTTGCTTTGTTTTGTGTTCCCATGGAGTCTCACTCTGTCGCACAGGCTGGAGTGCAGTGGCACAATCTGGGCTTACTGCAACCTCCGCTTCCCGGGTTCCAGCGATTCTTGTGCCTCAGCCTACTGAGTAGCTGGGACTATAGGCACACGCCACCACGCTCATTTAATTTTTTGCATTTTCAGTAGAGACAGGGTTTCACCAAGATGGCCAGGCTGGTCTTGAATTCCTGACCTCAGGTGATCCACCCACCTCGGTCTTCCAAGACGCTGCGATTACAGGCGTGAGCAACCACACCGGCCAGAAGTGCCTGCCTTTTGAAGGCTGAATTGTCTTCCATTGTATGAAGGAACTGCAGTGTGCTTTTTCATTCATCTGTCTACGAACCCTTGGGTTGCTTCCACATTTTGGCTGTTGTGAATAATGGTGCTATGAATATGGGTGTACACAAATCTGTCTTCCACTCCTGGCTTCTAATTCTTTTTGGCAGGTACCCACAAATGCAACTGTGGGAACATCTGATCATTCTGTTTCTAATTTTTCCAGTAGACGCCATACTATTTTCCCGGTTCCTTCATGGTTTTACATTCCCTCCGATCACATTCGAGCATTCCTACTTCCCTCTGTTCTAACCAATACCTGTTTGTTTATCATATCCATCCTAATGTGTGGTGTCACATTCTTGGTTTGATTTGCGCTTCCCTATGATGAGTGACTTTGAACATCATTTTAGATGCTTATTGGCCATTACGATATCTTCTTTAGGGACACGTCTACTCGAGTCTTCTGACCATTGTTGATGGGATGCTTTGGGTTTCTTGTTGTTTAGTTCTAGCTGTTCTTCATATATGATGGATATCAGCCTCTTTTCAGATATATGCTTTGCAAATATTTTTCCTAATCCATGGGTTATCTTTTCTCTGAATTTGCAGTGTTTTTTGCTGCACAAAAGTGTCTGTCATTTAGATGTAATCCAAGGAATCTAATTTTCTTTTGTTGCCTATGCTTTTGGTGTCATACCCAGAGAACGTTGCCCAATCTGATGTCATGAAAGTGTGGCCAATGTTTTCTTTTAGGCTTATGATACTTTTAGTCCTTGGGGTTAGGTCTTTGATCCAGTTTGTGTTAATTTTTGCACGTGGTGTGACACAGGGTCCACCTTCATTCTTCTGCATGTGGAAATCAAGTTTCTCCAACACCATTTCTTGAAAAGGCTGCTTTTCCACCAATGAGCTTTCTTAGAACTCATGTGAAAAATCATTTGAACATACAGGTGAGAAGTTATTTCTGGGCTCCAAAGCAAACAAACAAACAACAACAGACACCAGATAAGGATACAGCACGGGCCGGGCGCGGTCGCTCATGCCTGTAATCCCGGCACTTTGGTAGGCCGAGGCGGGCAGATCACCTGAGGTCAGGAGTTGAAGACCAGCCTGACTGACAGGGAGAAACCCGCGTCTCTACTAGAAATAAAACATTAGCTGGGCATGCTGGCACATGCCTGTAATCCCAGCTACTCGGGAGGTGGAGGCAGGAGAATCGCTTGAACCCAGGAGGCAGAGGTTGTGGTGAGCCAAGATTACACCATGACACTCCAGCCTGGGCAACAAGAGCGAAACTCCGTCTCAAAACAAAAAACAAAAAACAAAAAACAAAAAACCAGCATGATTTCAAGAGCAGAAAGAGAAGAGCTTAAAAACCAGCATAATGAGAAAGTTAGGAAGCTTCTTACCAAAGCATCTGGAAATATGCAAGCAATTCTTGTAAACTAAAATTTTCATGCTGTACTATCAAACAGTAGTACTCACTTATTCCATCTTTCTGTATTTTGGGACCCAATTATCCACCTGTCTTCATTCCCTATCCCACCCCTTTTCTTCCTAGCGTCTGCTAAACACCTTTATACTCTCCACCTTCCTGAGATTCCTTTTGTGTGTAGGTGTGTCTGGGATGGAGTCTCTTTTTGTTGCCCAGGTTGGAGTATACAGGCACAATCCGGGCTCACTGCAAGCTCCGCCTCCCGAGTTCAAGCTCTTCTTGGGCCTCAGCCCTCGGATTAGCTGAGACTACAGACACGCGTCACCACGCCGGGCTCATTGTTTGTGTTTTCCGTAGAAACGAGGTTACACCATGTTGGCCAGGCGGGTCTCAAACTCCTGGACTCAAGTGACCCATGCGACTCGGCCTCCCAGAGTGCTGGGATTACAGGCCTGAGAAACCACACCTGGCCAAGGTTTCCTTTTTTCTTCCTACATAGAAGTGAGGACGTGAAATATTTGTCATTCTGTGCCTGGCTTATTTCATTTAATATACAGACCTGCAATCTCATCCATTTTGTCTGCAGCGGAGAGGAGTTTCCTCCTTTTTAGGCTGAATAATACTTCATTGGGTGTGTATACCACAGTTTCTTCATTGAAACAAATTTCTGAAGAGCAAATATTTTTGAAATGCCTCGGAATGTGAAACTTTAGGGATACTGTGCCCATTTTATTCTTTTCTGTTTCCAATCTTATGTATATGCAAGTGTATAACAAAGCAGCAATCAATGTGTGTATAAATCTATAACTTCAACAATTGTAAAATGTAAATGCTAAGTGGTGGCTGGGCGCGGTCACTCATGTCTGTAATCCCAGCATTTTGGGAAGCGGAAGCTGGCGGATCACCTGAGGTCGGGAGTTCTGGACCAGCCTGAACAAAATGGAGAAACACTGTCTCTATTAACAATAAAAAAAAAAAAAAAAAAAAATTAGCCAGGCATGGTAGCGCATGCCTGTAATCCCAGCTCCTTGGAAGGCTGAGTCAGGAGAATTTCTTGAATACGGGAGGCAGAGTTTGCAGTGAGCCGAGACCGTGCCATTGAACTTCAGCCTGGGCAACAAGAGTGAAACTCGGACTCAAAAAAAAAGAAGATAAATAAATAGAAAATGCGAAATGGTAAGAAAAAACAGCATAATAAAATTTATATGGTGTTGATGGACAATGCATTTGAAGATAATATTTGAAGAAATCATATTACAATTAATTTCTGTTCTTACTCATTGGAGCTTGACGCCTCTAAAAACTTCGTCATTGGAACCACCTCTGGTGCTTTAAAAGAAAAAAAAAATCCACACACTCACACAGGTGCAAGGAAATCAGAATCTCAGGCATTGAGACCCAGGCCTCATCATTTCTAAGCTCCCCAGGTGATTTGACTCAAAGCCAAGATTGAGGAACGGCGACATGGATCTCTACACATAACCTGCCTAAATAGATTCTCTAGAAGCAGTTTATAAAGAAATTCCACATGAACTGTGGAAGAGGATATGAATTTGATGTACAGTATGTCCTCACTGAACATCTTTGAAAGTCTCTTGGAAACTTCACCTTGAAGCAAAATTATGTATAGTGAAACCACTTATTTTTCTTCCACAGTATAACTACACGACTTTGAACAACCAATGGTGTTGGAGGACCTCCTGTGCATTGTTTCCATAAAGTCAGTTTTCAGGGAATTCCAAAACGAAGTGAGGACTTCGTGTATATAAAAAGATGGTTGTGATTCCACCTGGATGACAGTGTTATTTCTCAGAAACTAAAAGAGGCCGCCTCGTTATAGAGGATTCTGTCATGAGGTTTCTGCTAAACCAAGGATCCCAGAATCCTCACCCATTCCAGTTAAAGGCATAACGAAGAAAGCAATATTCACAAAGGAAATGCGGAAAGGAATAAAAGCCATCAAGCCACAAAAATAATGTGACTAAGGGACAGGATTTGCAGATGTAGAGATTTAATGTGGTTGCCCTTTCTCACCCACACAAGAAAAAGGATGGAACAGATCATGAGATTCCACTGTTCTGCTGCGCAGCCTCCGCAGGGCACTTTGTATGTCCCTGTTTCTCAGGCTGTACATGAAAAGGTTCAGCATGGGGGTGACCACAGCGTACATCACTGATGCCACCACACCACTCCTGGGGGGTGGTGACACAGCTGAAGCCAGGTACACGACAATGTCTGCTCCATAAAATCAGCAAACAGCTGCTAGGTGAGAGCCACAGGTGGAGAAAGCTTTATACTTCCCATCTGACGATGAAATCCTTAGAATGGAGGGGACAGTTTTATAGTAAGACAAAAGGATCCCTGAAATGGGAAGAAAACCAAACATAGTACTATCGAAATATATGAATATGCTATTGATGACGCTGTCAGAACAGGCAAGTTTGAGAGGTTGAGAGGGGTCACAGACAAAATGAGAGATTTCCACATTCTTGATGATGGTGAGTTATAACACAATCCAACTGTGCAGCTGGGAATCCAACAGGCTGAGGAAAAAGGACACCAAGACGAAGAAGATACAGAGGTGAGGATTCACGATGACTGGATAGTGCAGAGGGCCACAGATGTCTACAAAGCAGTCATAGGCCATCACAGTCAGGAGCATGCCTTCTATACATGCAAAAAGGACCAAGAAATACATCTGTGTCAGGCAGCCCGCATGAGAGATGACTCTGCTATGTGACTGCATGTCCACAATCATCTTGGGAACCGTGGCTGAGGTGAAACCCATGTCAGCCCAGCACAGGTTGGAGAGGAAGAATTACGTGGGGGTGTGGAGGGGGGAGTCAGAGCTGACAGCCGGTATGCTGAGCAGGTTCCTCAGCACCGTGACCAGATACATGGACAGGGACAGGGACAGCAAAGCGAGGACCGGCTGCAGTTCTGGATCCTCTGAGAGTCCCAGGAGGAGGAATTCTCAGACACCTGTGAGATTCCGTGGCCCTGTGTGTCTTGGACACCTTGAGAAGGAAAGAGGATTGGAAAAATAAAAGATAAAAACCAGCCCTTAATGCTAGATGCAAGCAATTCACAAGGAACATCTTCACACTTGCGGACCATACACCGCCAGCAATGTTTCTCAGTTGTGACAATTCCAAAAATCTCAGAATTATTACGTGATTTACTTTTTTGCTATTCAAGGCTTTCTGTACATACTACTTTAGAGAATATCCACTGGAGAATATTAGAAGACCAAAACGTCATATATAACAAATCCGTGATCTCAGTAAAATATGGCCTACTCTTTTCAGAAAAAATACAATGCAATGAAAATGTCCTTCTCTCTTTCAGAAAAAGATCTCAGTCTAATTGAAAGAAATTAAGAAACCGTGAAATACACTCTACTTTATTCTGACACGGTGCTACAACTTCCATTGATGTAGAATATGTAAAAGGATGACACAAGGGCTAGGACCCCATTATCTGAAAACGAAATCGAACCTTATAATTCTCAATCGGAAGACCTTTTCACATGCCTGTTACTTTTCATATTTATTATCATCCTTCGGTTTTCTGACATCATTTCTTCATAAAAGTACATGCACACTCAAAAATGGGAGCTGGGTTTCCAAATGAATAGAATCTATAACTGCTGGCCCAGCACCATGGCTCACACCTGTAATCCCAGCACTTTGGGTGGCCGAGGCTGATGGATCACCTGAGGTCAGGAGTTCCAGACCAGCCTGGCCAACGTTGTGAAACCCCGTCTCCAGTGAAAATAATAAAAAAAAATAGCCGGTCGTGGTGGCGGGTAACCCTAGCTACTCGGGAGGCTGAAGCTGGAGAATCCCTTATAACCTGGAAGGCAGAGATTGGACACCCTGTGATAGGATTTTTGATATCCTAGGGAGGTATTGCTCCTGACAGTAGAGTGGGCGTACACCCTGTGATATTATTTGTAATATCCTAGAAAGATATTGCTCCTAATATCATGGTGACTCTACACCCTGTGATCTTAATTGTAATATCCTACAGAGATCTTACTCCTAATAATACAGTGGGTGTACATCCTGTGATATTATTGATAATACATCACAGAGATAGGACTCCTGATATCACAGTGAGTGTACACCATGTTGGAACACGCTGTGATCTTATTTGTAACAACTTAGAAGAATACTAGAGCTAATATCAAAGTTGGTGTACACCCTGCGATGTTATTTGTTATCTACTAGGTAGATATTACTCCTAATATCACAGTGAGTGTACACCATGTGTGTACAGACTGTGAAATTATTCGTAATACCCTAGGAAGATATTACCCCTCATATCACAGTGGGTGTACACCGTGAGTGATTTTTTTTTCTAATATCCAGCGGGGGAGAGGATGATATTGCTTCCAATATCACAGAAGGTGTACACCCCCTGTGATATTGTTCCTAATATCCAGGGAAGGAGAGGATGACATTATTCGCAATATCACTGGGGGTGTACCACCTCCCGCCAGGATATTGTTCTTAATATCTGGAGGTGGAGAGAATGATGTTACTCCCAATATCACAGGGGGTGTACACCACCCCTGTTTGTAAACACCCCCTGTGATATTGTTCCAAATGGCCTGTGAAAGAGTAACCATGACTCCTATTATCGCGAGGGGTGTTCAGCCCTGATGATATTGTTTTCTAACATCCAAGGATGGAGAGTATGCTATTACTCCCAATATCGCAGGGGTTGTACACCCTTCTGTGATTTTGTGCCCAATATCCAGGAAAATAGAGGATGATATTACTCCCGATATCGAAGTAATTGTACAGCACCCCTGTGATATTCTTCCTAATATCCAGAAAGGAAAAGAATGATATTACTCCCACCAGTGTAGGAAACGTATACCCGCGCTGTGGTATCTTTCCCAGTATCCAGGTGGGGAGAGGATCATGTTACTTCCAGTGTCGCAGGGTGTGTACAGCCCCTCTGTGATCTCATTGCTAACATCCAGGTTTGGGGAGGACGACATTATTCCCAATATCGCAGGGGGAGTACACCCCCCCGTGACCTTGTTAGTCATTTCCTGGGTGGAGAGGATGATCTTACTCCCAATATAGCAGGGGGTGTACACCCCCCTGTGAAAATCTTCCTATATTCAGAGGGAGAGAGGATGATGTTACTCCCAGTATCGCAGAGGGTTTCCACAGCCCTGTGATACTCTTCCTAATATCCACAGGGAGACAGGATGATATTACTCCCAATACCGCAGGGGGTGTACACAACCCTGTGATATTGTTCCTAACATCCAGAGCGAAAGAGGATGATATGACTCTCAATATCGCAGAGGGTGTACACCCCTCCTGTAATATTGTTCTGAATACCCTGGGAGGGAGAGGATAAAGTTACATTGAATATCGCAGGGAATGTACACCCTCCCCCTATGATACACTTCCTAATGTCCAGGGGAAGAGAGGAAAATTTCACTCCCAATATCACAGAGGCAGTACACCCCACCCGTGATGTTGTTCCCAATATGCATGGGGGGAGAGGATGATACTACTGTCAATATCACAGGGCTGTTCACATCCCCAGTGACATTTTTTCCTATTATCTAGGGGAGAGACAATTCTATGACAGCAAAGGTTGCAGGGTCTGTACATCCCTTCCTGATATTGCTCCTAATATCTAGGGGGGAAGAGGATGATATCAAATATGAAAGTGGGTGTACATCCCCCATCTCTACGATATTGTTCTTAATAATTGTGAGGGGTGACGATGATATTACTCCAAATATCGCAGGGGTTGTTCACAACCCCCTGTGATATTGTTTCTCATATCCAGGGGGGGAGAAATTCATGTTACTTCCAATATTGCAGGTGGTGTATACCCCACCTGAAATATGTCACCGCATATCCAAAGAGGGAGAGGATGGTATTAATACCGTTATCGAAGTGTGTGTACATGCCCCTTGTGATATGGTTTTTAATATCCAGTGGGCGGGAGGATGATATGAGTCCCAACATCCCAGAGGGTGTACACTACCCCTGTGATATTGTCCCTAACTTCCAGAGGGGAGAGGATGATATCATTCTCAATATCTCAGAAGTTGTACATCCGCCGTGATATTGTTCGTCATATCCAGGAAGGCGCAGGATGACATTCCACTGAATTTCGCGACACGCCTACACGCACAGTGTGATATTGTTGCTAATATCCAAGAAAGGAGAGGATGATATTACTCCCAATAAAGCAGTGGGTGTACATCACCCCTGTGTTATTATCTCTAATATCCGGGGCTGGGGGAGGAGGGGAGAGGATAACATTCCCTCCAATTTAGCAGGTGGTTTGACGCCCCTTGTGGTGTTGTTTTAAATATCCAGCAGGGAAGACAATACTACTATTTTTGATAGTACGATTCATCCGCTCCACCTTTCCGGAACTCTGAGGCCGGGAGGCGGCATGCAGTTTCCGTGTGATCCCCAATACCTTTGCCATCTTCTGTACCAAGGCAGCCAAAAACACAGGCCCGCTGTCTGAGCCAATCCCTAAAGCCCGTCGAAATCTAGGAATCCAATCATGAAGAAGCACAGGGGTTACTTCATGAGCTTTCTCAGTTCGTGTTGGATAGGCCTCCACCCACCCAGAGTAGGTACGCCCAAGAACTAGTACATACTTGTTACCTCCACACTTTGACATCTCTGTGAAGTCCACCTGGAGACCTTCAAAGGGGGCTGCTCCATAAGCTCGTATGCCGGGCGGAACGGCTGGACCTTGCCTCGCATCATGCTGTCGCAGGTAACACACCACTGCCTCACCGTTTTGGCAAGGGCTGACAAAGGCGAGATGTAGAAATACCAGCCTAACAACTTTTCCAGTGACTCCTGACCTCGATGGGTGGTTTCTTGCACAGCCAGTACAACTGCGGCTCCTAGCAGCTGTGGCACAGCTACTCTCCCATCTGGTAACCAAATCCATCCTTCCTCCATCACTTGTCCTTCCCTCTACCTGGAGAAAGTCCTTTTCTTCTTTAGAAGAAGCAGGTCCAAGATCAGGTGCTTGAAGGAGCACTGATGCCCAGAAGGGGACAGATGCTGCTTTTCGAGCCTCTGAGTCAGCGTGGGAATTCCCCAAATCCAGCAAGATGGAAGCTCGCTGGTGTCCTCTGCAATGCCTAACTTCCACTTTGTGGGGTTTCAATACTGCTTCTAATCATTGAAAGACTTCTTGTTGATATTTTCTGTCTTTTCCCCCACAGTTCAAAACTCGTCTTCTTTCTATCACGCTCCATGCACTTGAAGGGTTAAAAAGACATACGGAGAATCAGTGTAAATGTTGACAGTCTCACCCTCACTGAGTTCTAAGGCCCCAATGAAAGCAATGAGTTCAGCTTTCTGGGCTGATGTGGCCTGGGGCAGTGATCTGGCTTCAACAACAGTGTCCAGGGTTATCACTGCATACCCTGAACCTCTCTCTCCTTGGGAGTTGAAGAAGCTGCTCCCATCCACGTATGGCTCCCAGTCTACTGATGCCCAAGTCTGGTCCCGGAGGTCAGGCCTGCTACAGTCAATTGAGTACAACATTTCTACACAATCAGGCTCGGCAGAGCTCTCTGATACCGGCAGCAAGGTGGCGGGGTGTAGGGTGTTACAAACTTTACTGGTTATATGGGGATTTTCACAGAGCAAAGTTTGGTACTTGGTGAGTCTGGCATTCATTAGCCAATGATGTCCTTTACTACTCATTAAAGTCACCACAGAATGGGAGGCATTTATGTTCAGGCTTTGCCCAAGAGTCAGCTTATTTGCTTCTTGTACTAGCAGGGCACTTGCTGCCAAGGCCCTCCAACAGGGGGGCCATCGTTTAGAAACCCCGTCTAGTTGTTGAGAGAGGTAGGCCACAGGCCTCGGCCGGGGCCCCACAGTTTGGGTTCAAAGTCCAGCTGCCATCTTTTCTCTCTTTTATGCATATAATGGAAAAGGCTTTGTCAAATCGGGTAGCCCCAGGGCTGGGGCTGCCAGAAGTTTTTCCTTTAACTCATGAAAGACTTGCTGTTGTTGGGATCTGCATTCCAAAGGTTCCCGGTCCCCGCCCCATTTGTGACCGCATACAAAGGCTTGGCTAATACTGCAAAGTTTGGGATCCACAGTCTACAAAACCCCACAGCTCCTAAGAATTCTCTCACCTGCCTTCAGATCTTAGGCTCCGCTAGATGGCAAATGACCTGCTTTCTTTCTGATCCCGGGCTGTGTTCCGACCCCTGTCAGATAGTAAATCCCAAGTAACGTACCTGCTGTCAGCAGATCTGAGCTTTCTTCTTGGACACCTTCTACCCACAGTCCTCCAGGTGCCGGTGTAGGGCATCTTTTCCCTTGGCACACCCGACTGCCGTGGGGTGTCCCAGCAGAAGGTCATCAGCCTACTGGAGCAACACGCAGCCTAGGTCTCTGCTGGGAAACTTCTGGAGGTCTTGAGCCCATGCCTCCCCGAAGATGGTGGGGGAGTTCTTGAACCCTTGGGGAAGTCGAGTCCAAGTGTACTGAGTAGTGACACCTGACTCCGGATCTTCCCACTGAAAGGCAAACAGCTTCTGCCTCTCAGGGGCTAATCTGATAGGAAAGAAAGCGTCTTTCAGGTCCAAGCAGGTGAACCAGCTGTCCTCAGCTGGCAGAAACCCCAACAATGTGTATGCGTTAGGTACTGTTGGATGTAAAGTCAGTGTAGCTTGATGAAGCAAGCGCAAATCCTGTACCGGCCGGTAGTCCTTGGTCCGTGGTTTGGGAACAGGCAGGAGGGGAGTGTTCCATGGAGACTGACAAGGAACAATCATTCCAAAAGTTCTTAGGTGCTTGAGATGGACCTGGATACCTTGAAGGGCTTCTCTGGGGACTGGCTCCTCTTTTTGCCTCACCGGCTGGGCCCCAGTCTTAACTGGCAGTGCCCCAGGGTTGTCTTCTGCCATACTCTTGGCCACCGCTCAGCCAGAGCTGGTCTCTCTTGGCCCGGCTCAGTTCAGAAAAGTCTCCATTCCAACTCTCGGGGGACTATAATGGTCATAATGACTCCCGTTCCGGGTAACTTTAGCAGCGAAGAGCCGTGCTCTCTCAAAGAGATAGTGGCTCTCAGCTTGCTGAGCATGTCCCTTCCCGAAAAGGTCAAGGGACAGTCAGGCATGTACCAAAACTGATGAATGACTTTATGTCCTCCTACAGTACAAGTCCGAGGCAAGCAGAAAGCTTGCTTTGCTGAAACCCCCGTGACTTCGATGATGTCAATAGTCTTTTTGGATAAGGGGGTGACCGGGGCGGTTACTAGCGAATGTTCAGCACCGCTATCTACAAGAAAGTCAATGTCTTCACCCCCGACAGTCATTCTGACCAGAGGCTCTTTGGGGAGGCTTGAGCCCGGTCTCCCTCTGTCCAGTAACCCTTCTGCCAGGTTGAGCAGGGCCCCTTCCTCCTTGTCCGGGGCCTCCTGCTCTGAGTCACCTTGTTTTCTTTTGAGCTGAGGGCATTTGTTCTTCCACTGTCCTATTTCTTTACAATCAGCACACTGGTTATGCTGCAAACTCTGACAGCCAAGCTGAGTTTCTTTCCCAGGGCCCCCTTTCCCTTGCCTCTTTGGGGGGGCCCTCTGATTGTTGCAGCTGAGAAACAGGTCGGCGTGTTGCCGGGCCTGACCTCCATTCTCTTTGCCATTTTCCTTAGGGCTTACTGCATCCCTGTTTACAAACACCTGGCTAGCTATTTCTAGTAATTGGGATGGATTCATCCCTGCAAGCCCAGCCTGTTTCTGCAGTTTTCTTCTCACGTCTTCTGCGCTTTGACGGACTAAAGCCATGGGAATCATGCACTGATTTTCAGGGCTATCGGGATCAAAGGGAGTATACATACGACAGGCCTCCCACAATTCTCTCTCGTAGAATTGTGCTGGACTTTCTTCTTTTCCCTGAATGACCTCAGAGAGCTTGTTAACGTTTGTGGCCTTCTGAGCTCCCCTCATTAATCCTTCCAAGAGAGCTTCCCTGTCTCGGTTTCACCTTTGCATATCCTCTCTTTCATGTGGGTCCAAGTGGGGGTCGGTTCCTGGCAACTGGGTCCTTCCATACTCTTGGGGGTTTTGATAATCAGCTGGTGCATGTTCCTCTAGCCACTTAGTTGCTGCTTGGAGGACTCTCTGCCTTTCTTCACTATTAAAGAGGAACATGAGCAACTGGTGCCAATCAGCCCAGGTGTGGTTGTGGGTCTGGATAACAGTTTGGAGCAAATCAATTAGTGCTTGTGGGTTTTCGGTATAGGGCGGTGTATTGTTTTTCCAGTTGAGAAGGTCGATGCAGGTGAAGGGCTGGTACCCAAAAACACACCTCTCCACCACGTGACCATCCTCATCTATCCCAGTCTATCGCTGCTCTCTCAGGGGCATTTGTGTCCCCTTTTTGGGTCGTAAACGAGCTGCCGAGGGAGGGGTGGAATGGCGCAATGCGACTTGCCGCAATTAATAATCTCAATTATTAATTGACACTAATAATTATCAATATTAATAACCCATAATATAATTTTTAAAATCAATACCGATAATAATGATAATTAATATTAAATAGTTATACTAACAATAACAATACATGATTAATATTAATGATTAATGACGCCTGATATTAATAACTATTGATCTTATTCATTAGAAAACAGTAATATTAGCTCCTAATATTTCATATTAATATTAATAATCTGTAAACTTTTTATTAGCAATTATTTATTAATATTAATATTAATATCAGTCATTCATATTTATGTTAATAATAAATGAGGTATAATTCATACTAATATTACGCCCTAATACCTCAGTGGGTGTACAACCACCTGCGATATTGCTCCTAATGTCCAGAGAGAGAGAGAGCATGATATTACGTTCAATATCACAGTAGGTGTACACCCAGCCGGTGATATTGATCCGAATATAATCTCCAGGGTGTGGAGTAAGATATTACTCCCAATATAGCACTGGGTGTGCATCCACCCTGTGATTTTGCTCCTAATATTCACGGAAGAAGACAATGCTATTACTCCCAACATCGCAGGAAGTGTACACCCCCATGTGAGATGGTCCTTAATAACATTCCAAGGCGGAGGGAGTGATAGGACTACATATATTGCAGAAAGTGGACACCACCAAGTATATTGTTCCCACGATCCTAGAGGGAAGAGTATGATATTACTTTCAATATCACAGAAGGTGGACACCCCCCCACTGATATTGTTTCTAATTGCAACGTGGGAGAGGAGGATATGACACACGATATCCCAGGGAGTAGAAACAACTCTGTGATACTGTTCTTAATATTCAGGGAGGAAGAGGATGATATGACTCCCAATAGAGACGGGTGTACAACCTCTGTATACCCAGGGTGTACACCGGTTTGTGAAACAGTTCATAATCTCCAGAGCGGGAGATGATATTACTCACAGTATGATAAACAGGCTGTGAGTCCACCGCGGATCCTAAAAACCAGGGGGGCAAGAGGGGCTGGCTCTTACTCCCCGCATCGCGGGGGGCCCCTCTCCCCCCTGCGATGGGTGTCCTAAGGGCCAGCGGGGCAAGAAGGGCTAGCTGTTACTCCCGGCATCGCGGGGAGTGCCTCACCCCGCTGCAATGGGGGTCCTAAGAGCCAGGGGGGCAAGAGGGGCTGGCTCTTACTCCCCGCATCGGATATAGTACTATGGGTGAAACAGCAATGTGGCTGTGGATGTAAATTAAGGGAGTTAATGTTAAAATGCACACATGAAAATAGAGGGTAAGCATTTATAAAATTTATATTCATTTTCACCTGACCATCTAAACATGCAATTATAATAATTTTCATCCATCATGTTAATTATTCGTAGATAAGAGAGTTTAAGACATGTTTTTGCTCCTGGAGTCTGAAGAAGATGGAGTTAGCATTTTCACCACTTCTTTTGTCCGTCAATTTCAATGATCTTCAGTTTGCAGCAGATGCTGAAGTCAGCACAGTATGTAATTGCATGTTCATCAGCATTGCACTTCAGTCTGCAATGATAATATTCTGAAGGACATTCATCATTAGAAATGAAGCTTCCGGCTTTAAGAGGAGAAGACAAATTATACGATACAATATACTTACTTTTTATTCTTAAATGTCTGAAATGTTTTATAATAAATTAAAAACATTAAAGAACTTTCCCAGAAAAACAAAAACAGCAAAAGAATGCAAGAGAAAAAGTGGAGATGCTGAATAAAGACAAACGATGCTTTCTTCTATAAAGAGAGGAGTAAATGAGGCAGTAGCTGGAAATGTACAGAATTTTAAATGAGAACTATTACCACATATTTCTACCTAAAATGAATTATCCTGCTTGGGGGTAGTGTAGAGATTCATAATGCAGGAAATAATGTTTAACTTCTGGAGTTAAATTCTTGAAAAAGTCATTGGGGATGGAATCTAGTGTAAGTGGAGGGGTTGGCCTTGAATCAGACAGTGAAGAGAAGGTAGATTACGGATAAAGATAAAACTATGTGAAGAGATATGGTGGTGGAAAAGTGGAAAAGCTATCTTTGGTTGCTTCTCTGTTCTTGGTGAAATGAGAAAAAGGAATCCTTAATTGAGAGAACGGGTCAGAAGGAGTTGAGTCTTAGTTCCAGCTTCCCAGGGTATTCGGGCTCAAGGCCATTTCTCCTTTGTTGAGGAAGTTACTGAGATATGCACAGGAGCCTATAACCCATAATCCCCCATAAATATTCCCTTTAAACCTACCAGTCCTTCCCAAATCCTTTTGTTACAATTTGTAAGTTAAAATAATTGCCATGACCAACATCATGAAAGTTTCTCCTTATGTTTTCTTCTATAAGTGTTATAGTCTCAGGTAATTATGTTTAAATGTATAGTTCATTTTGAGTTGCTTTTTGTGTGTAGTGTAAGATACAGGCCCAATTTATTCTTTTGCATGTGAATATTCAGTTTTCTCAGTACCATGTATTGAAGAAACCGTCTTTTCCCCATTATATATTCTTTGCATGTTTGTTGAAGGCCAGTTGACTGTATAAGTGTCTGTTGATTTCTGGGCCCTCTATTCTCTTCCAGTGGCCTATATGTCTGTCTTTATGCCAGTAGCACACAGTTTTGATTACTCTATCTTTATAATACATTTTGAAATTAGAAAATGTGATGCCCCTAGCATTGTTTTTCTTGCTCATTGTTTTGACTATTCTGGGTCCTTTGTGGTTTTATATGAATTTTAAGATTGTTTTTTCTATTTCTGTCAAGAGTGCCATTAGGATTTTGATAGGGATTGTATATAATCTATAAATTGCTTTGAATAGTATGGATATTTTAATATTATTATGTCTTCCAATTCACGAACATAGGATATCTTTCCACTGATTTGTGTCTTCTTTAATTTCTTTCATGAATGTCTGCAATTTTTAATGTACCACTCTTTCATCTTTTTGGTTAAGTTTATTCTTAAATATCTTAACTTTTTCTTGCTATTATGAATGGGATTTTCTTTACTTGCTTTCCAGTTGTTTGTTGTTAGTGCTATAGAAACACAACTGATATTTGTATGTTGATTTTCTATCCTGCAACTTTACTGAATTTGTTATTAGTTGTAATAATTTGTGGGGAGTGAAGTTTAGGGCTTTTTACAAAAAAATTATGTCATTTGGAAATAGACAACTTTACTCATTCCCACCCCTCAACAGTTTGGATGCCATTTATTTCCTTTTCTTGCCTAATTGTTCTTGCTAGAACTCTTAGTATCATGTTAAATAAATGTGGCAAGAAGGGGCACTTTAGCCTTGTTCCTGATCTTAGAAGAAAAGCTTTTAGTTTTTTACCATTGAGTATGAGTGAATAATTTCTTTTTACTTTTATTGTAAGGTAGGACTACTGGTGACAAACTCTATTTTTGTTTACCTAAGAAAATTATGTATTTTTATCTTAATTTAAAGGGTAGGCTGGGTGCGGTGGCCTGCACCTTTAATCCTGGCACTTTGGGAGGCCAAGGCTGGCGGATCACCTGAGGTCAGGAGTTCGAGACCAGCCTGGCCAACCTAGGGAAACCCAGTCTCTGCTAAAAATACAAAATTAGCCAGGCGTGGTGGTGGCTGGCTGAGGCACGAGATTGCTTGCATCCAGGAGGCAGAGGCTGCAGTGAGCCAAGGTCACTGCCACTGCACTCCAGCCTGGGTGACAAAGTGAGACTCTCTGTCAAAAAAAAAAAAGGATAATTTTGCTAAGTAGACAGTTTTAAGATAGTGTTCTTTTTTTCTTTTTTAACATTTTAAATATTTCACTTTCCTCTCTTTTTGCTTATGTGGTTTAAGAGAAGTCTGATGTAATTCTTATCCTTGGTTGTCCATAGATAAAGGTTTTTTCCCTCCTGGCTTCTTTTAAGATTTTTTTTTTGTCTTTGATTTTTGGCAGCTTCAATATAATATGCCTATGTTTAAATTTTTTTGTATTTATCTTGCGTGGTATTCTCTCAGCTTCCTAGATATGTATATTTTGTTTATTTTCAATTTTGGGAAAATCTCAGTCAGAATTTCTTCAAATATTTCTTCTATTCCTTTCTTTCTCCTCCTCCTGATACTTCATTACACATATATTGTTCCTTTTTGTAATTGGCCTACACTTATCAAATATTCTGTTCTTTTTAATTCTTTTTTCTTTGCTTTTAAGTTTGGAAGTTGCTATTTAAACTTCTTTAGGCTCACTGATTCTTTCCTTGATCACATCGGTCTATTGATGAATTCATCGTTATGGTCTAACAAGTTTTCCTCCAAAATCTGTAGGTTGAAGTCCCAATCTTTAGTATCTCAGAATGTAATCATATTTGAAGATAAGTTTTTTTTTTTTTTTTAAGGAGTGATAAAGCTAAAATGAGACTCCCAGGGTATGGCCCTCGTGCAATATGGCTGATGTCCTTATTAGAAGAGGAAGAGACACCAGGAATGCATGTGCACAGAAAAAATGCCATAAGAGGACATAGCAAGAAGGCAACCAGCTGCAAGCCAAGACAGGCCTCAGGAGAAACCAAATGTGCTGACATCTTGATCTTAGACTTATAACATCCACAACTGTGAGAAAATGAACTTTTGTTATTTAAGGCACCCATTCTGTGGTACTTTCTTATGATAACCCTATAGCAATGCAAGAATGGCCTAATACATCTATATTTATATTGGACAAAATTGACTTTAAGCGAAAAAACATAAAAAGAGACAAAGAAGGCCATCATATAATGATAAAAGGGCCAATTCAGCAAGAGGATATAAAAATTCCAAATATGTATATATATGTACCCAGTAGTGCAATACTTAGATATATTAAAAATGTCATTAGAGGTAAAGAGAGAGATACACCTCAACATCATGATGACTGAGGGCTTCAATACCCCACTTTCAGCATTGAACATTCAGCATTCTAGGTAGAAAGCTAACAAAGAATCATCGAATTTAATCTGTACCGCAGACCAAATAGACTTAACAGACATTTACAGAACATTTCATCCAATAGCAGTGGAGTACACATTCTTCTCCTCATCACATAGAACATTCTCCAGGCTAGACCACATGTTAAGACACAAAAAAGTTTCAACAAATTTTGAAAAATCAACATTATATCAAGTATATTCTAGACAAAAATAGAATAGAACTAGAAATGAATACTAGGAAGAACTTTGGAAACTATACAGATAACATGGAAATTAAACAACATGCTTCCGAACAACCATTGAGTCAATGAAAAAACTAAGAAGAAAATAACAAATGTTCTTGAAATAAATGCAAATGGAAAGACAACATACCAAAACCTATGGAATACAACAAAGACAGTGCTAAGAGAGAATTTTATAGCAATAAATGCCTACTGCAAGAACATAGTAAGATTATGAACAAGCTACTATGCACCTCAAGGAACAAGAAAAACAAGATAAAATGAAATCCAAACTTAGGAGAAGGAAAGAAATAATAAAAATCAAAGCAGGACTGAGTGAATTCGAGATTTAAAAAATGCAAAGAGTTAATGAAACAAAAAGTTGACTTTTGGAAGAGATAAACAGACTTTATAAACTGCTAGCTAGACTAACCAAGAACAAAAGAGAGAATGCCAAATAAATAAAATCAGAAATAAAACAGGAGACATTACAACTGATATAAAAGAAACACAATGGATCATTAAAGTCTGTTATAAACAACCATATGCTAAATAATCCATACGATGAAATTTTTTTTACCAACACCAATGATCAATCTAACTTTCCCAAATTAATTTTAAAATCCACCAATACTTTATAATAAATACATATTAAACTGTGGTTTATACCTGAGATTTAGATTATCAATTGACTTATTTATCTTTTCTGAGGTGCATATTACCTCAGAGCACATTTTAAAATTTATTTCAAGATTCCATCATTTATATAATTATACAGAATGATACTTTTCCTCCGTGAATGTTGGTGTTTTACATTTTTATTGAGATAGAATTTAATATAAAATTCATTCCTTGAGAGTGTTCCATTTAGTGAGTATCAGTGGATTCTTAAAGTGGGATACAGTGATGACCACTGAATGAAGGAATGAAGTACGAATCTATGCCACAACATGGATGAATCTTGAAAACATTATGCTAAATGAAAGAAGGCAGACATGAAGGATCACATATTTATTATTCTGTTCATAGTAAATGTCCAGAATAGGAATATACATAGAGACACAAATTAGATCAGTGGTTGCTAGGGACTGGGAGGAGGAGAGATTTCTTCTTGCGGTTATAAACATATTCTGGAATTAGATAATGGGGAGGGGTGCACAATTTTAAGAATACACTGATAACCACTGAATAGAACACTTTAAGGCAATGAATTTTATGGTAAATTGTATCTCAATAAAAATATAAAAAACCCACTAACATTCATGGAGGAAAGGCATAATTACTTACAATTATATAAATAAGGGAATCTTGAATCATGAATATTATATAAATGAGGGAATCTTGAATCGTGAAGTATTAAAATGTGCTTCAGAAATGATCAATAAGTCAACCAGTAATCTAAATCTCAGGTATAAACCACAGTTTAATATGTTTTTATTATGGGGTATTGATGAATTTTAAAATTAATTTGGGAAAGTCATATTGATTAATAAATATGCTTATATATAATTGACTAGTTATGTGGTTAAAAATTAAGGTAGAATCTTAACTCTCACCGTAGAAAAAGTAATTTCCATATACATTAAATGATATCATATGAGTTTTATTCAACTTTAAAGGAACACAGAGGCTAGGTCCTTGCCTGGATCAGTGGTGAATTTATCCTGTGAACCAAGGATTATGGTGGAGTATCCACCTCTTCACCTCTAGCCCTTCTTCTAGTCATCATTCGCTTTTCATTTTTCCAATTCTTTAAATTTCCTGTGTTCTGTGTGCATCCTCTCACCACCTTTTGATCAAACACAACTCTCAAGTAAGTTTATTTATTATTATTATTATTTTTTGAGACAGGGTCTCACTCTGTTGCCCAGGCTGGTGTGCAGTGGCATGACCTAAGCTGAATGCAGCCTTGACATCTCAGGCTCAAGCGATCCTCCTGCCTAAGCTTCCTGAGTAGCCAGAACCACAGGCACGCACCACTATACCTGACTAAATTTTGTATGATTATTTTTTTTTTTTTGTAGAGATGGGGTTTCACCCTGTTGCCCCCACCGGGCTGGTCTAGAACTCCTGAGCTCACCCACCTCAAACTCCCCAAATGCTGGGATTATAGTCATGAGACGCTGTGCCCGGCCTCGAGTGAGTTTATCATAGGTTAAATCACTGCAGTGAACCACCTTATTTATTTCTTTAGTATTAACTCTTCAATCCTCTGAGCAGCCTTCATGGTACAGTAAAATCTGCCCATGCCTAATTTATTTTCAGACTCTTGAAAGACCTTGCATTTTCTTTTACTTATAGTTTTAGAACTTTGGAATAAAAAAGTTTCTGTCTTTCTTGGAGGAACTGTGGACATCAAGGAAAGGACTCCAAAGACGAAAAACAAGACCCTCATGTTTGAATAGGTAAAGCAGGTTAGAGAGAATCAGTAGCTGAGATGAAGAGGACTTCTGTGTATATTCACTCCTCTGAAGAGGTGAGTTGCTGAGTGATTATTGAACCCTTCAGGAACAAGAACATTTCTGTGTTTCAATGAGATTTTATATCAGGAGACAGCATGCAATCATCACGACTATCGGTCATTTAAAGTACATTTATCAAAGGTAAAGAGGGTGTGTGCAAAGGTAGTAGAAAGCACAGCCATGTCAAAGGCAGGAGAGAGACTTGAAATATCAGCATTGTCTTATGCATTCTGGAGGAACTGTAAAAGTTAAGGAAGCAGTTATAGAGGAAAAGCATTCATTTTATTTTTCTGATAATAGGAAGTAGCACGTAATACAACAGCATGCCTATTTATTACTATTTTGGCACCGTGTGTTAGCATGCTTAAGCAATGGAATTAAATATGAAATTATAAACAGACTAGTGAGATACAGAAAAACTTTTATTTGATTATCTTTCTGTCCAATCGATCGAATGGGATAAACTAATTTTTATATTGAAATCTAAGTTAACACAAATTGTTTGCACATCAGTTACATGTAATATGAGAGGAATTAAAGAAAGGAGAGTGGGCCTTAGGGAACCTATAATACACTTCGGAAAGTAAATAATATATACAAATAAATAGCAATGCAACACAAGCATATTTCTGACAGAGAGGTACAAATTACTTCTTAGACACTAAGGAAATGAACATAATCACCAGAATACTTTGGGTGCCGTAGGGAATGCTTAAACAGGGTATGAGTAAACTTTATTTATTTATTTATTTTTTATTTATAGACAGGGTCTCACACTGTTGCCCAGGCTGGAGCGCAGTGGTGCGATCTTGACTCACTGCAACCTCTGCCTCCCGGGTTCAAGTGATTCTCCTGCCTCAGCCTCCCGAGTAGCTGGGATTACAGGCACACGTCTCCATGCCTGGCTAAGTTTTGTATCTTTAGTAGCAATAGGGTCTTGCCATGTTGGCCAGGCTGGTCTCGAACTCCTGGTCTCATGTGATCCACCCGCCTCGGCCTCCTGAAGTGCTGGGATTACAGGGGTGACCCACCACATCTGGCCAGAATATCAGCTTCAGAAACTGTAAAGTACATGCACGTTCCTGGTCTTACTTGACCTTCATTCCTTTCTAGATGGTCTCACTACAGGTGAAGTAACTTTTCTCAGTACCAAGAAGGAAGTTCTCTTTCTGCCATGGCTTCTTCTTGGTGCTACTTCTATAATACTTCAGAGTGTTAGTGAATGGAACACCTGATTATATTATTTCAGCAGGTCCTTCCTGCCTTTAGAGACTTTGAAAGTGAAATCTTGAGTCAGGGATGGGGAGGTCTTGGAAGAGGCAAACTTCCCAAGTCTTAGCCTAAGGAGGGCCAGTGAGGGGCATGAAAGCTCTGGGGATGTTTTTTCCTAAACCTCCATTCAGGTCCTTCCTCCTGAGTTGCTGGGGCAGCGGTGCCTGGGCACAAGCCTCTGCCAGCACCCTAGATAACTCAAAGGGGGATCTTAGGGTCATTGTGCTGGTTATTGATGACTGTTCCATTTACTGAAGCCAGAATGGCCTAGGATCATTAGTATCTCTGATCAAGTATCCAGAATTTACTGATTTTTCTCACCTCTCTGAGAATTATTTCTTTCTTGATCACGAGGAAAAGCTTTGGAAGTACAGTTTACACTGCAAAGCAATACAATTTATGAGAACAAATAACTGAAATCCTTTATGGAACACTAAGGGCATAATTTTCACTGCTTGATATTTTCTATGAACATTTGTTTGCCAGCCTGATGTAGGTTGGTGCAAACGTAATTGTGGTTTTTGCCATTTCTTTCAATGGCAAAAATCCCAATTACGTTTGCACCAACCTAAGAGATTTGGAGCCAGGAGGTAGGCTTGGAATCCTGCCCAGGAAGCCCAAGAACATTGCGTAATCCATGGGCTAGCAATCAGGGATATCAAAGAAGGGTCAGAGGAAGGTTCATTGCATGCTGGGGGTGGACCAGTAGGTACCAGATGAGCATTGAAAGATGGCTTAGATTGCAGAGGGCTTCAGCAAAGAAAGATCAAGTGCTCTGACCAATGACTTTCCTTAAAAGAACACCAAGAAGAAAATCAGATAGCTATCAACCTATCAAATATAAGCTGTCACAGTAGAAGAAGAAAGAAGGCAATTTACCATTAGATAATTAAATTTGACCTAGAAATTATAGCGCTTTATTGCACATAACTCTCCAGGAAGGCACCAGATTTTCAATAAACAATTTATAATCAAGTATTCACTGTTTACTTTCCTACCCTGCCTTCAGCAGTACTGACAGCTTTGGGGACTTTGATGCATTAATTATCTGTTTTTCTTCTTGTTAATGCCGGTTTTCTTTTTCTTATTTACTTATTTATTTGAGACAGAGTCTCACTCTGTTGCCCAGGCTGGAGGGCAGAGGCGTGATCTCAGCTCACTGCAACCTCCACCTCCAGGTTCAAGTGAATCTCCTGCCAGCCTCCCGTGTAGCTGGGATTACAGGTGTGTGCCACCACACCCAGCTAATTTTTGTATTTTTGGTAGAGATGAAGTTTCACCATGTCGGCCAGGCTGGTCTTGAACTCTTGGCCTCAAGTGATCTGCCTGCCTCTGCCTCCCAAAGTGCTGGGATTACAGCAGTGAGCTGCGTGCCCGGCGCTGCCCGCTTTCTACATCTATTGTTTTCCTTACTTGAAGTCTGTCAATATCCTCAAGTTCCTGCCACGTTAAAAACAAAACACAAAATTGTCTTTCCTGTATTTAGTTTGTTTTTTTAATGAATGCCCTAGCTTCTCCCTTTCCCCCTCAGGAAAATCATAGTCTCTACGCTTCATTTCCATGTTATCTTTCATTCACTTCTTACCCCACACGTGGCTGACATTTTCCCTCAGCTTTCCATTGAATACACTTTTGTTAAATCACTCACAAGTTTTTCTCTAAGAGTAGACAAACACAGGTATGCCTATATCCTATATGTATATTTTATTTTTATTGATTTCTAAAGATTATTTCATGTAAAATTGGAAAAAATGATTATCATGATAATAGATATAACACATTACTTGATCACTAAAAAGATCATTACTATTTTAGTTTATTTACTTTCCATTAAATTTCTCTCTCTTATTCTTGTGATTCACCTATAGCTTTATTTATTTAATAAGTATTACTTTAATGTAAATATTTTCCTATACTATTTTCAAATACTCCTAAACAGTAATTTTTACTTTCTACATAATATTCCATCTTATGGATATTTCATAATATATTTATGTAATCATCCTTTCATTCTTGGGCATTGTTTTGTGTTTCTACTTTCACTACGTAAATGTTATGAGATTGTCCCAAGGGGCTTCTCTACTATTTCCAAATCAATTTCTGGCTAGGTCTCCTGACCCAAGTGGCTGCTGGAGTTGCAGGTGTGCTTAACTTATGTGGAGCGAGTGAAACCTTTACTTCAATACGTTGTTAATTGAAAGGAGAATCTTAGTATAGACTATTTTCCAGTAGAGGTAAAAAATGGATAATAACTTTGTTCAACTAGCAAAATAAGAGAAAAAGATAGAAAATAAGGTAAAAATAAATGATAGACATAAGGTCAAACGAAATGAGTCAAATCACTCCATCAGTTGTTAGGAGGCAGTTTTTTTTTCTCTTTCTGCACTTGAGTTGATCAAGTCTATAGATAGATTCTCTTCATAGCTATGAGAAGCATATTGGCACAAGGTTGCTGTCTCTCTCTGTGTAAATGAAGTATTAGCTCTAGCCTGGATGTTCCCTATAAGCTTCAGAATAAAAAAATTCAACTATTTACTTGACATCTACTTTTGGATGTCTAATAAGCAACTCAAGAATTCCAAAATGAATTTTTGATTCATACCACTTTCTCTGTTAATACTCACACTGCCTTTAGTCTTGCTCTCTCCATGATGGGCTCATGTACCTAGTTGTTTAGGTTAAAAAACAAAAACGAACAAAAACTCTGAGCATACCTTTGATTCTCTCATTTCATAATTACAACCCATTAGCAAGCCCAGTTCTATCTTTAAAATATCTCTTTTATTTTTTATTTTTAAAAATTTTTGAGACAGAGTTTCACTCTGTCACCCAGGCTGGAGTGCAATGGTGCGATCTCTGCTCACTGCAACCTCTGCTTCCCAGGTTCAAGCGATTCTTGTGTCTCAGCCTCCCGAGTAACTGGGATTACAGGTGCTAGCTACAAATTCTCAGCTAATTTTTGTATGTGTTTTTGTAGAGATGGGGTTTTGCCATGTTGGTTAGGCTGTTCTCTAACTCCTGTCCTCAGATGATCCGCCTGCCTTGGCCTCCAAAAGTGCTGGGATTATGGGTGTGAGCTACTGGGCCCGGCCTAAAATGTGTCTTAAATCCAACCTTTGTACACTTCCTCTGTCATTGCATCATTGTCCAAGTCACTGGTGTCTCTGGAGAGAGCCCTCTAACTTGTCTCTATGTTTTTACCAGAGCTTTGCATACTCTAATTTATGTTCAGACACCAGAGATATGTTTCTAAAATGCAAATTAAATCAAATTATTTCCTTATTGAAAATCTAATTACGTTTTTTTAAAAAAACTACATAGAATAAATCCAGTCTGTTTACATGGCACACAATGTCCTACCTGATTTGGTTGCTGAATATTTCTCCGATCTTTTTTTTCCTGCTACTGTTCCCTCTTTTCACTCTGTTCCACACGTATTAGTTTTCTTGCTCTTCCATAAACATTTCAAACTCATTTCTACCTCATAGCCTCTGTTTTTACTATTACCATTGCAAGGATTATTCTTTTCTAAGATATTTCTATGGAAACTCTGTCCCCCTATTTCATTCAGGCTTTGTTCCTGTGTCACCGTCTCAGAGAGGCTTTCCATGATTATTGAATAAATTCTAAAATAAAATTGATATCAAAAAGGCCATGCTCCCTGCAGCAAGTTGCTAATATCAGAAATCAATAACAATAAGGTATATTCCCAAATTCATACACAAAGATATTAAAACACAACACATTCCTACATAACACTTGGGCTAAGGCATTCATAAAAATGAATACAAAATAATTAGATCTGAAAAAACGGAAAGCACTATAAATGAAATCCTGTGGAATGCAGCCAAAGTGGTATAAAAACCGTCATTTATGATCTTCAAGATATTTACTAGAATTCATGAAAGTATGAAAGCAGCGTACTGCTCAACTGAAGAATCGAAATAAATAACAAAATAAAAAGAAGAAAAACCTGAAACAAAATAGGAGGCAATAAACAAAAATAATATCACACATAAATAAGAAACAAAACAAAGCAAGAAACATTGTAGAGTTATTTAGTAAGACCACTAGATAGTTTATGGGAAGATTCATATATTAGATGAGTCTTAGGAAAAGATCATGAGAAAAAGAGAAAAAAAATAATACAGGGAAGAAAAGGAACATAAACTACAGATAGAGAAGTGTTTTGATATCATGATAGAATCCTTTAAACCCTCTATGCTGAATATGTGAATGAAATGGACACTTTTAGGGAAATACGAATGAATAATATTGACCAAAACAAACTTACAAGTGGTCAATGTTCTATCCTTTTACAACCAAAAGGAGCTAGAACTAGCAAGATTTTATGTACAATCCTGAAGAAATAGATAATTCCTATTTCCTTTTTTGTTTTTTTGAGACGCAGTCTTGCTCTGTCTCCCAGGCTGGAGTGCAGTGGCGCGATCTCGACCCACTTCAAGCTCCGCCTCCCAGGTTCACGCCATTCTCCTGCCTCAGCCTCCTGAGTACCTGGGACTACAGGCGCCCGCCACCACTCCCGGCTAATTTTTTTTTTTGTATTTTTTATTAGAGATGGGGGTTTCCTCCTGTTAGCCAGGATGGTCTCGATCTCCTGATCTCGTGATCCACCCGCCTCGGCCTCCCAAAGTGTGATAATTCCTATTTCTTAAGAATAATTGAGATTACAGATTGATCTAGGTGGTTACTCAACACATTTTATGAAAGAGAATAAGCACAATATAGAAATTTCACAGGGGTAGTGTATTAGTTATTGTTGCATAACAAGGTATTCCAAAATGTAGTGGCTTAAAACAACAAACTGATTATCACAAGTTTCTGTGGGATGAGGCTTAACTGGGTGCTTTTGGCTAAAGGTCTGTGTTGAGGTTGCAGACAAAAGCTGTCAGCTGGGGCTACATTTTAATCTGAAGACTGGGAGTGTGGGGGTTATATATAAACTCATTCACTGGCTTTTTTCATGCAGCATAATGTTGTGGAAGTTCATCCATGATGTATCATCTATTAGTATTTGTTCTTTTTTATTATGAAATAGTATTTCTCCATATAGATATAGTAAATTTTGTTTATCCATATACTAATATATGGGATAGAAACCTAAGAATAGCATCATTAAATTGTATGATATATTCATATTTATCAGTTTTAAGAAAAGGCCAAACTATTTTCCAAAGCGGTGATACTATTTTATATTTCCATCAGCATTGTAAAGGGACCTCATTTAGCCACATCTTCACGGACATATTTTATCACTGGTCATTTTTATTATAGTTATTCTAGTGTGTGTTAAGTGGCTTCTCATTGTGGTTTTAATTTGCATTTCACTAATGACTAATGATTCTGATAATCTTTTCATGTGTTTATGCCCATTCACATATTTTCTTTGGTGAAATGAGTACTCAAATCTTTTGCCTGTTATCTTATTTATTAACAAATTATTAATTACAAATTGATAAATTATAGTTGTCTTATTTATTGGGTACAAAGTGATGTTATGATTTATGAATTCAATGTGGAAAAGTTAGATCATGGTAATTAACACACCAATCACCTAAAATCATGATTTTTTTGTCTTGAGAATGGTTGAAATGTATTCTCTTGGCAATTTCGAAATGTATAATACATTTTTTACTATATTCACCATGCTGTGCAGTATATCTTAAAGAAACCTAATTCTCTTGTCCAGCTGAGGCTTTGTACTGTTTGACCATGATATCCTCATCCCTTTACCATCCCCAGCCTCTGGTAACCACTGTTCTACTCTCTGCTTATTTGAGTTTGACTGTTTTAGATTCCACAAATAAGTGAAACATGTAATATTTGTCTTTGTGTGCCAGACTTATTTCACTTAGCATAAAGTTCTCCAATTCCAACTTTGTTGCTGCAAATAAAAAAGTTTCTTTTCTTTAAGGTAGAATAGTATTCTACTCTGTATATATACTATATTTTCTTTATCCATTTATCTGTTGATAGACACTTAGGTTGATTCCAAAACTTGACTATTGCAAAAAGTGCTGCAATGAACATGGAAATGCAGACATCTCTTCAATATACAAATTTCAAGTCTTTTCAGTAAATACCCAGCCGTGAGATTCCTAGGTCATAGGTAATTTTATTTTTATTTTTGTTGAGAAACTTATAAGTTTTCCATAATGGCTACAGTAATTTACATTCCTACAACAGTGTGCAAGTGTTCCCTTTTCTACACATACTCTCCAACACCTGTTACATTTCCTCTTTTTGGTAGTAGCCATTCTAGCAGGTGTGAGCTGATATCTCATTCTGGTTGTAATTTCCATTTCCCTAATGATTAGTGATGTTGAACAGTTTTTCACAAGTTTATTGGTCATTTGTATGTCTTCTTTTGAGAAATGTCTATTCACCTCCTGTGCCCATTTTTTAATTGGACTATTTGTTTTCTTTCTGTAGAGTTGTTGAGTTCCTTATAAATTTTGTCTGTTAACCCCTTAGCAGATGTATGGCTTGCAAATATTTTCTCCCAATCTGCAGATTGTCTCTTTAATTGTTTTCTTTGGTGTGCATAAGCTTTTTATTTTGATTATAATCGAATTTGTCTATTTTTGAATGCATTGTCTGTGCTTTTGCGGTTAGAACTTAAGTTAGAACTTAAAATGTCCAATGTCAAGTGCAGCAGGTTTCTCACCTCAAGGGACAAGAGAAAAAAGCCAGGAGCCTGGTACCAGCTTCCCAGGATTAGGGCACACAGCCCAGGAGTAATGAGCTGAGCCTTGGCCCCCAGAAGTTTCCCAGAAATGACACCAGTCAACGGAACCCACTTTATTCCACAATCAAACCGTCAAAGATGTCAAAGAATATAAGAGCGAAAACCCCATCCAAAGGACAGTGATACGGTTTGGCTCTGTGTCCCCACCCAAATGTCACCTTGAATAAATCCCCATGTGTCAAGGGCAGGACCAGATGGAGATAACTTAATCATGGGGGTGGTTCCCCCATGAGTGAGCTCTCATGAGATCTGATGATTTTATAAACGGGAATTCCCCTGCACAAACTCTCTTGCCTGACACCACGTAAGACGTAATTTTGCTCCTCATTTGCGATGATTGTTAGGCCTCCCCAGCCTAACAATGTGGAATTGTGAGCAAATTAAACCTTTTTCCTTATAAATTACCCATTCTCTGGTATGTCTTTATTATCAGCTTGGGAACAGATTAATACAGACAAGAACACCAAAGATTAAAGAAACATCAGTCTACACAGATTAAAAAGAAGCAGCACAAGAACTCTGGCAACTCAAACAGCCAGAGTGTCTTCTCACCTTCAAGGGACTGCAGTAGTTCCTCAGCAATGGTTCTTAACTGTGCTGAAATGACAGACATATAATTTAGAATCAAGATAGGAATGAAGATCATCGAGATTCAGGAGCAAGTTGAAACCAAATTCAAGGAATCTAAGGAATCTAATCAAATGATATGAGTTGAAAGACAAAATAGCCCTTTTAAGAAAGAACAAAACTGATCTGATAGATATGAAAAACTGTCTATGAGAATTTAATAATACAATCACAAGTATTAACAGCAAAACAGGGCATGCTGATACACACGTATGTTTATTGCAGCACTATTCACAATAGCAAGACTTGGAACCAACCCAAATGCCCATCAGTGATAGACTGGATTAAGAAAAGGTGGCACACATATACCACGGAATAGTATGCAGCCATAAGAAAAGGATGACTCCATGTTGTTTGTAGGGACATGGATGAAGCTGGAAACCGTCATTCTCAGCAAACGATCCCAAGGACAGAAAACCAAACACCGCATGTTCTCACTCATAGGTGAGAATCGAACAATGAGAACACTTGGACACAGGAAGGGGAACATCACACACTGAGGACTGTCATGGGGTAGTGGGAGGGGGGAGGGATAGCATTAGGAGATATACCTAGTGTAAATTACGAGTTAATGGGTGCAGCACACCAGCATGGCACATGTGTGCATATGTAACAAACCTGCACGTTGTGCACATGTACCCTAGAACTTAAAGTATAATACTAATAAAAAAATAGGCCATGCTGAGGAAAGAATCTCAGAGATTGAAGACTCGTTCAGTTAGACAAAAATAAAGAAAAAAGAATTCAAAAAAATGAACAAACCTCTGAGAAATAGGGAATTATGTAAAGCGACCAGATATATGACTCACTGGCATCCCTGAAAGAGCAGGAGAGAAAGCAAACAACTTGGGAAACATATTTGAGGATATCTTCCATAAAAACTTCCCCAACCTCACTAGAGAGGTTGATTCAAATTTAGGAAATGCAGAGAATGCCTGCAAGATACTACACAAGACAACCATCCCCTAGAAAAAGTATTAAAGGCAGCTAGAGAAAAGGAGCAGGAAACCCACAAAGGGAATCCCATCAGGCTAACCGTGGACTGTTAAGCTGAAACTCTATAAGCCAGAAGAGATTGTGGGCCTACATTCAGCATTCTTAAAGACAAGAAATCCCAACCAAGAATTTTATATCCATCTAAACTAAACTTTACAAGTAAAGGAGAAATAAAATCGTTTTCAGAAAAGCAAATGCTAAGGAAATTTGTTACCATCAGACATGCCTTACCAGAGGTCCTTAAGGGAGTACTAAATATGGAAATGAAAGAGTACCAACCACCACAAAACACAATTAATTACATAGATAGTGACACTATAGAGCAACACACAATGAAGTCTGCATAATAACCAGCTAACAACACAATAACAAGATCAACTCCACACATAGCAATATTAACCTTGAACATAAATGGACTAAATGCCCTACTTAAAAGGCACAAAGTGGCAAGTTGGATAAAGAAGCAAGCCCCAAATGTATGCTGTCTTCAGTGTCATTGCATGTGAGACCCATCACTCATAGGTTCAAAGTAAAGGCTCAAAGAAAGATCTGCCAAGCAAATGAGAAACAAAAAAGCAGGGGTTGCCATTCTAATTTCAGACGAAACAGACTTTAAGCCAACAAAGATAGAGATAGACAAAGAAGGGCATTACATAATGGTAAAGGGTTCAATTCAACAAGAAGACTTAGCTATCTTAAATATATATGCACCCAAGACAAGTGTGCGCAATTCATAAAACAAGTTATTAGGGACCTACAAAAAGACTTAGATAACCACACAGTAGTAGTGGGAGACTTCAACACCTCACTGACAGCATTCGACAGATCATTGAGAGAGAAAACTAACAAAGATATTTAGGCCTTAACTCAACACTTGACCAAATGGACCTAAAAGACATCTACAGAACAGTCCACCCAACAACAGGATACACATTCTTCTCATGTGCACATGGTACACACTCTAAAATCAACCATGTGATTGGCCATAAAACAATAATCAGCAAATTCAAAAAACTCGAAATTATACCAACCACACTCTCTGACTACATCCCAATAAAAATAGAGACAAATATTAGGAAAATCACTAAAAACCATACAATTACATGGAAATTAAACAACCTGCTCCTGAATGACTTTTGGGAATGACTTTTGAGGCTGCATCTGGAACCACCTGTGAGCAGGGCTGCAGCAGGGTCCACAGGCAGATGGCGGTGTTTCTGTGTTCATGGCCAGGTCTATGATTGGTGAGCCTACTCCCAGGACATGGGCCTGCCTTCTCAAAGCAGTTTTCCTTGGTCTTGGGCTCTAGTGGGTTGTCATGAACTCCTGACTGGGTCCTGATGTTACCACAAAGATATTTTATCAATGGATGGTTGCCAAATCAGTGTTCTGTGGGTGGACGAAGGCTGGGGATCTTCTACTTAGCCATCTTACAGATGTTCTGCTTCATTTGTTCTTTGATTTCTTTTTCTTCTTTTTTTCAAGTAGATGGGTCATTGTAATTAGTCATTTTTTTTCTTATTAAACTGTTGTGTTATTTAAGAGTTGCTTTAGTGTTCATAGTATTGCTCTTTACACCACAGTCTATCATTGGGTGTCATACTACTTTACATCTAATATAAAAACCTTTCAAGGTTATATGAGCTATGGTTCTTACAGCAGCAAAAATATTTTATTTTGTATTTTGAATATGGAAATTGCAATCTTTTTCTAGTGATAATAAAATCCATTTTACTTGGACTATTTTCTAGTATTTTTGTGACTTGCCATTTATTCAGAAACTCTATTGTCTCGATCATATCAAATTTTCCAGAAAGATAGAAAGAACAAAACGAACTTCTAAATGTACAACTGGCAAAGGTCTGAGAGTATCTCAAGCTTTCATGATATATAGTATTGCCTTTGTCTTTTTTTTTTTTTTTTTTTTTTGAGAAGGAGTCTCGCTCTGTCGCCCAGGCTCGAGTGCAGTGGCACAATCTCGGCTCACTGCAACCTCTGCCTCCTGGGTTCAAGCAGTTCTCCTGCCTCAGCTTCTTTAGTAGCTGGGATTACGGGCACCCACCATCATGCCTGGCTAATTTTTGTATTTTTAGTAGAGACGAGGTTTTGCCATGTTGGCCAGGCTGGTCTTGAACTCCTGACCTCAGCCTCCCAAAGTGTTGGGATTACAGGTGTGAGCCACTGCGTCCGGCCTGCCTTTGCCTTTATATAACAGTAAAATTAATTCCTTTGGGGTTTATCAACTATGCCCTCATAAATTAGTATCAATATAATATGTTCCATGCACAGAATCATATCATTGTATACAGTAAACATGGCCTTCTCCAGAAGATATAGTCAAGTACTCCAACAGATTGCATGTAATTCACCCAGTCTTATTATCAAAAGGCACAGACAGCCTTTTCCCAGAAATCTTTTAAATGTCCCTAAAACGTGGATTTCTGCACCTCTGGATGAGATATCAGAACAATATTGCCCTAAAATCTCAATGGTTAAGATATGGTCAGGTATTTATAACAACTAGCACAGCAGTAAAAAAACCAAAGGGGTTATCTCTAGATCTATATGTTTCAGATAAAGAGATATAATTCATCTTTGGATTGTCAGAAGACTTTTCTTATCTATTATTTTATATGTGAAGCTGTCCTACTTTTTGAAAGTTTACAGGCAAAGATCTCTACTTGATTGAATTTTCTAACTCCTATTTACTTTCAACTTTAACTGATAATTTCTTTACTATAGTGGTTTTCAACTAGGGACAATGTTGCCCTCAGAGGACTTTTAGTAATGTTAGAGATTTTTATTTGTTTGTTTGTTTAGTTATTTATTTTTTGGTCACAGGTGGGAGAAATGTTTTAGAGGCAAGAGAGGCTGCTAAACATCCTACAATATACAGGAAAGCTCCCCACAGCAAAAAAAAAAAAATTGTTCTTCTCAAAATGTTGACAGTGCTGGAGATCAGACACATTGCTCTACTTTATATTGTATTATCTGTCACTGAACTTCTTTAGTAAATGGCCAATACTGTATGGTAAAATCGAGAGTATTATCCGAAAGAAAATTAAGAAAAACAATCAGAATTAGAAATTAGAGGCTCCTCTGCCTATGGAATACCCATTCTTTTATTCCTTTACTTTCTTAATAAACTTTCACTTAAAAAAAAAAGAAATTAGACTTTCTGGACTGATTCTGTTTGTTCCTTATGTTTTTCATTTCCCTTACCTGTTTTTTCTTCTTGCCCAGATATAAAAAACGTTCTGTCCAGGCACGGTGGCTCACTCCTGTAATCCCAGCACTTTGGGAGGCCGAGGCGGGCAGATCACGAGGTCAGGAGATCGAGACCATCCTGGCTAACACGGTGAAACCCCGTCTCTACTAAAAATACAAAAAATTAGCCAGGCGTGGTGGCGGGCGCCTGTAGTCCCACCTACTTGGGAGGCTAAGGCTGGAGAATAGCGGGAATCCGGGAGGCGGAGCTTGCAATGAGCTGAGATCGCGCCACTGCACTCCAGCCTGGGTGACAGAGCGAGACTCCGTCTCAAAAAAAAAAGTTCTTTTTGCTTCAGTGAGTTGAGATGTTATATTAATTCAATGTCAAGTCTCTGAAGAAACTTTCACTATTTCACTAAGACGGAGAATAAGAAATGGGTGATGACTTTTTTTTTTTTTTTTTTTGCTTACATTTAATAGAAAAATTTGGACTTAACAAGGGGAAGATAATTTCAGGCAGTAATTCATTTGGATTCTAATGTCTTTGGGCTTTAACATAGAGATAGAAGAGATTCAATCTTTGAACTTCAATTTATGCCTAGAAATTTTATAAGAACACTTGTTTATATTCAAATGTGGGAAGTTTTTCTTTTTTAGCATTTTAATATAGGAGGGTATTTATGACTTTTAAAGTCTCTTAATGTCATTTAATTATCAAAGAATCTCTAATGTGCTACACTGGATAATGTAGTGGCACATAACTTAAGATGGCAAAGAAGAGAGGATGTAAATTTTCAGCTATGTGTAAAATGTATATGGTAAAAATTGTATTAGTGTATTATTCTGAGATTAGCTTAGAATCTGATCTCAGAGTAACATGCCGTTCATGAGTGATTCTGAGAAGATATAGAAAAATTAATGACTAGTATTGAAGAAACAGATCCATGAAGATGAGATTTGAGTTATTTTAATAGACTCCTGACATCTCCTCTGCATAGGGAGATAACCCATCCTCCCCTGATTCATTGACCATAAGCTCTGTGGTTAAAAAAATACAAACCCTTGAATTTTGTTTGTGAGGTAATTTGGCCTCATTCTAGATGTTTTCCATCTTTGTGACACTCATGCCATGTCATACTCCTGGTATCCTCCCTGCCCTTTAATTTTCTTGGCCCCAGGAAATGGACTTATCTGATGGAGAGTTTGGAAAGAACCAGGCATGATAAGTTAGCCACTCTTCAGCTCTACAGCTCCTCCTAGTGAGCCTACTTGTAGAAAGCGGGTCTTCTTTTCTACTTCTCTAGGGGCAGGGGGCAGCAGAGGGGAGATCTGCTTCAAGTGCTGGTATGACTGGAATGGTCATGCGCCTAATTCTCAGGTGCAATGTTAGCAAGGTCACATGATTAGCAGGCTTTAACCCATATTATCTAAGTAGGTCTCTATTAGTAATGAAAATGATATTTGTTCAGAACTGGATGAGGAAGCAGACTGACATTGCACTTCAAATAATCAAACACTGCCTACTGATACTTCATATTCTTATTGTTTTACGTATTTAATATTTTTATCTTTTTTTTCTTAGAAACATTTTTTTATAAGTACCTATAGGGTATGAGATTCTTCTGTTATTTATTTTA
Organism: Homo sapiens; assembly: GCF_000001405.40. NCBI lineage: Eukaryota > Metazoa > Chordata > Mammalia > Primates > Hominidae > Homo > Homo sapiens. The sequence goes on from NC_000008.11 coordinate 12,064,204, forward strand.
TTCCTATAGTTCTTAAGAGGCTTGCATGTGCATCAAGAAGAAATGCTCCAGGAGGCAGTCAGTACACATGGGATTAGGACAACATTTATTTCCAGTCAAGGAAGAATAAGGAATTGGGTTAAGCAGGAGTCTGCAAAATTTATCCATCCATTCTGGAGTTCAAAGGGCTTAACGTTTGCTCCCACCTAAGGAGATTTTCCTTTGGGAACCGGAGTTGGATAGGGCTCAAGTATCCACCACCTTCTACAACATTTTTTTCCTTCATTACATATACCAATGGTATCATCTAGTGTGCTGCATAGTTTGTCTCTGCACACCCCTTTCAAAGCAATACACTGTTTTTGTCCTGGAATAACGCCAGTCTTTCCTACACAGGAAGAAATTTAAGAACATCATTAATTCACTATTGAAAATATACATAAAACAATAAACCCCCAGAAGAATGGCTTTGGGATAGGAAAGAAAACATTGTCTATATGAAAGGATCAGACCCGCAGACAGAAACAGCGCCTTTTTATGGGAAGGGAGCTAAGATTGTAGATTATATACACCTTGGAGGAAATAGGCCAATTTCTAAAATCCTTTAAAGGGATTGTCCTCCCCTATTGCAGTACATTTTGAAATGTGTGGGACCATTTGTTCTTGCCACCATGCCTAGGGAAGGTGTCTTTGGTATTTAGCAGATAGCACAGCATTGCTAAATTTTTCACCTAAGGAATTGTCTTGCACCAAACACCAACAATGCCACCACTAAGAAACAGTTTCAAAGGAAGTATGTGTCCCTCCAAATACCCATCTGTGCATACATCATCCCTATCAAATGGTTCATGTGCATATCTTCATCTCCTTTCATAGAAAGCCTATCAATCCTTGAGATTTTATCTAAACTAATTTCCTCATTTCAGAACTATGTAAGAAATACCTTTCCTATGTTGCTCAATACCTCATAGATAGATGGAGGAATGGATAGATAGATAGATAGATAGATAGATAGATAGACAGACAGACACCTGCAGAGAATTACTCACAGAGCTAAAAGGTATTTTCCCTTAAGTGTATCCACATGTTCTCTTAATTCATCTGGTTGTGGAGAAGCATATGGCTAAGGGTGTGCTCTAATTCAGTAGTTTTCTCTATGCTTACTATCCTTTCTCTTGCCTTCTCAGCACAACCATAGTTTATTTTTCCTACTGTATATCACTGCAGATGTTATATAAGAAAAACACTTTTGCTGATGTTCATTAACAGACATTAGTTCCTGAACCATCCTGTTAACACACCTGGATCTTATTTTGTTTTTACTGGCCTCTAATATACTACCTCTGGCTTCTTTGCTTCTGTAGATGAGTAACAGTTTGGTGGCCGTTTCAGCTCTCAATCTTTTTGTTGTTGTTTGTTATTGTTTTGTATTTAAACTAGGCTATCATTATTGTTTCTCTACTCTGTAGAAATAGATCCATAGCCAGAAAAACCAATGCAACCTTTTGGAACTGAGTGCTCATAACCTATGCAAGATTGTCTTCCACTCTTGTTAGAAGCTTCAACCTAGTGCAGTCTGGTATTATACTCTACTATCAGACTAGCAGTTCATAAACTCAGGGTTTCTGTGCACAAGAGAATATCATGATGGGGGAGTTGGGCAATATCTTGTAATATTCTCTCTTTTTTCCAAGACTATTGTGGAAGAGAAAGTGGCTGACTTTCAGAGAGAGACCTGAAGTCTCCCCAGCCAGTTGTGGAAGGTGCTGGTTCAACTGCATTGTCTACACAGAACACAGGCTTCATGCTCAGAAGCATAGCAGACCTGTTGCTAGCTGTTGGTCTTTTCCCTGATAACTTCATCCATACATTTAACATCTGGCAACACTGTCAGACTTTTTAAATGAAGCTAAAATCAGGGGGTGTTAGTACTGGGAAAGATATAGTCAGAGGCAGAGTATGGTATCAAGGAGGCCTATGTGTGTGAACTTAGAGGCATCCCATGCAAAATGAGGTGGAATGTGAATCTTCAGCTGAAGCCAAAAGAGTGAACTTCCTCTCAGCAGGATGCATAACCCACTATACGGTAAAGTTCAGCCTACTGACACAGCATGTAGCCTAAGACAGTGCCAATTCCTCTATTTGGGAGATGTCCCTTGCTTCACTCAAAAGGAGTGGAACAATTCATCCTACCAGTGATGTGCTTCTTGCTACATGGGAAGCTTAATTTAAGGAGGTATGCTTTGAGCATGAAGCCAAAGAATTATAATCTCCCTTTTTACCGATGACTGTGACATATCGTCATGCCGAGGGCACTAGTTTAAGTCAAAAAGATAAGATTAAATTACTTAATTCAGATTCAGATTCATATTCTTCATTCATGAGGAAGGAAATTTCTTCCCAGATATTCACATTTATTTTCAGACTTACTGACAGAAGTATATACATATAGAGCAAAAGAAGAGAGGCACTCTCTAATACACTTTAGAATTTATTTGACATTAATATGTTATAATGGTTATATCACACGGCAGTTGAGGAAAGGATGCATATTTAATAAGTGCCTTTGGAAAAAGAAACAATTTAGATGTTCACTTCATATTATATCACAACATTAATTTCTGTGGATGCAGTGAGAAGGACTTAGAATCACACTGGAAAATACCCTTAATAGCGCATTCATCTACTTTCTAAAAGGATATAACTTTCTTAGCATTAGAACTCATTGAGTCAGTAACTTTTAAGTTTTTTTTTTTTTTGGATGATGTAGAGGATTTAAATGGAACAGGATCTGCCTGGAACTTTATCAATCAAAAAATAGAAGTGCAGTTTCCTTTTCTCTACATAATGTGAGTTCAGGCTGTCTTCTGCTCCTGTCCAATGTCGTGTATTTAGATATTATGTTATTCTCCACAGTCAGTGTAAGAAGAATGCTATAATTTTCTTAATTCTCAGAGAGCTAATGCAGCAATCCAAGATTTATGCCATTCTAACCTCTTTAGACTCATATTCCCAGCATATATATGTATGTTTATGTGTACATATAAATCTATATGAACTATTCCAATTTTTTATAGGATACCATGGATTCTTTTTGGATTAAATATAAGGATATATAAAAACATATATTCAAGTAGCTATAACTTAATATTCATCAGACATTAAGCTGATAAACTAATATTTCAGATTAGGTAGTTTCTTTGGAGAAATTTTTTCATGAAAACAATAACTTTTTTTACTTAATTGGATTTTTTTGGTGTAAAAATGTCTTTAACAAAACTCTTCATGATCTAGCCACTCAATTTTTCTTAAAAGAAATTTTATGACATAAAAGTTATATAGGAGTTATAAAATTTCTAAGATTATCAGAATGCTTCTAGACACCTGATAAATTCTACATGCCCAACAGTCACAGCAGAGATTAAGATCAGAATTTTTGGAGTGCAGTGTTATTAAATTGTATAGACAGCTCAGCAATTAACTATTCAGTACTAAGAGACCATACAAAACTGATATTGAAATTCCTATTTTTCGACCTGAGTGTTCTGGGTCCCACTTCATAATGTGTCCAAGAACATCTCAATATGCACAACTAAGGTATTTTGACCTTTATGTATGGTTTTAATATCCTCTGATCACAAGAAACCTGGCTATTCAAAAGTGATTCCCTCCTGTGCAGAATTATAGGACCTTTGTTTAATCCTTCTTCCTGGTATAGCTGATTTGGAAGGAAGAAAGAAGGGCTGATATTTCTATTCCTCCAGGAAGATGTCACGGCTTGAAAGGCAGGCCTCTGAAGGATTCTTGTCGTATTTGTGGGGAGATTAACTCAGCTTTCAACCTCAAATAACCTCTTGTTCTTCATCTTTTATTTTATTGTGGTCGTAACACTTAAAGTGAGATCTACATTCTTAAGAAATTTTTAAGTGCTATAGATATAATATTGTACAGTTGATATTTAGAGCTTATTCATCTAATAAAACTGAAAACTTTTACTCATTAAATAGCAACTCCCTATTTCCTCCTCCCTCCCCAGTCCCTGGAAAGCACCATTCTGCTACCTGTTTCCATGAGTTTGACTATTTTAGGTACCTCATATAAGTGCAATCATGCACTATTTGTCTTCTGTGACTGGCTTATTTCATTTAGCATAATGTCCTCCAGGTTCATCCATGTTGTCACATATGGTAGAAAACCTCCTTAGTTTCCACAATATATAATTAGAAGATTCTGAGAAAAAAGTCTGGCAGAAATCAGAGTTATCGTTTTTGTATGCATATCTCCACCTATGGATTGATTAAAAACAACATTGACCCAGATTAAAGAGATTTGCTTTTAGCTGCGATGTTGCTACTACCTATGTGATCGGAGGAAAATCACATTCTTTATCTGTACATGGGTTTTATTATCTAAAATAAAAACAACTGCCACTAAATTTTATTTTAATTTGAAATTATTACCATCATATAATTTCATATCACATGTCACTACAAGTGTATCTGACCTCAATGGTATCTTCTGACCAAAGCTGAGAACCAAATGAGAATTGCATAAGCTCCTTCAGAAGGAGGCAATCATATGTGAGGTGGATCTCAACATGTCCACAGATTAGGTAAAGATCAAACAATTGAGTAGCTTTGATTGCACTTCAAAGAATCTCAGAACTGGAACAAAACAAGAGTGCCCCCTCTCACCATCCTAATCAACATAGTACTGGAAATACGAGCCAGAGCAATCAGCCTTTTGAAATAAAAGGCATCCGAATAGGAAAAGAAGAAATCAAATTACCTCATTTTATAGATGATATTATTCTACACTTAAGAAACTCTAAAGATTCTTTGAAAGCCTCCTGGACCTCATAGACAACTTTAGTAAAGTTTCAGGATGCAACATCAATGTACAAGATCAGTAGCCTTTCTATACACCAACAATGTTCAACCCGAGAGCCAGGTCAAGAATGCAATCCCATTTACAACAGCCACACAAAAAATTAAATACCCATGAATACATTTAACCAAGGAGGTGAAAGATCTCTACAAGTGACACTACAAATCACTACTGAAAGCAATCACAGGTAACACAAATAGAAAAATATTCCCTGCTGTGGATTGCAAGAACCAATATTGTGAAAATGGCCATACTGCCCAAAGCAATTTATAGATTCAGTGCTATTCCTATCAAACTACCAATGACATTTTTCACAGAATAGAAAAAACTATTCTAAAACTCATATGAAACCATAAAAGAACTCAGACAACCAAAATAATCCTAAGCAAAAAGAGCAACACTGGAGGCATCATCCTACTTGCCTCCAAATTATACTATAAGGCCACAGTAACTAAAATGGCATGGGACTGGTACAAAAGCAGACACATGAACCACTTGAACAGAATAGAGAACCCAGAAATAAAGCTGCACATTTATAACCATCTGCTCTTTGACACAGTTGACAAAAATAAACAACGGGAAAAGGACTCCCTGTTCAATAAATGGTGCTGGGATAGCTGGCCAGCCACAAGCAGAAGAATAAAACTGGATGCCTATCTTTCACCATATACAAAAAATTAACTCATGACGAATTAAATATTTAAATGTAAGACCTCAAACTATAAGACTCCTAGAAGAAAATCTAAGAAACACCATTGTAGATATTGGCCTTGGGGAATAATTTATGACTAAGTACTCAAAAGCAATTGCAACAAAAACAAAAGTTGACAAGTAGAGCCGAATTAAACTAAAGAGCTTCTGCAGAGAAAAAGAAACTATTAACAGGGTAAACAGAAAACAACAGAATGGGAGAAAATATCTGCTAACTATGCATCTGACAAAAATTTAATATCCGGAATCTACAGGGAATTTAAATCAACAAGCAAAAAATAAATAAAGTGGGGAAAAGACATGAAAAACATGAACAGACTCTTCTCAAAAAAAGATAATAGAAGCAGCCAGCAAACATGAAAAGTAGCTCAACACCACTAATCACTAGAGCAATGCAAATCAAAACCACAATGAGAACTATCTTACACCAGTGAGAATGGCTATTATTAAAAAGTTAAAAAAATAACAGAAACGCAGATGAGGCTGTGGAGAAAAGGAGTGCTTATACACTGTTGGTGGGAATGTAACAGTCTGAAGATTTCTCAAAGAACTTAAAACAGAGCTACCATTCCACCCAGCAATTCCTACTGGGTATATCGTCCAAAAGAAAACAAATAATTCTACCCAAAACATACCTGCACTCCTATGTTCATCCCAGAACTACTCACAATAGTAAAGACAAAGAATCAACCCAGGTGCTCATCAATGGTGGACTGGATAAAGAAAATGTGGTACATATAGACCATGGAATACTATGAAGCCATAAAAAGGAACAAAATCATATACTTTGTAGCAACATGGATGAGCTGGAGGACTGCAAATTAATGCAGAAATAGAAAACCAAATACTGCATGTTCTCACTTGTAAGTGGGAGCTAAACACTGGATACTCATGGACATAAAGATGGGACATGGGAGACTACTAGAGTGGGGAGGGAGGAAAACAAGGATTAAAAAACTATTTGGTACTATGCTCACTACATGAGTGATGGGATTACCATCATGCCCCAAACCTCACATCACAAAATATACCAACATAACAAACATGCACATGTACCCCCTGAATCTACAATATAAGTTGAAATTATTTAAAAAATAATCTCAGAGATAAAGGGAGGAAGAGATCTTTGCTCATTGACCACACACTTTATTTTGGGGGCTATGAACATCCCACTATTAACAGTGGAGATAATAATTTTATCATATCTTATCAGGATCTGGATGAAACACCCTGAAGATGTTTGATTCTATATTCCCTTTTCAGTTTGATTCTACATTTCGATATTTAAACTTCTGAATCGTGGACCCTAAGGATGCAACTATGAGTCTTGAAGGGTTTTCTGTACTATTTGTCTTATGCTTAAAATTTTGCCATTAAAGCTTCATGCCACTGTTTATTCTTTTCCCAATTCCCTTGTTCCCAAATTTCTATTGGTCTTTTATAATTTGATGCAAAATTTTCTTGTTGAACTCTGTCTTATTTGCCTAACTGCTACCCTTCACAAATATTCCTCACCAATAGACTCAACATCACTTCCATCCACTACCGAGTTGGAATCAAGAACTATCATCTTCACTCTCCTTTTTGGAGAGTGAAGCCTTGATGATAGCTGTTTGCTTTATTTACTAACCTTTAAATCACATATCAGAGCTTCTATACCCCTAACTCTATTTCGGCCCCATTTTCTAATTATCGAGCTCTTGAACCCCCATTTTCTGTTGAAAGAACTCCTTGTCCTGCTTCTCAATTGTGGCCTCATTAGTACCAAAGAAGAGAAACATGGTGGATTTCTGAATTCCTAAGGCTGTGAATTGGGGTCTGAGTTCGGATGGCCACAGCATAATTATCTCAGTAGACCTCTTCCGGTCTAGGCGTCCCAATAGACTTCTACAATCATTCACCATCTTACCTTTTGGTATTAAAGTCACAAAGAGGAGGAGAACAGAAATAAGGGAATGGAGTTTCATGGTTGAGTGCCCAATAGAGAGGTGAGTGATCAGGGCTGGTGGAACACAGGGGTTTTATTTAATTCTGGGGGCCTGAGGTTCCTCTTGCTCAGTGAAGCTTAACAGAAAGGACATAAAACAGCTTCCGTTGGAATACTTCCAAACTCGAAGGTCTCTAAATTTTGTGACAAATTAACCTAATTGTAGGAAACCAGATGGCTAACCCTTTCCTTTTCCTATGGCTCTCAATTTCACCAGAGGTGAATTAATACCTGTAGTTAATTTTCTTTTTTGAATGGGGCTAAGAAGTAAAGCCATGTGGGTACAGAACATCCTTACTGCAAAAGTCCTAGGGCTTGTAAGGAAACATTTCCATAATACACTGTTTTTTTTTGTTTTGTTTTGTTTTGTTTTTGTTTTTGTTGTTGTTGTTTTTTTGCAAGAGGGACAAGAGTATTCTCTAAGGTCCATTTATGAAAAGCTATGTTTTTCTTATTTTTTTTTTTTTAACTAAGTTAGTCCTTAAAAGAAAGGCTGTCACTTGTGTGAGGTGTTCTTTTTTTTTTTTTTGAGACGGAGTCTCGCTCTGTCGCCCAGGTTGCAGGCTGGAGTGCCGTGGCGCGATCTCGGCTCACTCAAGCTCCACCTCCCAGGTTCACGCCATTCTCCTACCTCAGCCTCCCCAGTAGCTGGAACTACAGGCGCCCACCACCACGCCCGGCTAATTTTTTGTATTTTTAGTAGAGACGGGGTTTCACCGTGTTAGCCAGGATGGTCTCCATCTCCTGACCTCGTGATCCGCCCACCTCGGCCTCCCAAAGTGCTGGGATTACAAGGCGTGAGCCGCTGCGCCCGGCCCTGAGGTGTTCTTAATCACATCCGAAAGGTGGATACATTTAATTCACATTGAAAACAAATATTTTTTCATCGTTATTGATCCTTTGTATAATTATCTCATACAACAAGACAAGTAAGATCAGGAGAGTTGAAAGATAAAAGACAGAGTAAAGTGCGCAGCTCCTCTCAAAAGACTCTGAGCCTACAGCTTAAAGAGATTCCCCTAACCTTTCACCCTAACCCACCACATAGCAACAAAATATTGAAAGCTTAAGAGCATGCTTTAATCAAGAATCAATTGACCAACATCCAACTTACCCAAAACAAATTTACCTTCTGTTCAATTCCTTATTGGCATATTTCCTTGAATTGATATTTTTTTAAATTTGTAAACTTTCATATATGGTGTCAGTCTTTTCTGAAAAATTATATATGCATATATATATAACTTTTATATAGCTTTTATTTGACTACTTTTGATCATTTTCATGTTAGTTGATGTATTTATGAGCATTTGCTAATTTATTTCCTCATTAATAATTTATGCCTTAATAATTTTAGGTTTGAATAAATGTTCCAAAAGACTAATATTCAAAAGATTTTTTGAAAAGTAGAACAAAGCCAGACAATTTAGACTACCTTGTTTCAAGACAAAGCTACAATAACGAAGACACTGTGATACTGAAATAAGAAGAGACATATAGTTCAACAGAACATAATAGAGAGTCAAGGATACGACCATCATATGAATGGTCTGCATATGGGTAAGACCATATATATTTATCCATGCTTAATGATTTTGACAAAGGTGCTAAGTAAAGTCCTTTTTTTTTTTATGCCCTCATTCTTGTATATGTAACTCATTCAAGTGTTTCGTGTGCAGGTTTGTTACATGGATAAATTGTGTGTCCTGGGGGTTTAGTATACAGATAATTTTCCCAGGTATTCAGCGTATTACTCAACAGGTAGATTTTCAATCCTCACCCTCCTCCCACCCTCCACCCCAGGTAGGCCTTAGTGTCTGTTGTTCCCTTCTTTGTGTCCATCTGTATTCAGTGTTTAGCTTCCACTTTTTTTGTTTGTTTGTTTGAGACACAGTCTTGCTCTGTTGCCCAGGCTGGAGGGCAGTGGCATGATCTCTGCTCACTGCAACCTCCACCTCCGGGGTCCAAGCGATTCTCCTGCCTCAGCCTCCTGAGTAGCTGGGACTACAGGTGTGCGCCACCACGCACAGCTAATTTTTTGTATTTTTAGTAGAGACAGGGTTTCACCGTGTTAGCCAGGATGGTCTCAATCTCCTGACCTCGTGATCTGCCTGCCTCAGCCTCCCAATAGCTTCCACTTTTAAGTAAGAATGTATGGTATTTGGCTGTCCGTTTCTGTGTTAATTTGGTTAGAATAATGGCCTCCAGCTGCATCTGTGCTGCTGCAAAGGACATGATTTTTTCTTTTCATGGCTGCATACTATTCTATGGCGCATATATGCCACACTTTCTTTATCTAGTCCGCTGTTGATGGGCATCTAGGTTGATTCCATGTCTTTACTATTGTGAATAATGCTGCAATGAACATACAAATGCATGTATCTTTATGGTGGAATAATTGATATTCCTTTAGATATATACTAAGTAATGGGATTGCTGTGTCAAGTAGTGCTTTTATTTTAAGTGTTTTGAGAAATCTTCAGACTACTTTCCACTATAGCTGAACTAATTTATATTTCCACTAGCAGTCTATAAGAATTCCCTTTTCTCCAAAGCCTCACCAGTGTCTGTTATTTTTTGACTTTTAATAATATCTATTCTGACTGGTGTGAGAGGGGATCTTATTGTGGTTTTGATTTGCATTTCTCTAGTTATTAGTGATACTGAGCATTTTAAAAATATGTTGGGTGTCTCTCTGTATGTCTGCTTTTGAGAAGTGTCCATGTTTTCCAAATTTTTAAATAAAGGTTTTAGTTTTTGCTTGTTGATTTAAATTCCTTATAGATTCTGGATATTAGACTTTTGTCAGATGCATGGTTTGCAAATATTTTCTCCCATTCTGTAGTTTGCTGTTTACTCTGTTAACAGTTTTTTTTTTTTTTCTCTGCAGAAACTCTTTAGTTAATTCGGCTCCACTTGTCAATTTTTGTTTTTGTTGCAGTTGCTTTTGAGGACTTAGTCATGCATTATTTCCCAAGGCCAATGTCGAACATGATGTTTCCTAGATTTTCTTCTAGAATTTTTATAGTTTGAGGTCTTATATTGAAATCTTTAATCCATCTTGAGTTAGTTTTTTGTATATCGTGAAAGGTAGGCATTCAGTTTCATCCTTCTAACATATGGCTAGCCAGCTATCTCCGCCCCATTTATTGAACAGGGAGTCTTTTCCCCATTGTTTATTTTTGTCAACTTTGTCAAAGAGCAGATGGTTGTAGGTGTGCAGCTTTATTTCTGTGTTACAGCAATCTTTATCTCTGGAATAGAGATTCTGTTGCAATGGTCCATGTGTCTGCTTTTGTACCAGTCCCATGTTGTTTTAGTTTCTGCAGCTTTGTCATATAGTTTGAAGTCAGGTAATGTGATGCCTCCAGTGATGTTCTTTTTTGCTTAGGATTACTTTCACTCATCAGACTCTTTTTTTTTTGGTCTCATATGAATGTTAAAATAGTTTTTTCTAACTCTGTAAACATGTCATTGATAGTTTGATAGGAATAGCACTGAATCTGTAAATTGCTTTGAGCAGTACGGCCATTTTAAGAATATTGACTCTTCCTATCCATGAGCATAGAATGTTTTTTCATTTGTTTGTGTCATCCCTTATTTCTTTCAGCATTGTTTTATAATTCTCATTTAGAGATCTTTCATCCTCCTGGTTAGCTGTATTCCTAGGTATTTTTATTTTTTCTTCCAGCTATTATGAATGGAATTTTGTTCTTGGTGTGGCTCACAGCTTGGTGTATAGAAATGATATTGATTTTTTATACATTGATTTTTCATCCTGCAACTTTACTGAGTATCAGGTCTATGGCCTTTGGGCAGAGACTATGGAATTTTCTCATTATAGAGTCATATCATCTGCGAAGAGAGATAGTTTGACTTCCTCTCTTTCTAGTTGGATGCCTTTTATTTCTTTCTCTTACCTGATTGCTCTGGCTAAGATTTCCAGTCTTTCAACTAGTGGTTCTGAAGACTGAGATACAAACAGAAGTCATATAACCTTTTATTATGTAGCCTGAGAAGTCAGAAAGCATCATCTGCACTGTATTTATTAGTTAAGGCAGTTACAAAGGTTTGCCTCAGATCAAGCAGAGGGAACATAGACTTCACCTCTCAGTGGAGGAGTATCAATGTTACATTATAAAAAGATCTTGTGGGATGGAATATATATTTTTAGAAAACTAAATTTTTGGAAATGCATTTTTGAAAAATGCAATGTGCCACAGTAGCTATAACTTTTTTTTCAGTTTCAAAAATGTCAGTTTTACATGGTTCAATCCATTATGCTCTTGAATAAAATTGCCAGAATTTTATTGTCCTTCATTTTCAATATTGGGAATTGTTGTGACTAATAAGTAATAATAATAGTATAATGAATAAATTATACGGTACAAAGAGTATAATAAAAAGGTTGTGGTATAGTGAGATCAGCAAAAGTGGAATAAAAATGTTCAAAATTTTATCTCTTTATAAAATATACGATAAAACTGGCAACAACTGTCAACATAAAGCTTTTTAGAACTCTGAAAACTAACCTAAGGTTTTCAGCAATCTAGGGAGTGTTAATTCTAGCAAAATATCTGGTCTCAGTAAGAACATCGATTTGTGGTTTTTAACTTACCCTGTTTCCATTCTTCACAGAGAAGCAGCAGGCTTGAAAATAATGCCCAGATTCTTAACACCAATGCCAGAAGAAACAGAATGGACCTCATTCATGAAAAATTGGTCTGCCTGTTGACTCCCTGTAATATATTCTCAGAAGCCTTGTTTTTTCACCTAACCTGGACCTCACGCAGTGGTAAAGCTGCTACTTGGTGTGGGGCGGTATTAGAAAACATTTACAGAAAAACATTATAAATACTGTCGCCTGAACACTGGGGAAAACAATAGACTAAACAAAAGTCTTCAGAGGAAGTCCTGGGAATGAGATGCTTTGGGGAATGTGGGCTTTGAAAAGCTTCAACATATTTCTGAGAATTTGCAAAACTGTGTATGTCAAGGCTGTGTGCATGTTTAGTAAAAACCTGGGAAATGGCCGGGCGCGGTGGCTCACGCCTGTAATCCCAGCACTTTGGGAGGCCGAGGCGGGCGGATCACGAGGTCAGGAGATCGAGACCATCCTGGCTAACGCGGTGAAACCCCGTCTCTACTAAAAATACAAAAAATTAGCCGGGCGTGGTGGCGGGCGCCTGTAGTCCCAGCTACTCGGGAGGCTGAGGCAGGAGAATGGCGTGAACCCGGGAGGCGGAGCTTGCAGTGAGCTGAGATCGCGCCACTGCACTCCAGCCTGGGCGACAGAGCGAGACTCCGTCTCAAAAAAAAAAAAAAAAAAAAAAAAAAAAAAACCTGGGAAATTTCTACCTTCCCTGCACAAGCAGAAAGTGTAAGCCAAGGCAGAGTCGTAATCTGTCTGTCTGAGTGTTGAAAGCAGGGCCCAACACATACACAAAGCCCCTCTGCAAGTTCCAAACACATATGGAAATCTTTGTCAAATTATTAGCTGACCTCTAAGCTAATGGAAAAAATATTTTAATCGACATAGGTGACAAAAAATAGAGACCAAAAAGTTTATTCAGAAAAGATACTGAACAAACAAATAACTACAATGAGGAGTACAACGTGGGGAGGACGGAGAATCTTATTTCTAGAGTGGCCACATTATCATGTTTAAAATGTCTGGTATTCAAAAAAAGTATGAGACATGCAAAAAGAAAAAACCCAAGAAAGTATGGCACATGGAAAAGAAAACATTCAGTTAATGAAATCTATCCCGAGGAGATCCAGACATTGGCTTTAATAGAAACAGACTTTAAATCAACTATTTTAGATATGTTCAAAGAGCTAAAGGAAACGGCATCTAAGGAACTAAAGAGAAACATGAGAATGATATCTCACAAAAATAGAGAATATCAACAAGAGACAATTAAAAAAAACATGAGAATGATATCTCACAAAATAGAGGCTATCAATAATTTTTTTTTAAAAAAATTATTTATTTTATAATGTTCTTTTAAAAAGAAACCAAATAGAAATTCTGGAGTTGAAAGATAAAATAATGGAAATGAAAAATACTCTAGAGGGCTAAACAGCAGATTTGAGGAGGTACAAAAAATTAGTGAACATGAAAATAGGTCAATTGAGATTATCCAGTTAGGGAAAATCTCAGAGAAAAGAATGAAGAATAATAAATGGAGTCTAATAGACCTGTGGAACACCATCAAGATATCAACATATGCATAATGGAAGTTCCAAAAAGAAAAGAGAGAGAGAAAGGTACAGAAAATATATTTGAAGATATAATTGTCTAATGCTTACCAAATTTTATAAAAAATTTAACCTGCATGTACAATAAGCTCAATGTACTCTAGATGGATAAACTGAAAGAAACCACCCGAAGACATATCATAACCAAATGGCTCAAATCCAAAGCCAAAGAGTAAATCTTGAAAACAGTAGGAGAGAAGAGACTTATCATTTACAGTAGTTCCTTCTTATCCATGAGGGATACATTTCAAAACTCCTAGTGAATACCTGAAACCATGGATAGTACTGAATCATACACATATTATGTTTTTTAATACATACTTACAATAACATTTAATCAAAATTTAAAATTTGATAATTTTATTATATAAATTGGGGGAGTACTCTTGCATTTTGGGGCCATTATTAAGTAAAATTAGGGTTACTTGAATACAGGACTGTGATAGCGTGACAGTCAATCTGATAACCAGGACAGGTGTTAATTGACTAATGGGTCGGTAGCATATACAGGATGAATATTCTGGACAAAGGAATGGTTCACATCCCAAGTGGGATGAAGCCAGATAGCATGAGATTTCATCATGCTGCTCGAATGGCATGCAATTGAAAATTGTTTATTTCTGAAATTTTCCATTTAATATTTTCAGGTGAAAGTTGACCATAGGTAACTGAAGCCATGGAAAGTAAAATTGCAGATAAGGGAAGATTAGTTATTAGTGATTCACAGTAAATTTACAGCTGACCTCTTTTAAGAATGCAGTGGGATGATAAAAAATTCTACAAGGAGTGATTTGGGCTGAAATGAAAGAACATTATACAGTAATTTCAAACACATAAAGGAGTAAAAATGCTGGTGTGTGTGTGTGTGTGTGTGTGTGTGTGTATCTTTAATAAAGGGAACTTTAGTATATATAAGCAATATCCTCTTTTCTTCTGATTTAAAAACAACTGCACATCACATTGCAGCATTACTCACATTACCCAAGATATTGAAAAAACCTAAGTGTTTATGAACAGATGGATAAAGGAATTATATACATAATAAAATATCACTCAGTTTTGTAAAGAAGTTTCTTTCATTTGCATCAACATGGATGAACCTAGAAGACATTATGCTAATAATAAATCAGGCACAGAAAGAAAAATACTGCATTGTCTCATTTATAGGTAGACCCTAAACAAAAAAGCCCCACAAAAGCCCTAAGAAATAGAAAGGTTAGAAAGAGGTGGGAGATGTGTGGAAGATGGAAGATGAAAGCCAAAGGGTACAAGTTTCAGCTATATAAAATACATATGCCTAGAGATCTCATGTACAACACAAGAGCTGTAGTTAATAACGTATCATACTCCAGAAATTTGCCCAGAGCAGATTTTAGATACTTTTACCACAAAAAAGTAACTATGTGAGATGACGGATATGTTAATTTGCTTGATTATGGCAATCATTGCACTATATATATATGTATATATACACAAACATAATATTGTATATCTTAAATACAATAAAAAGAAAGTCAATGCATAAAGCAATAAATATAAACGTATGTTCATGATCATACGATGTATAAAGATGTGATTTAGGTTGGGCCCGGTTGCTCACGCCTGTAATCCCAGCACTTTGGGAGGCCGAGGCGGGCGGATCACCTGAGGTCAGGAGTTCGAGAGCAGCCTGACCAACATGGAGAAATCCCGTGTCTACCAAAAATACAAAATTAGCTGGGCATGGTGGCCCATGCCTGTAATCTCAGCCAAAAAAAGCAGGGGTTGCAATTCTAGTCCCTGACAAAACAGAGTTTAAACCAACAAAGATAAAAAAAGACAAAGAAGAGTATTACATAATGATAAAGGGATCAATTCAACAAGAAGAGCTAACTATCCTAAATATATATGCACCCAATACAGGAGCACCTAGATTCATAAAACAAATTCTTAGACACCTGCAAAGAGACTTAGACTCCCGCAAAATAATAATGGGAGACTTTAACACCCCACTGTCAATATTAGATCAACAAGACAGAAAATTAACAAAGATATGCAGGACTTGAACTCAGCTCTGGATCTAGTGGACTTAATAGACATCTACAGAACTCTCCACCCCAAATCAACAGAATATATATTCTATTCAGTGCCACATGACACATATTCTAAAATCGACTGCATAGTTGGCAGTAAAACACTCATCAGAAAATGCAAAAGAACTGAAAATATAACAAACTGTCTCTCAGACCACAGTGCAATCAAATTAGAACTCAGGATGAAGAAACTCACTCAAAACCACACAACTACATGGAAATTGAACAATCTGCTCCTGAATGACTCCTGGGTAAATAAGGAAATTAAGGCAGAAATCAAGAAGTTATTTGAAACCAACGAGAACAAAGACCACATACCAGACTCTCTGGGGCACAGCTAAAGCAGTGTTAAGAGGGAAATTTATAGCACTAAATGCCCACATCAGAAAGCTAGAAAGATCTCAAAAATGACAGCCTAACATCACAATTAGAAGAGCTAGAGGAGCAACAACAAACAAATCCAAAAGCTAGCAGAAGGCAAGAAATAACTAAGATCAGAGCAGAACTGAAGGAGATAGAGATACAAAAAAACCCTTCAAGAAATCAATTAATCCACAAGCTGATTTCTTGAAGAAATTAACAAAATAGACCACTAGCTAGACTAATAAAGAAGAAAAGAGAGGAGAATCAAATAGACACAATAAAAATGATAAAGGGGATATCACCACTGACCCTACAGAAATACAAACTATCACTAGAGAATACTATAAATACCTCTATGCAAATAAACTAGAAAACCTAGAAGACATGCATAAATTCCTGGACATATACACCCTCTCGAGACTAAACCTGGAAGAAGGTGAATCCCTGAATAGACCAGTAAGAAGCTGTGAAATTGAGACAGTAATTAATAGTCTACCACCCAAAAAAAGTCCAGGACCAGACTGATTCAGAGCTGAATTCCACCAGAGATAGAAAACCAGCACAAGACAAGGATGCCCTCTCTCACCGCTCCTATTCAACATAGTATTGGAACTTCTGGCCAGGGCAAACAGGCAAGAGAAAGAAATAAAAGTATTCAAATAGGAAGAGAGGAAGTCAAATTGTCTCTGTTTGCAGATGATGTGATTCCCTCTTTAATAAATGGTGATGGGAAAAATGGCTAGCCATATTCAGAAAATTAAAAGTGGACCCCTTCCTTACACCTTATACAAAATTTAACTCAAGATGCATTAAAGACTTAAATGTAAAACCCAAAACCATAAAGATTCTAGGAGAAAACCTAGGCAATACCATTCAGGACATAGGCATGGGCAAAGACTTCATGACGAAAATGCCAAAAGCATTTGCAACAAAAGTCAAAACTGACAGATGGGATCTAATTAAGCTAAAGAGCTTCTGCACAGCAAAAGAAACTATCATCAGAGTGAACAGGAAACCTACAGAATGGGAGAAAATTTTTGAAATCTCCCCATCTGACAAAGGTCTAATATCCAGAATCTACAAGGAGCTTAAACAAATTTACAAGAAAAAGCAACCCCCTTAAAAAGTTGGCAAAGAATATGAACAGACACTTCTCAAAAGAAGACATTTATGCGGCTAACAAACATAAAAAAAAGCTCAACATCACTGATTATTAAAGAAATGCAAATCAAAACCACAATGAGATAATATTT
Organism: Homo sapiens; assembly: GCF_000001405.40. NCBI lineage: Eukaryota > Metazoa > Chordata > Mammalia > Primates > Hominidae > Homo > Homo sapiens. Next base: position 12,081,717 of record NC_000008.11, read on the forward strand.
CATGCCAGTCAGAATGGTGATTATTAAAAAGTCAAGAAGCAATAGATGCTGGTGATGCTCTGGAGAAATAGGAATGCTTTTACACTGTTGGTGGGAATGTAAATCAGATCAACCATTGTAGAAGACAGTGTGGTGATTCTTCAAGGATCTAGAACCAGAAATACCATTTGTCCCAGCAATCCCATTACTGGGCATATACCCAAAGGAATCATAAATCATTCTACTGTAAAGATACAAGCACACATATGTTTATTACAGCACTATTTACAATAGGAAAGACATGTAACCAACCCAAATGACTATCAGTGATAGACTGGAAAAGAAAATGTGGTAAATATACACCATGGAACACTATGCAGCCATAAAAAGGAATGAGATCATGTCCTTTGCAGGGACATGGATGAAGGTGGAAGCCATCATCCTCAGCAAACTAACACAGGAACAGAAAAACTAACACCACGTGTTCTCACTCATAAGTGGGAGTTGAACAATGAGAACACATGGACACAGGAAGGGGAACAACACACACCAGGGCCAGTCAGGGGATGGGGGCGCGAGGGGAGGGAGAGCATTACGATAAACAGCTCATTCATGTGGAGCTTAAAACCTAAATGACGGGTTGCTAGGAGCAGCAAACCACCAGGGCACAGGTAAACCTTGCAACAAACCTACACGTTTTGGACTTGTATCCCAGAACTTAAAGTAAAATGAAAAAATAAAAAAAAGTAGTACAAGAACAAGATAATTAAAATGATACACTAGAAATATTTAATACAAAGGAAGGCAATAATGGAGGAATGAAAGAATTGAAGAACAAAAAAGATATAAGATATATAGACAACAAATAGAAAAATGGCAGAAATCCTTCCTTATTAGGAATTATAGTCCATGTAAATGAATTAAATTCTACAATTAAAGGCAGAGATTGAGAGAATATATTTAAAAACATGATCCAATTATATGTTATCTATGAGGCTCATTTTAGATTAAAATACACAAGTAGTTTGAAAAAAAAGAATGGAAAATAATATTTCATGCAAATTGTGACCAAAAAAGAGCAGAAATAGCTATATTAATGTCAGACAAAATAGACTTCAAGACAAAATTTTTATAACCAAAAGGATATTGTATAATATTAAAAGGGTCAATCCATTAATAAGATATAATAATTATAAATATGTATGCACCTAATAAGAGAGCCCTGAAATACATATATGCTAATATAACTGAAGAGAGAATAGCTAAAAAGTATGGATATTCTGATACTCTAAATTTAATAATACAAAATAACTAGATAGAAGACCGGTAAGAAAATGGAAAACTTGAGCAACACTATAAACCAGTAGACTAACAGACATCTATACAACACTCCAATTAACAACAGGTGAATACATATTTTTTTCTTAAGTAAACACAAAACAGTCTCCAGAATAGTCCACGTTAGGCCATAAAATAAATCTCAGAAAATTTTAAAATATTAAAATCATACAAAATACTTTCTCCAATCACTGTGGGATGAAACTAAAAATCAGTAACAGAAAAAAAAAACTGAAAAATTCACAAATATGTGAGAATTAAACACCATACCCCTACATAACCAATGTGTCCAAGAAGAAATCACAAAGGGAATTGAAAAATACTTGGAGAAGAACGAAAATGAAAATACAATCAGGGATGCAGCAAAAGCTAAGCTCAGATAAAAATTTATAGATGTAAACCCTTACCTTAAAAAAGAATGAATAAAATAGATAGCTAACATTCGAAATTCAGAACCCAGGAAAAGAAGAACTAATTAAATTCACAGCAAGCAGGAAAAATAAAATAATAAATATTAGAGCAAAGTGAAATAGAGAATAACAAAACAGTAGAGAAATCAACAAAACCAAAAGTTGATTATTTGAAAAGATCGAGAAACTTGACTAACCTTTTGCTATACTGACCAAGGAAAAAAGGAAGAATACATAAATTACTAAAATTAAAAATAAAGGCCAGGCGCGGTGGATCACGCCTGTAATCCCAGCACTTTGGGAGGCTGAGGCAGGCAGATCACGAGATCAGGAGATCAAGACCATCCTGGTTAACATGGTGAAACCCCGTCTCTACTAAAAAAATACAAAAAATTAGCCGGGCGTGGTGGCGGGCGCCTGGAGTCCCAGCTACTTCGGAGGCTGATGCAGGAGAATGGCGTGAACCCAGGAGACAGAGCTTGCAGTGAGCGGAGATGGCGCCACTGCACTCCAGCCTGGGCAACAAAGCGAGACTCTGTCTCAAAAAAAAAAAAAAAAAAAAAAAAAAAAGAGTGGGGATACTACTACCCAACTTACATAGATAAAAGAAATTATAAGAGAACCCTATGAATAATTGTATGTCAACAAATTAGATACCCTAAATAAAATGATGGACAATTTCTACAAATAAACTACCAAAACTGAGTCAAGAAGAAATAAAAAATACAGATAGACATATAACAAGTGACGGTAGTGAGTCTGTGATCAAAAACTTCCAAAAATATAATCCAGGACCAGATGGCTGTACTAGTGAATTTAATCACGTTTAAAGAATAATGAAGGCTAAGCTTTCCTACAGTCTTTAAAAAATTATGACACATTTCCAAACTAATTTTATGTGACCAGTATTACCCTGATATGAAAGCAAGACAAAGACATTACCAGAAATGAAAACTAGTCCAGTATTCTTTATAAATAAAGATACAAAAATTCTTAACAAAATACTTTAAAATGGAATCTAGCAATACATTAGAAGGATTATACACCACAACCAAGTGCAATTTATTTTAAGAATTGGCTTGTGGGCGGTGGCTCAAGCCGGTAATCCCGGCACTTTGGGAGGCTAAGGCAGGCAGGTCACTTGAGGCCAGGAGTTCGAGACCAGCCTGGCCAACATGGCAATACTCCATCTCCACTAAAGATACAAATTTAGCTGGGCGCGGTGGCGCACGACTGTAATTTCAGCTACTCCGGTGGCTGAGGCAAGAGAATCGCTTGAACCCGAGAAGCAGAGGCTGCAGTGAGGTGAGATTGCACCACTGCCCTCCAGCCTGGGTGACACAGCAAGACCCTGTCTCAAAAAAAAAAAAAAAAGAAGAAAAAAAAGAAGTTTTTTTAAATCTGCAAAATCAATCAATATTAGTAGAATAAAGGGAAAAAAAGCCACAATCGTCTCAAAAGACATAAACAATTATTTGACAAAATCTAGTGTCCTTTCATGATGACACTCAAGAAATCATAAATCCAAGACAATTTTCTCACCCTGATAACGAGCATCGATAAGAAAAGTGTAGCTAACATCATACCTAATAGTGAAAGACTAAAAGGTTTTCTCCTAAAAACAGGAACAAGAAAAGAATGTCTGCCCTTGACACTTCCGTTCAACAATGTGCTGAAAGTTCTAGCAAAGGCAATTAGGCTAAGAAGAAACTAAAGGCATTCGGAGGAAAGGAAGAAGCATTATTATCTCCATTAAGCCATGAAATGATATTACATGTAGAATACTCAAAAGAATTCACAAAAATCTATTAGGGCTAATAAACAATTTCAACAAAGTTTGAAGATACTAGATCAATATGCAAAAATCAGCTGCATTTCTTTTCTGTAATAGGAATGAACAACTTGGAAGTTAAATGAAGAAAACAATGATACTTACAATAGCATAAAACATTAAATACATAGGAAATAGTGCAATGAAGGAAGTGTAAGACTTGTCCGCTGAGTCTACAAAATATTTTTGAAAGAAAAAGAAGACCCAAGTGAATGGAAAGATTTCTCATGCTCATGAGTTGGAAGATTTAATATAATTTAACTGAAAATACTTCCCAAATTGATTTACAGATTTAATGCAACCCCTATCAAAATTCTGTCTTTTTGCAGAAATTGACAAAAATTATTCTAAAATTTATATAGAAATGAAAAGACGATTAAATATCCAAAACAATTTTGAAATAGAAGAACAAAGTGGGAGCACTCAAATTTCTCAATTTCAAAACTTACCTCAAAGTCACAATAATCTGAACAGTGTGATAATGGTGTAAGAATAGACATATAGACTGATAAAATCAAATTTAAAGTTCAGAAATAAACCCATTCATCTACATGCAATTGATTTTCAACAAGGGTGCCAAGAGCATTTAATGAGGAACGAATAGTCTTCAACAAATGGTGCTGGGACAACTGGATATCCACATGTAAAAGGAAAAATTTGTCTACCTCATGCCATATATGAGAATTAATTCAAAACTGACCAAAGACCTTAATGTGATAACTAAAATTGTAAATGTTTAGGAAAAAATGGTACAAATATTTGTGACCTTAGATTAGGCAATGCTTTCTTAAATATGACACCAAAAACATAGCCACAAAAAATAGTTAAATTGGACTTCATTTAAGTTAAAAATTTGAGTGCATTAAAGGATACTGCCAAGGAAGGGGAAAAAAGCCCAATGAATATGAGAAAAATATTTGAAAATTGGATTAATATCCAGAATATATAAAGAACTACTACAAATCAGCAGCAGCAACAACGACAATAAAACACAAATGATCTAAGAAATGATCAAAAGATTTGAATAGTTTTTTGAAAAAGATATTTAAGTGGGCTATAAGCACATGAAAGGGAAATGAAAAAACCACAATGAGATACCATTTGATATCGAGTGGAATAACTATTATCAAGAAAGATGGAAAATAACAAGTGTTGTGGAAAATGTGGAGAAATTGGATTCTCATACATTTCTGATGGAAACATAAAATGGTGGAGGTAGTTTGAAAAACAGGTTGGCATTTCTTAAAGAATTAAAAATAGAGTCACCATATAACCCAGCAATTCTACTCTTAGGTATATACTTAAGAAAATAGTTTCTACCTAAGAGTTGAAAAATTCTCAATGAATTCTCATAGCAGCATTATTCATAATAGTAAAAAAACCTGAAATAACCCAAATGCCCATCAGCTGATAAATATATAAACACAATGTGGTATATTTATATAACACAGTATTATTTATTGATAGAAGGAATGAAATAGCTATATATCCTACAACTTGGATGACCTTGAAAAATTATGTTAAGTTATGGAAGGCAGACACAAATGGGTATATATTTTATAATTCCAGTTATGTACTGTCCAGAATAGTCAAATCTATAAAGATAGAAAACAAATTAGTAGTTTCTGGGGATTAGAGAAGGAGTTTCTTTTTGGGGTGATGGAAAGGTTTTGGAATCAAATAGTGGTGATGGCTGCACAACATTGTAAATATACTAACATCTATTAAATTAAACAAATCAAAATGGTTGAAATAGTGAATATTTCATTGTGTGAATATTATCTTAATAAAAATTGTTTTGATAAATACGATGTTTTGGAGTGTCCCTTTTTCTTTTTTTCTTAGAAGAGTTGGATATAATTACAATTTTTTAAATTTCTGAAATGTGGTTGAAAATATAAGTTAAGTGCCCTCTTTTTTGGAAGGTTATTGATTACAGAATTAGTTGCTTTATTAATTCAGGAAAACATTCTTATTTTCTGTTTCATCTTGAGTTAATTTTGTCAAGTTTCGTTAATGGTTTTGCATATTTAAAGATGCTTCCTTTTTTCCTGTTACTTTTATTTGTGCATTTTATTTTCTTTGTAATTCATACTGCAAAGACTGAGATGTTTCTGTTTTCTATTATTATTTTCTTCTGAGATCAGATGAGATCAGGAGTGTTCATGATGGTATTGCCAAAGACTCACCATTATTATTTTCTAATATTAGCAATTATGACCCTGAATTTCCTCTTTAATATTATACCAATGGAATCCAAAAAGTTTTAATAAGTAATATTTTAATTTCAATATATTTATTTTTTCACTAAGATTTTTTTCTTTAATTAACTGGGTTTTAGAACAGTTTCTTATAATTTCATATCAGTGTGATAAATGAACACTTTCTGTAGAGTGTCAGTTATTTGACTTTTGTTAAGATTTGGCATGTAGAACAAATCGTTATATGGTCAATATTTGTGCATATTCAATATGTCCTATTAAAACTGTATTCTGTAGTTGTTGAATGAAGTTATTTGTAATTATTTCCTTCACAAAAATAGTAAATTTTTATTAACATCCAATGTATTATTGATGTTTAAAGTCTTCTTTTTCTTTGAATGACTAAGAAAAATAAGTTATAATCTCCCACTATAGTTTGGAATTTTTTCATTTTTCCTTGTAGGTTGCTCAATTTTTGTTTTATAAATTTGATGCTATGTTATTAAAGTGCACATATTTTGATGTATATATTTTTCTGGTACCACACTGTTTTGGTGACTATGATCTTATAGCATACTTTGAAATCAGGTAGTGTGATGCCTCCAGATTTGTTCTTATTGCTTTGTCTTGCTTTGGATATGTGGGCTCTTTTTTTGTTCCATATGAATTTTAGAATTGTTTTTACTAACTCTGAAGAATGATGGTGGTGTTCTGATGACTCCATGGGGGTCATCCACGTTGTAGGATATATAGCTATTTCATTCCTTCTATCAATAAATAATACTGTATTATATAAATATACCACAATGTGTTTATATATTTATCAGCTGATGGGCATTTGGGTTATTTCAGCTTTTTTACTATTATGAATAACGCTGCTATAAGAATTCACTGAGAATTTTTCAACTCTTACGTACAAACTTTTTTCTTAAGTATATACCTAAGAGTGGAATTGCTGGGTTATATGCTAACTCTATTTTTAATTCTTTGAAAACTGCCAACCTGTTTTTCAAACTGCTTCCACCATTTTGGTGGTTTAAGGCTCTATTTTTTGTGCTGATGGGCCTCCTGCTGGGAGATGGCGCTTTCCAGAAAGCATCCGCTGTAGTAGTGTTGAGAGATGACAACATGCTAGCAACCCTCGCTTGCTCTCAGTGCCTCCTTGGCCTCGGCGTCCACTCTGGTTGCACTCGAGGAGCCCTTCAGCCCGCCACTGCACTGTGGGGGTCCCTCTCTGGGGCTGGTCAAGGCCGGAGCCGGCTCCCTCTGCTCGCAGGGTGTGGAGGGAGAGGCCGTGGTGGGAGCCGGGGCTGCGTGTGGCCCTTGTGGGCTGGCGCGGGTTCTGCGTGGGCGCGGGCTCGGTGGGCCCCACACTTGAGGCGGCTGGCCGGTGCCTGCTGGGCTTGACCGGGGGATGAGCTCTCTCTAGGCTGCTGGAGTGCCAGGGCTGGGTGCTGCAAAGTCCTGTCTGGCGAGTGCCATCAAGAGGTGAAGCCGGCTGGGCTTCTGGGCCCGCTGGGGACTTGGAGAACTTTTCTGTCTAGCTAAATGATTGTAAAAGCACCAATCAGCACTCTGTGTCTAGCTAAAACTTTGTAAATGCACCAATCAGCGCTCTGGGTCTAGCTAATCTGGTGGGGGACTTGAAGAACTTTTGTGTCCAGCTAAAGGATTTTAAATGCACCAATCAGCACTCTGTCTAGCTAAAGGTTTGTAAATACACCAGTCAGCACTCTGTCAAAACGGACCAATCAGCTCTCTGTAAAATGGACCAATCAGCAGGATATGGATGGGGGCCAGACAAGGGAATAAAAGCAGGCCACCGGAGCCCACAGCTCAACAGGCTTGGGTCCCCTTCCATTCTGTGGGAAGTTTGTTCTTTCGCTTTTTGCAACATAGCTTGCTGCTGCTCACTCTTTGGTTTCGTGCCGCCTTTAAGCGCTGTAACACTCACTGCGAAGGTCTGCAACTTCACTTCTGAGGCCAGCCAGACCATGAACCCACTGGGAGGAATAAGCAACTCTGGACACACCATCTTTAAGAATTGTTAACACTCACCAGGAGGGTCTGCGGCTTCATTCTTAAACTCAGCGAGACCAAGAACCCACCAATTCCGGACACTGTGGAGAGGGACCAGTGGTGGGCAGGGCTCCAGAACTCCAAAGATCGTATGTTCTTTGTCTTCTGCTACCAGGGTGGATATGGAAGGACCATCAGGTGGGGGTGGGGCTAGGCGTGCCTGAGCTCAGACTCTCCTTGGGTGGGTCTTGCTTTGGCTGCTGTGGGGGATGGAGGTGAGATTCCCAGGTCAGTGGAGTTGTGTACCTAGAAGGATTATGGCTGCCTCTGCTGAGTCATGCAGGTTGTCAGGGAAGTTGGGGAAAGCTAGCTTCCAGGCACGCTGAAAGGCGGGTCTCACTCCCACAATGCCCCTTGTGATAGCCCGGAGTCTGTTTCCAGGCCGAAGGCGAATCTGGCTTGAAAACTTACCTGAGGCTTTCTGCCTCCCGACTGACAAAGAAATGGGCTTCAGTTCTTACCCCGCCTGTGAAGTCTGCAAGCCTGATTCACGCCCTCCCCCGAGTTCTGGCCAGGAGGCTTCCAGCCCCATTCAATTTTTTACAAAGTTCAGCTAGAGAGGTTCTTCTCCCTGTGAAGTTTTACCCCCTGCTCCTCTGGCCACCCCCCCGATGGATGTCTGCCGTGCCAGGCAGGAATGGGCTACTTGGGGATCCAGCGGCCTTCCAGTGCCTTTGTGCTACTTCCTCTACTCCTGTATGTTGCTCAGCTCGGCTCTCTAACTTGACTCAGCTCCAGGTAAAGTCACGAACTTCTCCCACAAACAGACTTTCAGCTTCTCCAGTGGGGGTGTGTGTTCATGAGACGAGGGTCTCCCTTTCCCATTTCCGTGGTTAGGGGACTTAAAGTATTTGGGGTGTCTCCCAGGTCCTGCAAGAGCAGTCTGCTTCCTTCGGAGGGTCTGTGGGTCCTGTCAGGATTGCTGGTCTGCTCTTGCAGTCCATCTGGAGCTAAAATTCACAACGCAAGCCTCCGCATGCTGCTCTGTCCAGAGCTGCCATCTAGTTCTGCCTCCTGTCTGTCATAATCCCTCATGACCCTTGAGCTTTTTTTTTCATATGATTGTTGGCAGCATGTATGTCTTCTTTTGAGAAGCGTCTGATCATGTTTTTGCCTATTTTTAAAGGTTTTTTTTTTTTGTAAATTTCTTTAAGTTCCTTGTAGATGCTGTATATTGGATCTTTGTCGAATGCATAGCTTGCAAAAGTTTTCTCCCATTCTGCAGGTTGTCTTTTTGCTCTGTTAATAGTTTCTTTTGCTGCCCAGAAGCTCCTTAGTTTAATTACATCCCATTCGTCAATTTTTGCTTTTGTCACAATTGCTTTTGGTGTCATTGTTATAAAATTTTCGCCCGTGCCTATGTCCTGAATGGTATTGCCTAGGTTGTCTTCCAGGGTTTTTATAGTTTTGTGTTTCACACTTAAGTCTTTAATCCATTTAATCCTGCATATGAAGACCGATCTTTATGTTTAGAAATTCTTTCATCTTCTTAATCTAGTCTATTGTTGAGGTTCTCAAATTGTATTATTTATTTTATTTATTGAATTATTCAATTTCAGCTGTTAAATTCCTTTTCACTCATTTTATGGATTTGTTTGATTGAAATCTGTTGCTGGAGAATTATTGGTTTTCCTTCAGGGATGCTATGTTTCCTTGCTCTTTAATGTTTCTTATGTCCTTACATTGATATTTGAATATCTGGTAAAACAGTTGCTTCTTCTAATTTTATAGATTGGCTTTGGTAGTAAAAGACTGACTTCTGTAGCTGTATCTATACTGTTGAATCAGTAAGACACTTTGCCTTTAGTTCTGAGTTGGTTCAGTAGTTTATACTTCTATGATTTCTTCAGCTATAATCAGCATCACTGATGTCTGTGAGCTCCTCAGTGTCTTAGCCTTCATTGTTAATGGAGGCTGTGGTGAGATTTTGCTGGGGAAAGACAGGCCAGGCAGTTTGGTCCTTGGGCACCAGTTGCATTGGTCTTTGAACTTGTGGGTGATGAACGTGGGCACCAGTGGTTGAAGTTTCAGGCAGGCCATCCTTGGGCCTTCAGGTGGCTTTTTTTTTTTTTTTTGAGATGAAGTTTTGCTCTGTTGCCCAGGCTGGTGTGCAATGGTGTGTTCTCAGCTCACTGCAACCTCCGCCTCCCAGGTTCAAGCAATTCTCCTGCCTCAGCCTCCCGAGTAGCTGGGATTACAGGCATGCACCTCCATGCCCGGCTAATTTTGTATTTTTTTTTTTTTGTTTTTTTTTTTTAGTAGAGATGGAGTTTCTCCATGTTGGTCAGGCTGGTCTTGAACTCCCGACCTCAGGTGATCTGCCCCCTTCAGCCTTCCAAAGTGCTGGGATTACAGGCGTGAGTCAGGTGGCTTTCTCAAGTGCCAGCAGTGACAGTGGTGAGCTAGGGAGATAGGCATGCCCTCAAGACCCTGTGCTGTAGTCATAGCAGGTCAACTCTTGTGACCCCAGATGGCATGTGCAGACACCAACAGTCGTGGCAACATGATGGACAGAGTAGTCCTCAGGCTTTCACCTGGTGCAAATATGTGGGCATTGGTGGCAGCCGTGATGGCAGGCTGGGAAGTCCTATCCTTAGGCTCTCAGGAGACACACAGGTACTTGATGGTGATAGGCATGGTGGATTAATCCCCAGGCTCCCAGACAATGTGCACAGGCACCACCAGGCTGGGTGGGCTCATACTTAGGTCACAAGAAGGCATGCACAGGTGCCAATGACAGACAGCAGTGTGGGTTGATCCCCAGCGTCCTGGACAACGACCTTGGGTAGTGGTAGTGACAGCAATGGGTGGGATGGGCCTGTGCTCTGGCCCTGGAATAGTGCTCAGGCAGGTGAGTCCCCAGGTCCCCTGAGGATGCCTGCAGGTGTGCAGTGGCCCTGCTCCTGGGGGTCAGGATTGCTGTCAGTGTCAGTGGTCCTGGGAAGGTGACTCTCCACTTGTGAAGAGTGCCTGCTTCAGCTCCCTTTGTTCTGGGGGCAGCCTCTCTAGTGAATGGCACTGCCAGTTCCCTGGAGTGTAGGACACTGTGTAGGCTAGAGTGATGGGGACCAAGCTACACTGGTGAGTTCAGCTGGTATTGTGACTCTGCAGGCCTCTGGATGGACATGAGGGAATGTCACTGAGGGTCCAGAGATGTGGAGATGCAGGGGCTGTTGGGCCCCAGGGCAGGATGTAGTCTTTTGGGGGCTGGGCTCTCAAATTGGCATTGTGCCACAGCTGCCTGTGTCTGGGGGCAGGTGCAGATGATCCAGTGCCAACTCCTTCTCTGGGACAATGACCATCACATACACTCCAGGCAGCTCCCTATAGTAGTCTCAGGGCCTGCGAGGGCTGAGAGACCGTCCCTTGGCTAGGATTGCAGTGTCCACAGTGGGAATATGGACCACTGGGGCTCTCTTTTTTACCTTTTCACCACACTGCAGAGCCTGTCCTGGCTTTAAGCTGATTCTGGCTGGGCTGCTGCTTCATTTTCCTTTCCTTCCATGCCTCAGAGATTCCTCGTCACTTTGCTGCTGAATTCTAGTGCCCTCTTTCATGCCCTCTTCAAGGTATGATTATCTACTTGCTGTTTTGGTCTTTCTTTGGGAGGACACAGTGCCTGGTACCTCTAGTCAGCCATCTTGAAGGCCACCTCCTAGCAATGAGAAGATAATATTCTAGGTGACGGCTTTAATATACGTGTCCAAACTGCTTCTTTTCTAGGGAAGCACTTACTCTAAGAAATAAATGTTATATAGTGCAAAAATATATTAAAGGGTCAGTTGGTGATGCGGTTTCAAGAGTGGCACTGAGGAAAACTTGGCACTTCCACAGGGTTGAGTTGGTTGGAATATATCTCAATCTCTGAGATTTTGAACCCAATGTTTTGAACTTTTTGAGATTTCGAGTAGTCCATGTGACATAACTTAACATTGTTTCTTGGCCAAATCAGTCATAGTGAAAAATAAAATCCAGCTAATATACTTTTAAATATCTTGATTCTATACTCTTTCAATGACCAAGGGGAGGCCCCTCACTACTTTACACAAAAAAGAAAACTCTATGAATGAGAATCTCTTCACACAAAGCCACTAAAATTGTGTCTAAATGGAGCAAAATTGTGACAGGTGGTAAAAGCACTCAGTGGCTGTTGTAGGCAGAATAATGTCCCCTCTGTCTCCTGCCAAAGCTATCCACATCCTAACTCCTGGGTCCTGTGAATGTGCCACCTTGTAAGGCAAAGGGGAATTGAGGTTTCATGTGAAATTAAGGCTGTTAATCAGCTGACCTTAAAATAGGGAGATTATCTTAGATTATCCAGGTGGGCCCAACGTAATCATGAGTCCTAAAAAATGGAAGAGTGGGGAGAAGATGAATTCAGAATGATGGAATGTGAGGACTCAATGCTCCATTGCTGGCTTTGAAAATGGATGAAGGAAGCTATGGTTCCCAGGAGTAGCCTGTCATTGCTGGGATAAAGGTGCAGGAAGAAAACTGCAGAGCTTCCAGAAGAAAGCTCAGCCCTGCTGACACCTTGATGTTGGCCCACAGAGATCCATCTGAAACCTGCAGCCTATAGAACTGTCAGATAATGCATTTGTGTTGCTTTAAGTCACTAAGTTTGTTGTAATTTGTGATAGCAGCCATAGGAAGCCAATACAGTGTTTTAAAAGATGGCAGAAAATGCTGAATGATTATGCCCAGTGAAAGCTGGGAACTGAAGGAATTCCCTGAATCTTGGCCAGGCATACATGTACAGACCCAGGGATTTGCCTCCGAAAAGGGTGCTGAAGAAATTGCCTTTATTCTGAGTGCAACTCTTTTTATAATTTAGATTTCTGGTGAAGTCTGGTTGACGTGATTGTGCAATTTTCATATGTGGTGCACCTTTATCAGGGAGAGACAGACCCCTGCAAGGCTGCATGGAATAGGATGGCGCATTTTCCCTGTAAAAAATGGGAGTGGTCTTCCCACATGCAGGGTGAAGGGTTACAGTGCTAGACAAATCAATAGGTATGGTTGAAAGTTCCCCCACCCTCCTGTAAGTCATTTTCAACTAAGAGCTCATCTAGATGGGATAGAAGGATACTGGAAACCAAACAGTAATCAAGTCATAACATGGCATATAAACTTATTTCTTTCTTTCTTTCTTTCTTTATTTTTTTTTTGAGACAGTGTCTTGCTCTGTCACCCAGGCTGGAGTGCAGTGTCGGGATCTCGGCTCACTGCAGCCTCCACCTCATGGGTTCAAACGATTCTCCTGCTTCAGCCTCCTGCGTAGCTGGGATTACAGGTGCCCGCCACCATGCCTGGCTAAATTTTTGTATTTTTAAAAGAGACAGGGTTTCACCATGTTGGCCAGAATGGTCTTGATCTCCTGACCTCACGATCCACCCAGCTTGGCCTCCCAAAGTGCTAGGATTACAGGCATGAGTCACCGCACCCAGCCAGTAATATAAACTTTTAAAAGAGGTTTTGTGCTGGTTGGTTTTGGTTTATTCTTTTTTGAGGATTCAATGAAAATCCCTGTGAGAAAAATGGAGAGAGGGAACGGGAGACAGGGAGATAGGGAGAGGGAGAGAGAAAAAAGAGAACCTAAAACCACCAGAAAACAACAGGCTTCAGTCCTTTTTGTGTGTAGTGCTCTCAATTCTTGGTTGATGCCCCAGAGGCAGGCAGCAGGGTCGGCTATTTAAACATCTCCCTACATGGATTTCTGTTTCGAGGCAAAAGTCCTGACAGGAGCCATTTGGACGTTCACAGATCTCCTTGAATTTGCCCCTGGCTACAGCAGAAGAGGGTTATTGTAAGCATTCATCAGTCTTTACTTTGTATTGAATTACATGGACGTAGGGGGCAGTGCCTGAAAATAATCTTGTGTGGATTTGTGTGTGTGTGTGTGTGTTATTTGATTTCTTAAACACTTAAAAATCTGCTGTCACACAAAAATTTGGATTTTTTGGTGTTCTTGAAAAATCTGAGAATGTTGGGTGCACCTACATGACAAAAGGCTGGAGGTGAGTAGCCCGCTCCCCTTTACAAGTTCTAGAGCATGCAAGTTTCAGTTTATTTCTTCCTTATTATCTTCCAACACTGATGGGAGATTTCAGCCTTTCAAAAAAATATAATGTCTTGTACTATGGATTTTCCTGGAGTGAAAGAGAAGAAAATCTCTTTTGGCTCATCTCTTTTTACTCCTACACACACACACACACACACACACACACACACACACACACACTCTATATGATAGATTATAACAGATGTATCTTTCAAAAGTAGAACTGAAATTTAGACCTAAAAGATAATATACTTTAATTGTTAGAGAGGATACTTTTCCTGTTGAAGGGAACAATATTCCTATGTGTTTAATACACAAATATATCTGTGCCAGTACTTGTTACCCCCTGAGACTTCACACACTACTTATATCTCTGGCACTGGTCTTTGAGGTTGCAATTTTTCTTTAGAAACCATTGCATATATTAAGAGTGAAACATTCAAGGTCTTCTTAAAGGCTTAAAAACTATACTTGTTGAAAACATTGAATAGTATTTCATTTATGTCCGAAAATATCACTGCTCTGGGGATAGGCCACACACACTGAGGTATTTAGATTGAAAAGTGTTTTAATTCTGAGCAGTCTTTGTATGTAACACAGAGCACCTTTTCCATGACAACTTCTTGGCAATAAGAGAAGTATAAAAACCAGCACCTTTTTTTTTTTTCTATTCTGGAACACAAAAGCCAATTCTAGAATAGCTTTCAATCAGTACAGCAATTTTAATAAACATTCAATAAATGCCTATTTAATTGAACTGAAATCCAAATGTATTAGATTCCATTTAACTTTTCAATGGTCACAAAGCAGTTAGTGGATTGATGTGAAGACCAAATATATGCAACATCATATTTATATCTATAAGGCAAATTGGGAAATAAAGGTCATGCCTTTCTGAAGACAATGGTAATTCTAAATGTTGACCACTTGGTAGAAACAAGCTGAAATCTGAGTTTTTTGATCCCTGAGCTTTCCATCTCTTCCTTTTATCTGTAAGTAGTCAGCTACTAAGTATAGTAGTACCCAAGCCCACTGGCCTTGTGCTAAAATTGGCCCTTTGCAGCTGGAAGAGTCATAAGAGATTAGTATAGTGTAGAGGATGAACCACTGACCTGTCTTGTGATATGTGATAAATCACTCTTGGACATCCCTCTGTGGTAGTACTTCTTGCATTCTACTATGGGTGGCGTTTTCCCATCTGACCTCAATTCTTGATAATGAATTTCTTGAGGGCAGGAATCATATCTTATTCTCCTCTGTATGTATATTCCAGAATCTGATTAAAGTCTTGTCTTATAATAGCTATTCAGTAAATGATTGTGGAATAATTGATTAAAATACAGCTATTTTCTAACTTGCAATATGTTTGTGTGGAAATTTGTTGTTACTCTCGGTTCACAGGTCTTTGAATCATGTGTACTATTTTACTATACCTGATTCTATTGAGCATTATATTTTCAAACCACTTTTCAAGAAACTTAATACAGAACTACCATTTGACCCACTAATCTCACTACTGGGTGTATATCCAAAGGAAAGTAAATCAGTCTTGTAAAAAGACCTAAATTTGTATGTTCATCACAGTGGTATTCACAGTAGTGAAGGTATGGAATCAAACTAGGTGTTCATCAACAGTGGATTGAATAAAGAAAATGTAGTACATATATGTCACGGAATACTATGCATCCATAAAAAGGACCAAATTGTGTCCTTTTCAGCAACATGGATGCAGCTGGAGGACTTTATTCTAAGCAAATTAGCTCAGGAACAGGAAGCCAAATGCCACATATTCTCAGTTATAAGTGGGAGCCGAGCAATGAGTGCACATGGACATAAAAATGGGAACAAGAGAGATTGGGTCTTACCAGGAGGGGAGGGAGAGGGAGTAAAGTCTGAAAAGGTACCCTTTGGGTACACCCTACCTGCGTGACAGAGTTATTCATACCCCAAACCTCAATATCACACAATATACCCATGTAACAAATCACACATGCACTCCCTGAATCTAAAATAAAGGTTGAAATTATTTTTAAAAATTGAAATTACAAAAGGCTTTTTAAAATTATTATGTACCATAGTTCATCTGCAAGAATTCAAATAACATTAGGGATTTTAAAAATCTTTCGTTTTCATTTGTTCTTTGCTTGTGAACCTTGTGTATTGCATATTGTGGACACTATGTCTTTTCCAGCCATTTGCTTCAGGAACAAAAGATAGAGTTACAATGAACATAGGATGTCTTGTCTAGTCACTTACCTTAAAGATGAGGAAATAAGCTGATGGAAAGGAAGAAACTTGCCCAAGATTACCCAGTGATCGAGTGAGGCAGATGATAGGGAGAGCACTAAGGCTTGGTATTCTGAGCCTCATTCTGTTTTCCACTCTTGCCCTCTCTCTGTGTCCTCCTCTCCTCTCTAGCCTTCTACAAAAAGTTGGCAGTTCTGCTTCAATGTCTACCTAAGGACATCCAGAGGAGATGCCACCTTTCATTAGGCTGCATTCTTTAGCACCATCCTGTGTTTTCTTCTCCAGTCTTGTTGCATCCCATTTTTGACTGTGAGTCGTGCTTCCGCCTGTGCTGGTCTATCCAATTAGTTGCTTCTATTTTTATTGAGTGACAGTGAAAACAAACAAACAAAAAAATTTGTTTATCCAAATTTGGAATTTTTAAACCTTGATTAAACGAATTGATTTTCTGGGGTTATATATGTAAGACACATATTTTAAAATATTTTTAACTAATTAAAAAAAAATCAAACCCATGTATTTAGCCAGGGTGACTATTTAACAAGTACTAGTGAGACAGGAATTCAGTAATGCCACAGGGATAATAATCTTATGTCAGTCCCGGATGTTGTGTGCTACCGAGTTAATATGATTGGATATGGTATCACCTTTTTTCAGGCTTTAGAAAGTCAAACAAAGGAACAGCACAACAGAACTCTAGGGTGGGATGTATAGGGAAAGCCAGGATATTAAAACAAATTGTTGACTCTGACATTTACCCCACTGTTGGGAAAAGCACTTCAGTTTCCAGGGCCTTATTTTTTTTCTCTATAAAACAGCAAAAATAGAGGCAATAAGTTGCTTATTCATCCTTGAATACACATGTTCAGGAGTTCCAGAAAATTTTCGAATCTACTTTGGGTGTCTGGTAACCACCTTGGGCAAATCCAAGAAGTCCTATACACACTTCTCCAAAGCATGTCTGTGCAAGGGGCCTTATACCTGTGATTAATGTTCGCATGCTGAATGCAGTAGGCTATGCTCTGGTGTGGGGTCATCCCTGGTTCCTGTGTTTAAATTCTACAAGACTAGATGCTGAGAAGGAAGAGGGAAAGCCAGGGATGGAGATGGAGCCTTAAGGGGAAAAGTCAAGCCCCAGGGACCAACAGTATTGGGGAGCAATAGGTTAAAGATTTCTTAGATTATAATAATATTTTCAAAGAGACTTCTTCCACCAATCCCTTCTTTCTGAGCCTACCACACCTTTGGCATAGCTCTTATGCCAGTTCTTAGGATAACTAACTTTTGCCGAAAGAAACTAGAGGAGCTTTGGAGACAAAAATTTAGTAGAATAATGCCTGATTTTTAATTTTTGAGGTCTAGTAACTGCTAGTAAACTTGCCTAATATGGAGATGGAATAAGAGGGTTTCAAAGACTTGAAACACCATTGACTTCATTTAACTGAGTTGCTATGGAGAATTAACGAATTAGATGGCTGCAGGCCTCTCAGCCAATGTGTCTTCCAGATTTCCTATGAGACCCCCTTTTCTGGTCACAGGTGATGGTGATTTCTCTTTGAGTATTGAATCCCTGTAAGGTGTTAGGCACTCTACTCTTACCAAGTTTATTTTGTTACCTGGTAGAACTTGGCTCATAAAGAAGAAAATGGTGAAGAGGAGGACAGCAATCCTCACGGCTGAAGAAAGAAGAAAGTTGGGCTTCATTTCCAGGAGGCAGAGAAAACTTCCTTCTGTGGCTGTCTAGCACCAGTGGAATGTCTCTGTTTGGATAAGAAGGGTCTTTCTGTACCTCATTAGGGATAGTCACAGATAGAGGTGTTCTATGCACGCAAAATTGCTTTTATGGGAAGACTGAGAGTCCTTTTTTTTATTGGACAGCCAGTTCATTAGAATGATGTGGGTGCACAGTTTTGGCCAGAAAACCTTGTTAAATGGGGACATAAGCTACAAACATTTTGGCAAAAGATGAAAGTTTATGAACAAACAACCATTTATATTGTTACAATAAATTAGACTGTGTTGCGAAATCAGTTGGTTTCATTAATGACCAGACATTTTTTTAGTGAACACTTCCCAGACTTTACTAGCCCTGCTAAGAATTAATCACCCCACTTGCTCCTGGTCTGAAACTCCAAAGTGCTTTGTTTATGTTACAGTACTTACTGCCTTGTGTGTTAGATTAGTGAATGTATATTTGTCTCATCCACTGCTGTATGAACTTCTTGCTTGCTAGGACAAGGCTATATTCCTCAGAACTGAGGAGGGAGTTGAATCATGTGGCTATTTATTCTCAAATCCTCTTCACCAAGTGGAACAAAACAACAGGGAAAGACCACCGCACATGGAGGCAGGAGGTCTGGATTTGGGTTCTAGATCTCTAGATCTATTACTAACTGGAGGTATGGATATAGTCAGGAAAATTGTCTTCCTTAGGTGCTTCCTTGATAGCACCTATAAAGGTCGAGATCTGTTGGATCTAGATCAGGGGATTCTCAATCATTACTATGCAGAAAATCAACTGGGAGAGTTACTTTGCAATACAGATGCTTAGTTCCATCTCACGATATTTTTATTTTTTTAAAAAAAATTGGTCAAGTATTTTTCATTAAGTAATGTAAACTTTCTTAGTCTACATCTAATAAAACTCCCACC
Source organism: Homo sapiens (assembly GCF_000001405.40). Lineage (NCBI taxonomy): Eukaryota > Metazoa > Chordata > Mammalia > Primates > Hominidae > Homo > Homo sapiens. The sequence continues at coordinate 12,100,515 of NC_000008.11, forward strand.
AGCATACAAATACATTGAATGATATTAGCAGCAGAATCTTTAAATAAAGTAACCATACACAACTATGAGGCCACCTTTTTTTCATTGCTTATTATTTCATGCTATTTGTCACCATTGTCATCATAATCAGCCTCATCCTACATTGTTGAACACCCATCATGGACCATATGGCATAAACACTTTTCCTACGCATAAAGGAGCATATGTTCTCTATATGTATATAAAATTAATGTCTGAACAAAGTGGCTTAAACAAGGCAGAAGTTTGTTTCTCCCTCACTTAAATCTATAGTTCTACCTACCATGGCTAGTACAGATACTTGCCAAATTCATTAGGGATGCAGGCCCCTTCCAGCTCTCTGTTCTGCTATACTTTAGAAGAGGCTCTAGTTTGGCTGCTAAATTCCCACTTACCATTTCTGAATTCCAGGCAGCAGGAAGGAAAAAAGCCAAGAGAGAAAAACAAGGGAACATCTACCCCTCCTTTTAAGGTTTTTAACCAACCCCTCTTGTTTTTTTTTCACCGACTTTGTTGAGCTATGATGACATTTAAAAAGCTGTACATATTTAAGGTGTACATCTCAGTGAGCTTGGGGATAAGTATACACCATGAACACATCACTACCATCAAGATTATAACCATATCCTTCACCTCCCTAAGTCCCCCCCCCTTTATTATTATTTTTTTTGGTAAGAAATATTGGTAAGAATACAAAATCTACCCTTTTAGCAAATTTTAAGTATGCAATACAGTATTCTTAGCTGTAAGCACTATGCTGTAAACGAGACCTCCAGAACTTACTTACGTGGTATATCTGAAACTTTGTGCTCTAACCACATCTACCCATTTCCCCAGCACCACGGCACCTGGCAACCACCATTCTACTCTCTGCTTTTGTGAGTTTGTCGATTTTAGATTTCAAATACAAGTGAAATCATATAGTAATTGTCATTCTGTGGTTGGCCTATTTCATATAACGTAATGCCCTCCAAGTCCATCCATGTTGTCACAAATGACAGCATTTCATTATTATGTAACACTGAATAATATTCCATTGCATATATGTATTAGCCATTTATCCTGATACTCTCCCTCCACCTGCCTCCCAACAGGCCCCAGTGTGTGTTGTTCCCCTCCTAATATCCATGTGTTCTCACCGTTCTGCTCCCACTTGTAAGTTAGAAGCGAAGTGTTTGGTTTTCTGTTCGTGGGTTAGTTTGCTGAGGATAATGGCTTCCATCTCCATTCATGATCCTGCAAAGAACATGATCTCATTCCTTTTTATGGCTGCATAGTATTCCATGGTGTATACGTACCACATTTTCTTTATCCAGTCTGTCACTGATGGACATTCGGGTTGATTCCATGTCTTTGGTATTGTGAATAGTGCTGCAATGAACATATGTGTGCATGTATCTTTATAATAGAATGATTTATATTCCTTTGGGTATATACCCAGTAATGGGATTGCTGGGTCAAGTGGTATTTCTGGTTGTAGGTCTTTGAGGAATCACCATACTGTCTTCCACAATAGTTGAACTAAATTGCATTCCCACCAACAGTGTAAAAGTGTTCTTATATCTCAACAGCCTCATCAGCAGGTAGTTTTATTTAAAAAATTTTTGAGAAACCTTCATACTGTTATCTGAAATGGACATAGTAATTTGTATTTCCACCGCAAGTATACAAGGGTTATCTTTTCTCCACATCCTCGCTAATACTTGTTATACATCTTTTTGATAATAGCTATTCTAAGAGGTATCAGGTGATATTTCATGGTGGTTTTTATCTGCATCCCCCTGATGATTAGAGATGGTAAGAATATTTTCACATATTTGTTGGCCATTTGTATCTGTTCTTCTGGGAAATGTCTACTCAGATCTTTGCTCATTTTTATTATTATTATTATTTTTTTGAGATGGAGTCTCGCTCTGTCACCCAGGCTGGAGTGCAGTGGCGTGATCTCGGCTCACTGCAAGCTCCGCCTCCCAGATTCACACCATTCTCGTGCCTCAGCCTCCCAAGTAGCTGGGACTACAGGCACCCACCACCATGCCCAGCTAATTTTTTGTAATTTTTTTTTTCTTTTTTTAGTGGAGACAGAGTTTCACCGTGTTAGCCAGATCTTTGAGCATTTAAAAAAAGAATTCAACTTTTATTTTAGATTCAGGAGATGCATGTGCAGGTTTTTACATTGGCACATTGTGTGATGCTGAGGCTTGGAGTATGGATGATCTTGTAACCCAGATAGAAAACATAATACCCAATAGACAGTTTTTAAGGCCTTTGTCCCCACCTTCCCTTCCCCCTCTAGTAGTCCCCAGTATCTGTTGTTCCGATCTTTACATCCGTGTGTAACCAACGCTTTGTTCTCACTTATAACTAAGAACATATGGTATTTGGTTTTCTCTTCCTGCATTATGTTAGAATAATGGCCTCCAGCTGCATCCATGTTGGTGCAAAGGACATAATTTTTTTATGGTTGTGTAGTATTCCATGGTGTACATATACTGTATTTTCTCTATCCACTCTAACATTGATGGGCATCTAGGTTGATTCCATGTCTTTGCTATACGACCTTGGGGAAAGAGAGTCTTGCTGCTTGCTTGTGGGACTTGCCTTGGAAGGTAGATAAGTTCACTGCATCCTCCAACTTTTTATTTCTGGTGAGTTCTCCAAGCACTGAGATGTGAACTGGCCTCATTCCCTTACAATGATACTGTTACCAGTAGAAGAGATTCCAGTTTCTGGCAGCGTATCTGCATGGGTCCATAAGCAACTTCAGTCCTTGCCTCCTCAGAAGAAATAATTTGACTGAAGGGCATACAGCAGAAAAAGAGACTGAGCGGTAAGTTTCAGAGCAGGAGTGGAAGTTTATTTAAAAAGGCTTTAGAACAGGAAGGAGAGGAAAATTCTCTTGGAAGAGACCCGAACAGATGCCTGAATGTCCAAGAAAGAAAAGAGAAGAGCCTTTAACCTTGATCCTGCCATGGGTTTTCCTCTTTCCCATGATTCTAACTTTAGGGAGCGTTTCCGGCTTGCACAGTGCTTTCCTTACCCTTTGAAATTGAGCATGCACGGTGTGTTTAGGGAGTTATATGCATGTCCATCTGAAGCTTTCTTTCCTTTTCCGGTGGAGTGTGCCCCCGGAAGATTATGCTTTGCCATTTTTGTCTCTTAACATGCATGCCCAAGAAGTTGCTTCTTCCTGAGGTCTGCATTTAACTAACATTTTTGATGTTAACAGGTGTAGACCATCAGGAAATGGCCTCTCTTTGGTGCTGCCTAATTATCATTTTTAGAGAGGCAATGTGATAATTGACAGGCCATCACCTGACATTTCTAGTGGGTAGGGGAAGAGCCCTCTCCTGCCCTGCTCATGCTCTTCTACCTGTAACAAGACAAGCCTTGTATATCATTAGACATTTGTCCCATCAAGGCAGCATCTCATTATTACATTTTATTGTGTGAATTGTTACTTCACATTCTCATAATCTGTGTTCACTATTTGTGTGCCTTTTCCACTTTTGTTTTGACCATATCTCATTATTTGAACTGCCTCCTCCAAGATTCTAGATCTGCATTGGCCAATATAGTAACTACTAGTCACATGTGACTATAAACTGTAAATTAATTATAATTAAATAACTAAATGACATATCCTTAGTAGTAATAGCCAAAGTCTTGGCCAAACTAGAAATTCTGTAACTACATATGTGTGGTAGTTACTGCATTGGACAATGCAGATATAGAGAATTTCTTTCATCACAGAAAATCGTGTTGGGCATGTTGGCTACCACTTATTTTTAAATTCTATTTGTGTGGTTTATAGTTAAATTATATTCTGCTTCTCTATATTCATTTCCTTTCACAGATTTTCTCAAGCAATTTTTAAATTTCATTCTTTTACCCTATTGAGGTAAGTACTTAGATTATTTTTTTAAAATAATGCACAGCAAATAATTTTTCCATCGATATTGTTTTAGCTTTATTGTATTGGTACTTTTATGTACTATATTCAGGTATTATTATTTTTCATAACTTACTTTTAAAATTGTGACAAGTTTATTTAAAATAGATTTCTCCCTTGATTTTCAGATGTTAGATTCTGTCTTCCATTGCTGTATTTTAATTTAATTTAATTTTATTGTATGTAAATATGTTGCATATTCCTTTTTTTAAAATGTGAGATATTTCCTCTCTCCTGTTACATAAACTTTGTATGCAGTGTTCATTATGCACTTTAAAAATAAATATTTTGTTTCAGGGCATGATGCTTTCACACATAAAACCTTAGAATAATTTTAAATTCCATTCCACTTTCACCATTCCTGAACTGCTTTGAATATATTGGAGGTTGGAAGCCATGAGAGGCTTGCAATCCTGTCAAGATAATAGGATTTTCCATTTATAGTGTAATCTGACTTGCAATCCCGTCAAGATAATAGGATTTTCCAATTATAGTGTAATCTGATATATATTCGTTCTGGTTTCATACTTTAAAAAAATCTATTCTCTTTTACTCTGTGGTGATCTTTGCTTTTCTATTTTTTCATTGCTAGAATGTGAGCTGCTGTTTCCCTAGCACCTCAGATGTCATTCAACATTGTATAGCACTGGTGTTGAGAATTGAGAGAATCTACTAAATAATAGCACTTTTCGAGACTGCAGTTCTGAATTAAAAGGAAGGGAAAGGACAGGCAAAACAATATAGACATCAGCTATTTTTACTGAAGATCTGTTGGAGAACATGGTTTTGTTGTCCAGGAACTTGAGACCTAATACTGCATTCCTAATACTTCACTAACGTGTGTCTAAATAGCCGTGAAAGGGCTAAGAAGTCACAAGTTGGCCTCTTAATTTTTACGGGTGCCCTTAAAATATTAAGGTAATATTGAGGATGCAGAATGGCTCATTCCTCATGACTTTTTAAGAGATCTGGGCCGGGCACGGTGGCTTACGCCTGTAATCCCAACACTTTGAGAGGCGGAGGCTGGCGGATCACCTGAGGTCAGGAGTTCTAGACCAGCCCTACCAAAATGGAGAAACCCTGTCTCGACTAAAAATACAAAATTAGCCGAGCACGATGGCGCATGCTTGTCATCCTAGCTACTCAGGAGGCTGAGGCTGGAGAATTGCTTGAACCCAGGAGGTGGAGGTTGCGGTGAGCCGAGATCGCGCCACTGCACTCCAGCCTGGGCAACAGGAGTGAAACTCTACCAAAAAAAAAAAAAAAAAAGAGAGAGAGAGAGACAACTGGAGGGAGATACTAAGCTGTGCAGGCTCTCATCTTGAAGTCACCAAATACATAAGTTGTTATTTCTGCTCTGGTGAAAAGTTTGTCAATACATTTTTTTTCCATGAATTAATGAAAATTTTAGACCTATAACATAAGTTTTTAAAAGTTTCTCCTAAAGATTGCTTGTGTATGTATGTGGTTTAAAATATATTTAATCTCTACATCTTGAAATCGTTTTGATAGATTCCACACAAGAGTCCTTTATGAAATAAGTATGCTTTAACTTTCTTATAATATTTGTCCTTTTTTGTCCCTGGCACGGTCTGTATATGACCAGTTAAATTACTTTTAGTTCATGTTTGGGTTATAATTACACACAAATATTCTCTAAAGCCCAAATCTTATTTTGATATTCGAGGAAGAGTTTACATGGTAATAATATTAAGGGTTACAGCTGGTTACACTGAAGCTTTGTCGGCATTCTCTAATATCTTATTTTTTTTGAAGGAATATCTGTTCTGCTTGAATTGTAGGCTACATAATACATGTACTGTCAGGTACATTCATGGAAGGGACAGGCAGATGGAGTCATATGTTACTGGAGTCTTGATGAACAGATGTAGAAAATAGTTCAAGGAATAAGAAAAAAGTTGATATTGAAAAGTGCTTGTTGAAGTCTGTAAATGTGCATTAAATGTGGCAGTAAAAATAGACACAATGATGTTTGGGAACTGGGGTCTAAATGCTGGAGTCCCCAGAATCATAGAGAACCTTGGTTAGGGGAGTAATTTTGTCAAAAAGCAAGAAGAGGCAGTGACAGGCAGAATATAATTAAAAGTATTGCTGGGCCATTTTCTAATTTTGTAATTTTGTCATATTATTCAAACCCTGTTGATCATTTATTAAATTGGTAAATAAATTATAATCAGCAGGATTATTATGAGGGTTAAATAAGGAAATATATGTACATCTGTAAGCACAATGTCACAATTAATACAAAGTTACCCTTTTTATTTTTCCTGGACTTCATGTACAAATGGGTCAGTAAATTTTTTGTTTATGACACATAATTATCACTTGCACATAAAATATATTTAATTATTTTTATATTTTTAGCAAGGAAATAATACATGCATGTTTCCCCCTGTCTCAAACACATACACTCATATAAACATATGCACCTATATACCTACATATCTATGTACGAATATATACATGGACATGGGTATTTCTCAGCAAATATGTATCATGATAATCACAGATATTGCAGCTAACAAAGACTAATATAAACCATGATTGCAAGAATTTTAGATACCACGTTAGTGAAACATCAGATTGAGCTGCTAAATTTCTCCCACCCCTATGTCATTTTGTATTTTCTGAGCATCCTAGACGATTGTGACTGTATACACAGGACAGAAACACCATGACTCAGGGTACTCCTGCTAATTTCCGATGCAGGAGATTTTAAGGGCTAGATTAGCAGGATGGGAGTGTTGACCCTCTAAGTGAAATAAATCCCTCAATTCATTATCCCCATCCTAAAACAGATTTTTTTTTTTTTTTGAGACAGAGTCTCACTCTGTCGCCATCGCTGGAGTGCAGTGGTGGGATCTCAGCTCACTGTAATCTCTGCCTCCTGGGTTCAAGAGATTCTCCTGCTTCAGCTTCCTGAGTAGCTGGGATTACAGGCAAGCACCACCATACCCAGTTAATTTTTGTATTTTTAGTAAAGATGGGGTTTCACCATGTTGGCCAGGCTAGTCTCGAACCCTTGACCTCAGGTGATCCACCTGCCTTGGCCTCCCAAAGTGCTGGGATTACAGGCGTGAGCCACTGCACTCGACCCTAAAACAGATTCTTACTTGATTATTTCCACGTTCCAAGGGGAAATACAAAAGTCAGAGTTGAGTGAAAATAAAAGTGGAGTAAAGCTTCAGAAGGCTGTGGTGGGTGTTGGAGAAACGTTGCTAGGGCATAAAGCTAGGATAATAAAATCTGAGAAATCCCAGTGTTTATCTATAGGTGGAAATCATATTCCACATGTGGATGGAGTCAGGGATCCCTGTGTTTTAAAATCAGTGAGGGAATTGAATATCTGGACTTGTGCCAATTAACATACAAAACTCCGTGCTTTTGATGTTCTCATTCACAAGATATCTGTGTTCCTTGTTTATTAGCAACCATAGTCATAGGCTTCCTAATTTTGACCACGGGAAAAGAGGAGAGGCCTCTGCGTGTTTGTGTCTGTTGGTTAGGCTGTGGTGCAGCTGGTGTCACACTTCAGTGAAAGTCTGGCTTTTCATCACAGGTTGATCTGAAAATTGTGCACAAGACTGGTGTCTCACATGTTCTTTCTCCAACCTCAGCTTTTCTTAGTGCCTAAAGTGTCTGCAAGTGGAAATCCAGAGGAAGACAGAGAGAAACTGAGTTCCTGACAATGCATTCACTAGTGAGTAGGGGATGCCTCTTTCTACTGAAATTATACCCATATTGCTGGCAAATGGGCAGTTTTCTCCAATTTGCATGGGTGTTTCATTTTTATTCTTTTTTTGTTTGTTTTTATGATGTAAAATCCACCCAGCCTGGGTGTTCCAAATGCAGTCAGGAGGCTTTCAGGTATCTGGCCTCCAATTAAGTTTTCTCAGGACTCTAGGTTGGGTATCGTGTGTCAAAGACTCCTAAATTATCAATATAATTTCTAATATTACACTACTTTATTCCAGCCCTTATTAAGACTATTTACAAAAAAAGATATGAGAGGTTTCATTTATATATTTCTTTTTCTTCTATCCATCCTATAATCTCATAGGGAAATAATTGACCCATTAACTGTACTGTTGGCTGAAATAGACTTAGGATTGTGATGAATGCAGACGACAGAGATGAGTGAAGAGCAGAACATCACAGCCCAACAATGAGTCTGATGTTCTAGCAGCTGAGTTCAATAAATCCAGTGTGATAGGACTTGGGCAAGAGCTGTGCAGTGTTGAGGGAAAAGAAGAGTTTTATAAAATATATTTGAGCTTTTAAAAACTTTGTGAAAGCACAACTAAAGAAGTCATTACTATTCTTATCCCCATTCATTTTACCTTTTGGTAATTAACTTTTTTGCCTTCTGGTAAGTGAAAGTAACATATAGGAAATATAATTATTTAATTATGGTTGCACACTCAGAAGAAGGAATATAGTAGATAGAGTACAATTTAGGGTTCTGTGGAAATGCTTTATAAGGGCTGGTTACAAAAAAAAAACAATGAAGAGGCTTTCTTAATCTTTGAACAAGTGAAGTGAGAAGGTCAATTTAAAAGAGAAACAATGATAACTGATGTTTGGACTGCCGAGAGAAAGTTGAGAACAGGAGGCTTCATATCACAGGAATCATCGGACTAAGATTTCCTCAGTATAGCAGCCTCAGCAGTCTTGTCTTGTGCTGCTAGACTGTCTTCAAGCCTTTTCATGAACACCTGAATTATATAACATTAGAGAGACTATATGTATGAATTGAATCCTATATTCTGCATAAAGCGTTCAGTTCTGAAGAATGCTGGAGTCTGGTTCATTACTTTCTAACTTTTGAATGAATAAGGGACCAATGACTTATATTTAATAAATATTTGCTAGGTAGGAAACACATTTTCTATTAGTTCATTAGATTATTCAAAACACATCATTGGTCTTTTAACCATTTGATTGGGGAGAAACCTGTCGTTCATCTAGAGAAATAATTTATTTCATCGCAGTCATGTTTAAAAAGTAGTAAATCATGGTTATTTGCCTTGTGACAAATCTGTAATTTACTTGAAATTCATGGTAAATTTCATTTTATTTATGAATGTTCAAGTGAAAATTTTATAAGCAGTTATGTAGAGGTGATTAAGACATTACTGAAAAATATCTGGGTTATATTATGCCACACCTCATGCAATATTTCTTTATAGTAAAGTTTAATGGATTCAGAGTGGGTATATCTCTGTGAGTGAATCTGAAAGGCAGATACCAGCTTAGTACTGAGAATGAACTGGCTGGAACCAAAAACACTGAGTATTCTGCATACCCAGCTCCTAGCTATATCATCTCAGCCTTCCTCTTCCGGACATTGAAAGGGATTTCTCTGTCTAAACTAAAATGTCTGTGATGTTTTAGGAGAAAGTGACTTTTGAAGATGTAGCTATTGACTTCACCCAGGAAGAGTGGGACATGATGGACACATCCAAGAGAAAGCTGTACAGAGATGTGATGCTGGAAAATATCAGTCACCTGGTGTCCCTCGGTGAGTCCCTCAACATTCACGTACATATGTAGACACACATTCGCTCATTCATTCAATAAGTGTTAGAACAGCTTCCCCATATCTCACTCTAATCTCTTCTCTGATTCTCTCACAGATCTCATCTGAAAAAAGTTTGAACTCTCTAAATCTATCTTAAATAAATATCTTTCTTTTTATTTTATTTTATTTAGTTTGTCACTCAATTAGAATGTAATCTTGACAAGTATTTCATGGTGTCTTTGGTACTCAGTCTCTAATACTCATAACAGACCTGGGAACATAATGAATATTTTCAATGTATTAAATTACTCTCTAAATAACTCTTCTGCTTTAGTCTATGCTTAGGCTGAGACCAATTAGTGAAAACAATAGCAATATCTTTTCCATATAGAACACCAATTATTTTTGTAAATCGAATGTTTTTTTTTGTTCTGCGTGAGAATAATAATAAACACAATGTGCAGAGATTTAATTACTCTCTTTCTGAAAAGATTGTGTATTATGCATTGTGTCTTGGAACTTAGGCATGGACTCAGCATTCATAGGTCCTGACTGTTTTGAATTTCCTTTTCCTGATGGCCCTTTGGTTTGGATTTATTTTCTAGTCTCAAGTTGGGTCAGAAAAATCCTGGGGAGTTTTCTGTGTTCTAGGTCTTGTGGCCTGAGCTGACCTTCACTGTTTTTATTCTTCCTTGATAGCCTGCCTTACACTTGGTGATAATGCACATTTATTGACAGTGAACTCAAAACACATGTATTCTTTCCACTAACAGGGTACCAGATAAGCAAATCCTATATAATTTTGCAGCTGGAGCAAGGAAAAGAGCTGTGGCGGGAAGGAAGAGTATTTCTTCAAGACCAGAATCCAGGTAAGCAACAGGGTCCTGTGTCCTAATAGGAGGAGGTGCTTTCTCAATGAATAATATCAGTTGAATATTAATTAGTGGTTTTATTAAATGAGTGATAATTTCTAAAATGTAGGTTAGGCTACTGGAGCAGAATTCCTTAGATGTTATTATCATTTTGTTCATGTGTCAGATGTTACTCTTGTGTCCTCTTTTTTTTCTTTTCTTTTACTTTTGGGAAAAAGACAATTCATGTACTTGGCTGGGGTTAAACTTTCATATGCTGACCCTTTCCCTGATACCCCTGTGAAGACTATCCCTCTATTTACTTGCCTGATATCTCATCTCCATTTTAACTCTTTTCACATTTTAATTTTAAAAATCTTTTCTAATTGCTGACACTGTACAATCTATTTCTTCTATTCAAGTAGTTTCTTCATTTGACACACTTGCCACATCTAAGTGTCAATTTTTGAAAAAAAGTAAATGGGCCTTGGGGCTTTTCAAACAATTTTATTACCATAATACCAATGTAACAATTTATTTTTCAATTATTTCAGACAGGGAAAGTGCCCTTAAGAAAAAACACATGATATCCATGCATCCTATCATCAGAAAAGACGCATCCACCAGTATGACAATGGTAAGTTTTATAGCTGTGTACACCAGTCATCTAAGTTAAAGATATGGTAATGGGTTAAGTTAATAATGAAGCACAATCACCTGAGTGTAATTAGGCTGGCATTAAGTGCTTTCTAAGCAAAGAAAAAAACTGGAGACTTTGAATTTAGTGAATACATTGACCTCTGTTCTAAATCATAACATGAGATCTCTAAAATAGAGCAAGTGCATATACATTGCTCATGCCCAGACATTGAAAGATATTGATATCATCACAATTATGCAATAACTCTGCAGTTGAGATCTTACAGAAGAGAACATACCTGTGTCTGCAGGAGATAATGTGTATGCAAATGTCAATCGAGAAAAATGACAAGACAAGTCTCAATCATTTTAGGAGATTTATTTGCCAAAGTTAAGGACATGCACCCAGGGGACAGGTGTATGCCTTTCTCCAAAGATGATTTTGAAGGCTCCAAATTCAAAGGGGAAAGGCTGGGATATTGAGAAGTACACAATTTTCATGTAAAAGGTGGGTAGAAAAAATAGTCATTCATGCATTTTTCTGGCTCAGTGAATCTGGATTTTTTTACATAACATGACATAAACAAATGAGGCAGAGGAATAATGCAGGAAAGCTGCATTTTACATAAGACAACATAGGCAAAATGGGGACAGGGAAACAATCAGATATGCATTTGTGTCTGGTGAACTTGGGATGACTGCACCTGTAAAGACAAGTTATCAGTTTGCATTGCCATGGTGTAATTTTAACAGCTCATGAGGAATTTCCTTGTGGGCAAAATATGGGGGAGGCATGTAGCTTTTCATCTTGTAGTCATATTATTTAGGAACCAGAAGGGGGAGGCAGGTTTGTGTGACCCAGTTCCCAGCTTGATTTTTCCCTTTGGTTAAATGAGTTTGGGGTCCCCAAATTTAATTTCCTTTCACACAAGAAACATTGGAAAGATTTCAACTGGGGTCTACCACTGAATGGTTGGTCTAGGATTCAAAGGTAGTGAAATGAATGTATAGATATATGTGGGTAAACCATTAAGAGCTTTTAATCTTTGTCCCAAAGGAGAACTCTCTCATTCTGGAGGATCCTTTTGAATATAATGATTCGGGAGAAGATTGCACTCACAGTTCCACAATAACTCAGTGTTTGTTAACTCACAGTGGAAAGAAACCCTGTGTCAGCAAACAGTGTGGAAAATCCCTTCGTAATCTTTTGTCCCCTAAACCACGTAAACAAATTCATACTAAAGGTAAATCATATCAATGTAATCTATGTGAAAAGGCCTATACTAATTGCTTTTACCTTAGACGGCACAAGATGACTCACACTGGAGAGAGGCCATATGCATGTCATCTATGTGGAAAAGCCTTCACTCAGTGTTCTCACCTTAGAAGACATGAGAAAACTCACACGGGAGAGAGACCATATAAGTGTCATCAATGTGGGAAAGCCTTTATTCAATCCTTTAACCTTCGAAGACATGAGAGAACTCACCTTGGACAAAAGTGTTATGAATGTGATAAAAGTGGGAAAGCCTTTAGTCAAAGCTCTGGCTTTAGAGGAAACAAAATAATTCACATTGGAGAGAAACCACATGCTTGTCTTCTATGTGGGAAGGCCTTCAGTCTGTCCTCCGACCTTAGATGACATGAGAGAACACGCACTGGAGAAAAGCCATATGAATGCCATTTATGTGGGAAAGCCTTCAGTCAATGTACTAATCTTAAAAAGCATCAGAAAATTCACCCTGGAGAGAAAATTATAAACTTCTTCAGAACATATTCTGACTTTAGATGACACAGTGTTAGGAATGACGAAGGTAAGGAATGTGGAAGAGACTTCAGCTGTAGTTGTAGCATCTAAACATGCCAAAGGACTCACATTTTGAAGAAATACTGTAATCAACATGGAAGATACTTCAGTTGCCTTTATTCTTCAGCCCACATCAATAAATTCATATGGAAGAGAAATTGTATGACATGTATGTACCAAAGACTTGTTAGTGATCTGAGCATAAATGACATGAGAGAGCTGAAACTGTCAGCATAATCAACTAAAAGTCTTCAGCAACAGCTTTAACTTAAAACATGTGGGACTTTCAGGTAGAGAATCTCTAACTCTGCATTCAGTGTGAAAATGTTTTTATTTGCAATTTATTGTCAAATAACATGAGAAAACTTTACTTGGATGAACCCTTTATTTGTATTTTTCTGTGAATGAACATTCAGCCAAGCACCAGGCTTGATGTTCACAAGAGAAGAGTGACAAAATGCTGCTAAAATGGAAAATAAGAGAGGAAAGCCTTCATAAGCTAAATAACAAGGGAAAGTCTTTCCAAGGGCAATGAATTCTCTTGGAATACCAAATACTTCTTACTGGAGAAGTTATGCAATGAAAAATCATGAGAAATCCTTTCTTCATAGAGCAACACATGTGGCACATGTGAGATTTCACACTGGACAAAACAGGGTTAGCATCTTGAAAGAAGAAAATTCTTTAGTGGTAATTCATTTCTTAGTTGACATTAAGTTTCTCACGTTGAGGAGCTATCAAACTTGAAAATCACTGTGGAGAAACCTGATAGATTTCTCATCAGAAAAGTGAGTCAAGAAGGTGGACCTCTAGAAAAAACTCTTAACACATACTTTAGCAAAATAATTCAGAAATTTGAGAAAATATCTATTCATAAAAATGTGGCATGTAAATGCATAATAGCAAAGTGACCAAGGAATAAATTGAATGCAGAATTATATAAGAAATCTCATTAAACTTTTCCAAAAGACCAATACTTACAAATATTGAAAGAATACAATCTGTTGTTGAAAAAACTTAGTATGTTGGTGAAGCCCTTGTTTCATTTATGCAGCCCTAACAAACTGATTTGCATCTGAACTCCTTGGGTGAGATTCTTGGTGGAGATTCTACCCCAACTTCTGAGTCTCCCCAGTCTTCAACAGCTCTTTCCTCACAGCTCACCTCCCTTTACTTCAACGTCCACCAAAACCACTTGTTTCCATCCAACCCTCGAGTTGACACACCAGGGATCTTCAGCCCCACTTGCTAGATTTCTCAGTTTGTCATTGCATAGATTTAGCAGGGAAATGGAGGCTGTATCAAAGACCCCTAGTATATGCATTTGGGTGTCCCCAGCTCTTGCCTCTGTCTCTGAGCAGTTACCTGGGATCAGAGAATAAGGCAGCTCTTCTCTTCTATCCCTCAGAAGGCTCTTGAAATTTTGTCCCTGGAGCCTCTCTAACTGGAAGTAGCAGTTCATCTCATGACACCCCACATTTTATTCAGGTGAGTCCTGAGTTATTACACAGAGACAGACACAGCTGTGCTCCTTTTACTGCAGTCCAGAAGATAAAACACCAGCATGATAAAACAGCCGAACCTGTCAGCCACCTTGCAAGCCTTTTCTATATTTGATTCAATGTACTTTTCCCGAAGCAAAATGAAAGTTCTCACAGAGGGGCCCTCCTCTGCCTTGTCCTCAGAATTGGAAAATGTATTGTCCGTGAAGGAGCCTCACCACTGAACCTAAAACTCAAGAGAAAATGTTTCCTGAATATCAAGTGGGATGACTTGAAATTTTGTCAAACAGGCAGAATCTTAATACGATCGGCCTTACTAAGGCTAAATGGCCTTATCCATGGTTGAAATTGACACATCATCATATTAAAAAATCTCCACGAGTGATTGATTTTACTCTGCAGCCAGGGTTTATGTCAAGTGTGAGGATAATGAGCAAGAAATTCAAGCCCTTGGCAAACTGGTTGGAGAGGCAAGGACTGTGTCCAGGCAGAGCTCATATCATTATTTATTGTTTAATCTATTTAATTAAATATGTAATTTACCCACAAACTGTGGCTGACATTATATGTACTCCTGAGCCACATTAAGATGTACTATTTGTGCTGTGAAATTCTATGGGATTTGACAAATGCATGGTGGCAGATCTCCAGCGATTATTAAAGCGTAACACAGAATGCTTCTCTTATTCAAGCTCGTCTTCCCTCCACATAGAGGGAATCAATCGACTTTTGTATACTGATTTTTGAATTTGCTTCTTTATTTCCATCTTCTTTAATTAAAGCACAAGATATCGTACTCAATTTCCATTTGATCTTCCAAAAGAAAGTACTGAATAATCCACACCTGAATTTCAGTGATTCAGACTCAGGTCCACCGCTAAGACCAAACGTCCTGTGCTGCCACCTCATGGCCAGCAGAGGGCAATGAAACCCACCTTTCCGGCCATGCAGGGCGCATGCGCGGTCTGCCTCCCGCGGCGGGCCGGGTCTCCAGGGAGGACCTGAGTTTTCTTCACCCATTGTCAGGGAGGCGCCATCGCCCTGGCTTTGGGGCTGGGGCCTCCGGGGAGGTTCCGGTAGGGGCGTTGGAGAGGCCGCTCTTTTTGCAAGGCCCGAGACGGCGGGCCTTGCGCAGGCCGCCCTATTCCGCGCCCTCAGGGCGTCAGTATCAGCCTGAGGCTGGATACCCCCGCTGGGCCCAGATGCCCCCGCTGGGCCCGGAGCATCCTCCGGCGCTGCCCTCCCAGAGCCACGCAGAGGCTGAGGTGGCGCGGGGGCGGCCCTGGCTCCGCGAGAAGCGGCGGCAGCGAGGGCTGGAGGACCCGGGCTGCGGGGCTCCGGGGCGTCTGGCCTGGGTGGGACTGAGCCCATCCAGGGACTGGGACTCCGGGGTTCTGGTGTAGGTGGATCCGGGGCAGGCTCAGGACCAAGTCCCTCTCCTTCCACCAAGGAGCGCCCAGAGGCCGGCGGGAGCTCCAGGTTCACCTCCTCCTCCTCCAGGTGTTTACTTTTCCTTTATTTCTGTGAGGCCAGAAATTGTCGCCATCCTTCACATCGGTGAATAGGGACCCTAACACTCATTACCTCAGGTTTATTGTTATTGCCATTAACAGTGTTGGTGGCATTATCACTAAGATCATCATTGTTGTTATTATTGTCATTCATGATTATTAGCAGATGTGTTCATCATTTTGTCTCACTATGCACATATATATATTTGGGATTGGTTTTGTATGACGTTGAATTGAGCTTCTTTAATCTTGACCAGTGTTGTCAGATTTCTGAAGAGCATTCCGGAGGACATCTCCTGCCTTTCAGCGCAGCCACAGAATTTCGTGGGCACAGGAGAGCACCTAGAATATTCCCCTTTCATTGCACAGCAGCTTTGGGAAATAGTGGCTGCCTGGCTCTGAGATGAGGTAGAAAAGACTGGATACTGGGGCAAGTGTTAGCACCACCACTGGTGTTTTTATGAAGCTAAGAGCACTGTCTCCCAAGTAGACTTAGAATAAAATCTGATGGCTCTAAAGGGCTATGGCTGCCCTTCCTGGGACTTCCTGGGAACCTTTAAACCTTCTGTGGTTCCTGGAGTAGGTAGGTTGCCAAGTCTGTGCCTCATATGGTAGCACCAGTCTTTTCTGGGCCAACAAGGGCACTTAGAATGTTTCCAGAAGCTCAGGCGTGCCGTCTCTGTTCCTCCCTTCTGTTCAATGGCAATTCCCTGGGTCCCTGGCTGTCATAGAACGTCCTGCAGAAGGTTGGGCTTGGGTGACTTCCTGGCCAGCCTTCTCAGGCAGTCATCTTTGAAAACCTTGAAGAGACTCACAGAGGCCATTCACTGGTATTTCATGACTGCGAGTGGGGTTTCTGGATCCTTGAGTTTACTTGGAATATTTGAATGGCTCTGAATGGCCAAGAAACCCTCCCTGGTCTTAGAAGCTGCCAAAAGCTATTACTGGGCCTCTGAAGAGACTTTAAAATTTTTCCAAGTACATTTGGGCATAGGAAACTTTTCCAGGTCTAGCTGAGCCAGCTCAGGTCGAGTCCTGAAAAACTGGTGGGTACTGGGGGATCTCATCTTATGAAAGAGCAATTGGTGGCAAAGCTGGGTCTCCAGGACAGCTGTGTGTGTATATGTCTGTAGAACATGCCTTGTAGTCATCTTTGGTAACTGAACACCATTTGTGAATGGATAAACTATATTCATTGCTGTACAATAATGAAAAATCCATATTAACAATGGCAGTAATAAAAATATTGATGGATATTAACAGGAATAATGATCATCATGATACTAGTACTAATGGTTTTAATAGTGATAATAATACTAACCCTATGGACTTGGGACATATAAGTTTTCCATAAGTGGATAATAGGCATAAATATTTGGCTGTGTAGGGTTATTTCAAGTCCCAAAAAGCAAGGATGAACATCTAGAACGAGAAGAAAAACAATCTGGAGGTTAGTATGTGCACACCTGGGGACTCCTGTGTTAACTTCTGGTGTTTCAGCCTAAGAGAGAATGTTAATATAACCCTGGTCCTGGAACACCATGCTGACCAACACCTATCAGCTTTCAGGAGATAAGACAGCTGGCTGATGGGGCAGGGATCCAGAGAAGGCACGGGTCCACACCTGCACATGTTGCCCAGTGGCAGAGTTCATGACAAGCAATAAGCCCCAGGACAATGTCATTCCCAGCAACCTGGCTGTCATCTGTCTTTCATGGCCCCTCTCTACTGGTACCTCTAGACATTGGCATGTCCTCCAGAGGCTGTAGGAGGGCATGATACTCAGTACTCTCCCACCTGCAGGAGGCAAGAAAGATGGAAACAGCTAAATACCATGGCTTCTGGATTTTTTTTGGTGGGCATGGCATATTTTGCATTTGCTTTAATAATGTTGGAACCCAGTCAGTGGCTTGCAATACAGATCTAGATGACTCTGGACACCTGTAGAGATTTTGACAATTTCCAGAAGGTCACAAGTTCTTGGAGGACTTTTTCATGAGTTCTTTGACTGAAAAGGTGGTTCAAAGAGCTTCTACACCGACTTAGAAAATGTTGCAGAGGCCAGGTGCGGCGCCTTATGCCTGTAATCCCAGAACTTTGGGAGGCCAACGCAGGTGGATCATGAGGTCAGGAGTTTGAGACCAGTCTGACTAACATGGTGAAACCCCCTCTCTACTGAAAATACAAAAATTAGCTGGGCGTGGTGACACGCACCTGTAATCCCAGCTACTCAGGAGGCTGAGGCAGGAGAATCGCTTGAACCTGGGAGTCGGAGGTTGCAGCGAGCCAAGATCGCGACACTGGACTCCAGCCTGAGTGACGGAGCGAGACTCTATCTAAAAAATAAATAAATAAATAAATAAAAAGGAAAAAAAAGAAAATGTTGCAGACACTCTGGTGAACAGGTAGGCCCTCTCCTGCCACTCCAGATAAAAGTTTCTTGGCCACAAACCTGATTTAGCAATATCCCTTCATCTTAGGTGGGTAACAGAAAGCCATTCATGACCTATCCAAGCATGGAGAGGGGATTTGACTTAGAAAACTGTTAGGTGGACTAGTTGGTGAAAGAAAGTGCATTCTAGGGCTCACAGGCCTACACATAGAGTTGCTATCACATAAAGCATATGTACGAATTCTTTCTGAGCCCATGGCAAGATGAGGGTGCACTTCATCAGTCTCCTATGCTGGTATGAATAGGTACTTGCCTGAAAAATAAAAGAATAATTCAGGAAGCCCATTCTTCTACAGGACACCAAGCAGTACAGTAGGATTCCTGGGGTTGCTGTGGTATTTATGTTTTAAGGTTGTCTTTTAATCATCTTCAGCAAATTCAACAGTCTTCAGGAACATAAAACAATTATTCAACATTGCATAAAAACGACCACAAATATATCCATGATAAAGAACTGTACCAATATAATAATAACATTAATAACAATCATAATGGTGATGATATAAATGTCAATTTAATGAAGAGAGTAATAGAAAAGCAGATATTTAAGAACATATTCCTGTAAGCCTGTGACAGTGTTCCCATACGAACCCTCATGTTATTGATTAGATGGAGAAGCTTAGGGCTACACCTTGAAATATCTTCTGTGATGGCAAAGAAGAATGGCAGTAGGGAGAATAATTCTGAGCCACATGAGAGCATGGGCAAAAGTGGAGATACCTGTGCCATGTGGAAATACATTACAAATGGACTATGGCAAAGGGTCTGGCCAGAGTCTTGCCTGACACAGGTCGTACAAAAGCCTTCAGTAGTTCACCCCAAGAAATAGCTGGTCCAGGCTGTAGATGAGAGACACTGGGCAGACAGATACACACACGCCTCCTGAGTCTCAGAAGTCTGGTGTGCATCGAACATTAAGCCCCTAGCCTACTGAGACTTCACCTCCCAGCTGCTCTTCTACCATCTGATTCTTGAGCCCCATCACGTTAGTGTCATCTCCATACTGGAATTGCCAACAATGTCTGATGGAGGGTTTCACCCTGGATACTTGGTACCGGCAGTGTATGAAATACCAGAAGGGAGGCTCCAGGGCTTCCATAGAAGACACATTCAAAAGTTACTCAGGTGATCAAATGGTCATCTCAGAGATTTTCAGTAGAACTGCAGTATTTTGTCAATACCTGAGTGAATGCAGAAACTATCCAGAGGCACGGGCATTCTAGGAAGCTCCCTATGTAAATCAAATACAAGGAATATCTACTTCTGGGCTCAAAAGCTAACTTAGAGAAAAAAAAAGTGAGATGCTGGCAGAAGGCAAATAACTCCACTTCAGTTCCCAAGAGAAAAATGGTTCTGTAATCTCTGAGTTTATTTGGAAAAATTTTGGAGCCTCAGGAAGACTGAGTATATCATTCCTGATGTTTCCAGGACAGATTGGACTGCTTAGGCCTTTGGGAATATTCTAAGTCCTCTCAGGTTTCCATGGGAGACTGTAACTCTACTCCTAGAGCTCACACCACCCCCGAGCAAGCTCATTGTTTTCTAAATATTCCAAGAAAGCCCATCCAGGGTATGCTTGTATTGGTGAGTTTCACTTTGGACTGGCAGGAGAAGACTGAGAATGATACATCCTGAGTTCACTTGGTAAAGGTAGGGGAGCCAAGAAGTCCAGATCTGGAGAGCACCTGAAACACCAGATGGCAGAAGGTCAGTAAGGAGGTAAAGTCAGCTATGGAGTTGGAGCTTCATGTTTACTGCATGTAGGATTCTGAGTTCCAGGACTGATGGGCTGGTGGGGATCAGAGACTTGTCTTCCTTGCAGGGAGCCAGGCCAAACCAGCCATCTGGTTGCACTACTGAAAGCTTTTGTGTGCCCAGTGGTGGGCAGGACACAAATCACAGTCCCTTCACCTCTGGCTGGTAGTTCTTGATGAGAGAGGTTTGCACACAAATGTTCATATTAGCCCATGGTCTCCTGCAGCTTGCTTTTCTTTCACCTCCTGTTTTTGATGTTTGCCATCATGGAACACATTTCATAGAGAAATTCTTTGACTCTGACTCCAAATTACACAAGGAGGACACAGTCTGTGAAGTTTTCATATATTTAGGGGAAGCTCCACATTAATTTTTGTATCCTTACATTTATATTGTCTCCAGTATTAAAATTCGTACTATTTAGGTTATTGAGTTCATTATCATGATTATTAATTATTTTTCATATATCGTTTCTTTTTATTGATTAATTTTTGTGGCAGCTGTTATATAACAATCACTAGATTTCCCTATTCATGAAAGATGTCCAAGTTAATGGAGATCACTAGGAGTGTTACTTTACAGGTATGTAAATACAGATAATCTTGGCTGGACTGTGGCTATATTGTCTGGTGTCCCTTTGAGGGTGAAGCCTCTTGTATTATTCTAAGTGACCTCTGGAGAAAGCAACTGTCTCATAATTACAGGGACGACTTGAGAAAGCATCCTGAGCCTATGCAGAAATGCAGAAACACTTCCATGATCTAAACAACCTATGTGAAGGCCTGAAAGCCAAAGCAAGATCCTCTTATTACAAAGCTGTCCAACAAAATTTTTCCAAGTAACACTGGAGGTCCATCAGTCACTCTTCCTGGTCTGGAAATGCCAGAAATGTCCTCCTTGGTCCTTCTGAGAGTCAAGATCTTTTCAAAATCACCTCAGGAGCCACAGAACCACTCCATCCTACCTGAAATTGCAGGATGACTCTTCTTTTGACCAGAATCTCAAAAATATATTCGTTGATAGTATTGATTCCTGGGAGCTGCCATTGCTTGCAAAAGATGTGCCAGAGACTAGACATTTTCTGTCTCCTCACTTGTCCAGGGAAGACTGAAGTTTTACTGAAACACAGCGATGGGAATCTGACCCTCTGAGCAGCCTCAGGATTTTCTAAGTCTTCCAAGCAGAGTGGAAATTCTGGTGAGGACCCATTGCACCCCCTGATGGTCTGGAATCACATAGGATGATGCTTTCAAACAACTCTAGGTGGAGATACATTTTCTGAGATATTCCAAGGAGGAGGGACACAATTGGACCAGATGTTAGAAGGACAGCTGAGCATTAAGTGCCTATGTAGTGTTTGCAGCTTAGTTTCCCATGCAGAAGGGGAACCTGGGCCCTGGTGTTAAAATTCAGTGTAATTCTGGGTTCCTGCTTTCCTTCCAGGAAATCCCACTTCCAACTGGATGTCTGGATGAACTACTGAAAGCTGCTGAGTGTCCTGCAGCAGGTGAGCTGTGGCCAGAGCCCAAGGATGAAGGGGGCTCCCTCACTCTGTGACTGTGAAGAGGAACCCTGAGGTGTAGCAGGCCCAGGCCCCAGAAGTATGGAAAAAATGAGGTAGGGAGGGAGGGGACCTCAGGAGAAGACTGAGGTCTACAGAATCCCAGGGTCAAGGGGATGGTGCGGTGTCCTGGCACTATCCTTGATGTTCCAAGAGGGGTGAGAATCCATCTCCTGAGTAAAAGCTTCACATGGGGTGAGGAGGGGAGAATTGAACAGAGAGGAAGCAGGGAAGGCCAAGACAGCGACCAGCCTTACAGCAATTTTAACCAGAAATGGACACAGACCCTGGACCCCATCACAGGAGTGCAGGCCTAGGACTGTCTCCAGGTGATGCATAGCTCCCTTGTCAGGTTAGTGGGTGCAGGGATTGTGACGTCTGCAGGGGTGTGGAAGGCTGGGCAATGGGAGCAGCTTACTGGGCTGGAACAGAAATACTGAACTTCTTTTCCATCAGTGAAATCCGCTTCTAGGTCAGAAAAAACTGCGAGTTCTAGAGAGGCAGGGCCTAGGAGGAGGTCAGGTCCTGAGCCTTCCTGGTTTGACCCCTTCCCACCCTCTGTGTTTCTGGGTCTGTCCTCACTTCCACCCAGCGGATCCTGAGTCTCTTCCTTTGAGTCCCTGTGAGTGTGTTGTGTGCAGTGGGGCCGGGCTGCTTCATCCACTGCACGTTAAATGTTTCCAATACTTTCCGGCCAAAGCTTAGAGTTGTCAGACCACTGACTTTGAATGTTGACCTGGTTCCTTGTGGAACAGAGTAATAGCTATTGAAGTTTAAAGTCACTTTCCTGCGTGGATGGTGAAGAGGCAGGCTGTTCAGGCATAGCTGTCCTCAGGCCTGGAGGGCTGTGGAGGTCACCGTGGGCGGTGGGTAGATCCGGAACCTCTGTGGCTCTAGACTTTCAACTATTTCATTTTTTCTTTTGTAGTTTTTGTTTGTTGCTTGCTTTTTTACAATGAGAACTAGAATGTAAGATGCTAAACTCAGCCTGTGGGGAACATGGATTTTCACAACAGCAACCACAGAACGTGGTTTCCATTTCTATTCCCTGTTCATGTGGGAGGCAGAGAAGGAAATCAGGTGCTCAGTTCCAGGGACATCACAGGACTAGGACATGTGCAGTGAGGGTGGAAGGCAGAGGCATTGCTTTAGGGCAATAAAATTACTGCATGCACACACATATGTATGTATATGGATGTATGTACACAAACATGCATATTTATAGATTCTGTTCTCCCTCTGTCTATATAATTTTTTTATTTCACACTTGATATGATTTCTAAATTTAAATACCTTTGAGACAAACGTGAATTGTGAAGGGATTTAAAAATGTCAGTGAAAAATGGAATTAACAATAAAAATATAAATATAAACTTTATTTCTCAATATAAGCTCTACTGAGGTCCAGACACTCCATTAAAGGATGATCCCAGCCATTCAGTCCATTGCTAAACAACTGAGGGTAACGGGAATTTAACCGTGTCAATGCAGTCTTCTATTATTAACTAAAGAAAAATGGGTGCCCTTTACAGTTATTTTAAGGTTAGGGAAAAAAAGGTCAGAAGAAACCAAATCAGGACTGTAATGTTGATGCCTAATAATTTCCCATGAAAACTCTTGCAAAATTACCCATGTTTGATGAGAGGAAGGAACAGAAGTGTTGTTGTGGTGCAGAGGGACTCTCTAGTGAAGCTTTACAGGGCGCTTTTCTGCAAAAGTATTTGCTAATTTTCTCTAAGAACTCTCCTAGTAAGCAGATGTTGTGGTGCTTTGATCTTACAGAAAGTCAACAAGCAAAATACCTTGAGCATCCCCAAAACCTCCATGGCTTTTGCTTTTGAGAAGTTTGCTTTTGCTTTGACTGGACCACTTCTACCTCTTGGTAGCCATGGCTTGAATTGTGCTTTGTCTTCAGGATCTTATTGATAAAGCCAGTTTCACTCCCTGTTAAAATTCTTCAAAATAATGCTTCAGGATCTTGATTCCGCTTGCTCAAAATAGTTACTAATAGCTCTGCTTTTGTCCACTGCTGATCTAGGCACAAGGTTATTTGGGACTCATCAAATGTAAAGTTTCTCAACTTTCACGTTATAGTCAGTATTGTGTAAGCTGAACCAATTGAGATGTCTGTGATGTTGGCTACAGTATCTCTTGTTAATTGTCAATCCTCCTCAATGAAGGCATAGAAACGATTTTTTTTTTCTCAAAAATTGGTATGGATGTCCCTCCTCTGTTGACTTCATCTTCAACATTGTATTATCGCTTCTTAGAATAAGGTATCCGTTTGTAAATGACTGATTCTTCAGGTCATTTTTCCCATAGACTTTTCTTAAAGAATAATTTATTTCACCATTTTTTGTACCCCAGCTTCACCGTAAATTTGATGTTTGTTCTTGCTTCAGGTTTGACAGAATTCATGTTGCTGCCATAGAGGGGCTCTTTTCAAACTGATGTCTTAAATCTTGTTCAGATATGTTAAAACAGGGCCAGGCATGGTGGCTTATGCCTGTAATCCCTGCATTTTGGAAGGTTAGAAAAAATAAAGTTTTTTAAAATTTTATTTTATTTCATTTTAAGTTCTGGGATACATGTGCATGATGCGCAGGTTTGTTACATAGGTAAATGTGTGCCATGGTGGTTTCCTGTACCTATCAACCCATCACCTAGGTATTCAGCCCACATGCATTAGCTATTCATCCTGATGCACTCCCTCCCCACTCACCCACAGACAGGCTCCAGTGTGTGTTGTTCCCCTCCCTGTGTCTATGTTCTCTCATTTTTCATCTCCCACTTATTAAGTGAGAACATGTGTATTTGGTTTTCTGTTCCTGCATTAGTTTGCTGAGAATAATGACTTCCAGCTTCATCCATGTCCCTGCAAAGGACATGATCTCATTCCTTTTTATGGCTGCATAGTATTCCATGGTGTATATGTATCACAGTTTCTGTATCCAGTCTATCATTGATGGGCATTTGGGTTGATTCTATGTCTTTGCTTTCATGAATAGTGCTGCAATGAACATACCCATGCATGTATCTTTATAATACAAGAATTTATATTCCTTTGAGTATATATGCAGTAATGGGATTGCTGGGTCAAATGGTATTTCTGATTCTAGGTCTTTGAAAAATCACCACAGTCTTCCACAGTGGTTGAACTAACTTACATTCGCACCAACAGTGTAAAAGTTCTCCTATTTCCCCACAGTCTCACCAGCATCTGTTGTTTTTTGACTTTTTAATAATCACCATTCTGACTGGCATGAGATGGTATCTCACTGCGGTTTTGATTTGTATTTCTCTAATGATCAGTAATGTTGGGCTTTTTTTTCATGTTTGTTGGCTGCATAAATGTCTTCTTTTGAGAAGTGTCTGTTCATGTCCTCTGCCCACTTTTGAAATTTTTACATTTTTATTTTTTAAGACAGAGTCTTGCTGTGTCACTCAGGGTGGAGTTCAGTGGCACAATCTCGGGTCACTGCAACTTCTGCCTCCCAGATTCAGGCGATTCTTCTCTCTCAGGCTCTTGAGTAGTTGGGATTACAGGTCTGCACCACTACATCCGGCTAATTTATTGTATTTTCAGTAGAGACGTGGTTTCACCAGCTTGGCCAGGCTGATCTTGAATTCCTGGCCTCAAGTTATCTGCCCACTTCACCCTCCCAAACTGCTGGGATTACAGGCATGAGCCACTGTACCCAGCTTTTGCCCACTTTTATATGGGGTTGGATTTTTTACAGTTTTGGGTTTTACATTTAAGTCTTTAATCCATTTTCAGTTCATTTTTGTATAAGGTATAAGGAAGGGGTACAGTTTCAGTTTTCTGCCTATGTCTAGCCAGTTTTTCAAGCACCATTTATTATTAAATAGGGAATCCTTTCCCCATTGCTTGTTTTCATCAAAAATAAAATGGTTGTAGATGTGCAGTCTTATTTCTGATATATCTATTCCATTCCATTGGTCTATGTGTCTGTTTTGTACCACTACCATGCTGTTGGGTTACTGTAGCCTTGTAATATAGTTTGAAGTTAGGTAGCATGATGCCTCTAACTTTGTTATTTTACCTTAGGATTGTCCTGGGTATATGGGCTCTTTTTTCATTCCATATGAATTTTGAAGTAGTTTTTTCTAATTTTGTAAAGAATGTCCATGGTACTTTATGGGAATAGCATTGAATCTATGAATTACTTTGGGAAGTATGGCATTTTCATGATATTGATTCTTCTTACCCGTGAGCATGGAATGTTTTTCCATTTGTTTGTGTCCTCTCTTATTTCCTTGAGTAGTGGTTTGTAGTTCTCCTTGAAGAGGTCCTTCACTTGCCTTGTTAGCTGTATTCCTAGGTATTTTATACTCTGCAGCAACTGTAAATGGGAACTTATTTGTGATTTGGCTCTCTTCTTGTCTATTGTTGGTGTATAAGAATGCTTGCGATTTTTGCACACTGATTTTGTATCTTGAGACTTTACTGCAGTGGCTCATAAGCGTAAGAATCTTTTGGGCTGAGATGATGGGATTTTATAGATATAGGATCATGTCATCTGCAAACAAAGAGACAGTTCAACTTCTCTTTTACTATTTGAATATGCTTTATTTGTTTCTCTTGGCTGATTGCCTCGGCCAGAACTTCCAGTACTATATGGAGTAGGAGTGGTGAGAGAGGGCATCCTTGCCTTGTGCCGAATTTCAAAAGGAATGCTTCCAGCTTTTGCCTATTCAATATGATATTGGCTGTGGGTTTGTCAAAAATGACTCTTATTATTTTGAGATATGTTCCATCAATACCTAGTTTCCTGAGGTTTTTAACATAAAGGAATGTTGAATTTTATCAAAGATCTTTTCTGAGTCTACTAAAATAATCATGGGGTTTTTGTCTTTAGTTCGGTTTACATGGTGAATTATATTTATTGATTTGTGTTTGTTGAACCAGCCTTGCACCAAAGGGAAGAAGCTGACTTGATCTTGCTGGATAAGGTTTTTGATATGTTGCTGGATTTGGTTTGCCACTATTATATCGAGAATTTTTGCATCAAAGTTTATCAGAAATATTAAACTAAAGTCTAGTAAACACATTGAAAATAATAACAGACTGATTAAAATACTAAATAATATGAATCCTAAGTGTTCTCACAACTGATTTATAGAGTAAAAGCATTGTTAAACCAAATGAGCTTGGCCAGAAACTGTATAGAGTCTGAGATGTTTTCTGAACTTCCAGTTACTCATTGTGAGGTGGAACTGCAGTAACTATATTTGGTGCAAAATTTCATGTTGATGGAAGCTGAGATGTCCTGCAGTCTCAGAGGGACAGAATTCTGGTGTATCTCCCTTTGGCCTATGAGGAATGAAGATTTAGGCCCTGAGGGTTTTGTCAAAATTTATAAGATGTAAGAAATGGGGACGTCTTTAGGCCATGAGGCAAGGCCTAGAGGTGTAAAGAAAACAGCTTCTGACCCAGGGCTCATGAAGTCAGCATAGTGTCAGAGGCGATGGTGGAGTGAGCATAGTATGGTCTTTGGAACCATTCCTTCCCCATATTTCTTCATAGGCCAAGTATGCGCAACCAGGGGGCATCTCGGGCCTGATGAGCAGAGTCCTGAAGAGATAAAGGGGCAATCCTGAGGAAGAGACTTGACAGGGAGGAAGGAGCCACCATTTTCACTGCTGAGAAAACTACTCCTCCCTAGTAAACCATAGGATTTTCCTTGATCCAGTGAGAGTTTTCCTGAGTGAAGAGAAAAGAGAGAGAAAGGGACTGATGTGTTATCTCTTTCTACCACCTGAAGTGATTCTGAAACTTTGGGGGACAGGAGAATTATCTTCAGAATCATGAGCAATCCAGATGCCATGATTACACATGAGAAACTGGAAGTTCTTATCTCTGGGGGGTAGGCACTAGGCATTGATATTCGTTAAAGCTCATTCACTGATTACAAAGTGAGACAAATAAATCTGCTGCAAGATTTATTCATGACATATTATTTCACCACAATTCAATTGTCTTCAGCACAAAGAGCTCTTGGTTCTCTGCCTGCGGACACCCTGTAACTGGGTCTTCCAAATTCATTCTTCTGGATGTAAAAGAGGACATAGGCCTGTTGACTCAAAGGAGAAGTGATACCAGAGGCAGTGACCTCGGCATCATCCATTTTATACCACTGGCCTTCTTGAGTTTGACACAAGAGAAGTAATGTCCGTTGTGACAACTCCACCCGGTGACGACGAGAACAGCATAGAGGACATAGAAAAGAGGTCCTGTGTTCTGCTGAGACATGTATGGCTGCATGTCAACGCACTCAGGATATTGCAGATTCTTGGCAAGTTTGTTGCCTGTGACATCGGAGAAT
The DNA here is from genome assembly GCF_000001405.40 of Homo sapiens. Taxonomy (NCBI): domain Eukaryota; kingdom Metazoa; phylum Chordata; class Mammalia; order Primates; family Hominidae; genus Homo; species Homo sapiens. The sequence continues at coordinate 12,128,452 of NC_000008.11, forward strand.
CTCTTCAAGACAAGGATGAGGACCTTGGCAGAAGTGGGTAAAGTTAACGTCTTGGCGGCAGGCGCCTTCTGGAGACAAAGACCACAATGATAGGCATTCTCTCCATTGAGTTCTTCGGGCTTCACCAACTGTTCCTAAGCTTGCTTGACACTCTGAGCTGCCTGGATATCCAGGGCGATATCCAGGTAAGGGTCGAAGGTGTCTGAAATGCCGTGGAAGTAGAGACACTTGATTTGAGATCTCTAGTACCCTCCAAATATTTGGTGGATGAGGATGGTGTCCTTGCAGTGATGATCTAGCTGCTTGTGCCCGGGAAGGCATGCCTTTCTAATGGCATCCACAGTGAATATGAGAAATTCATGGGCATCTTCCTGCTTGCCTCTATGGAAGTCAGCAGCCAATGCCTGTGAGGGCTGGATGACATGGCCAGGACGGTGGAGGTGCCCGTGTGCTGTGAGCTTCCATAATACAGAGCATGCAGCACTTGGGACGATGACACATTTGAGAGAGCTCCCAGGACAGCATGTAGTTGGCAAGGGGCGGTGTGTATGTCAGGCACTGCAGGGAAGCATTCAAGTGGCAGGTATTTCCCATATTCTGGAGACCAGCTCCCACCGCAGCAGGTCTCCTGCTACTCGGAGGAAGCTTCTCCCTGGGAGCAAGCTGTCTTGTCACAGGAGCCAAATCGTCACAGAGGTCGACACGGGTCTCCGATGAGAGTGGTGACTTCTCAGGGAGAGAAGTCCGCTGGATTTCAGGAAAAGCTGCATCTGGCTGAGAAGATGTGAGTTTTGAAAAGTGGTTGAACTGCCACTCACCTCCCAAGTAGAGTGAGTCTTCCTCCATGTCGCCCGCAACAAGGATCACAAGGTTTTTCTGCTGGGACTGCAGGTTGCAGAAAGACGCTATCTCTTCCGAGAGAGTCTTCAAATAACGAGTTCTCTGGCCAAATCAGCCCTTACATAACTCACCCGCACCAAGAGCGAACACCCCACCCGCACATAAGGTGGGCAATAAACCAATCAAATATCAGCACTCAATTAAGGAATGAGTCACAGGGTGTGTCCCCTTGCATCGCTGGGAATTCAACAGACACAGTCCACATCATGACTTCTAAAACACCTTCATCAAATTACTCCTCAGGATGATAGGCACATATAATATGATGGTAACCGGGTTGGGACAGTGGCCACACAGTTGCCTTATTTTAGGTAAAAGAATGTCAGGGAAGAAATCTTTACCTATGAAACCGTGTGAGTATGTGTGTTTGTGTGCGTGTGTGTGTGTGTGTGTTTGTGCTGGGATGTACTTCCGAGTATGTGCTTTTGGCAGATACCATCATCCTTTCAGCGATAGAAGGAGAAGTCTGAAGTGCGCTTTCTGACCTGAGAATAGGCAATGAAGTACAGTAATTAGCACAGCATATTTTTTTCCTCAATAAAAAAGGAGAGATCCGTGGAATCAAACAGACCTCCCAGCGATAACCTTTCCATGTTCAGCCTAATGATTCTATATCCGAGTGAAATTACCTGCCAGTGGAGAAAAAGACAAGTCTTTACATTAAATGCTCTTGTGGAAGCTAGATTGCTGAATAATAAAGCATTAAGTCGTAGAAACATGCACTGAAGTTTGAAGAGATACTCAGTGCACAAACTAGACTGTAAAAGACTTTGGGGAAATAATGCAATCACCGAGAGACTAATTGATGACATTCCGAAAATTTATATTTGCCAGAAAAGAGAGATGGTCAAGACATTGCATAGCGAGTGGTTTTGGACGTGCGACGGCAGTTTAAGAAAACATGAAACAAAAAACTTGAGAAATCAGAAGGTATCCCAACTATAACCTTTGTTTTACAAAAGAATTGATGAAAATAAAAACAACGTATCTCACAGCACGCGTGATAATATTTTCATACGTATGTGATAATGGAGCAACATTTGATAGAGATGAAATGAAAATTTCTAAATTTGACAAAAGCGAACAACAAAAATTACACCGTAGAAAAGCGTGGGTGACGGCAGTGACGCCCTGTCTCAAGAAGTAAACATCCGAGAGATTTAAAAGTGGGGAGTGAAACCAAGGATAGCATAACATTGTTAATACTAGCCATTGTTTCAGTGGGAAAAGGCAAAAATAAGCGGTGTGTCTCCTAGATTCTCACATGAATTGTTCAGGATATGAGATGTTGCCTCTATTTCCAGTTATGCATTGTATGGTGGAATTGCAGTTAGCACATTTGGTGCCAAAATTTTAATGCTGACGAAAATGGACATGTTCCCTGAACTAAGAGGGACATAATTTGGGTGTGTCTCCAGGCTCTCTGGCTTACCAGGATTGAAGATCCAGGCTCTAGGGATTTTCCCAAAATGTCTTAGACAGTAAGCACCGGGGCAGAATTGAGGCCTGGCGCCAAGGTCTCGAGGTGTAAAGAAACAGCCGTGGCCGCAGAGCCCATGAAATTAGGATGATTTTAAGGAGGATGGTGGAATGAGAGGACTGTGATGTTTGGCCCCGTTTCTTATCCCTTGTCTTTTCATGGGCCAGGTGTGCTCCATCAGAAGGCTTTCTGTGCCTGATGTAAAGTGTCCTGGGTGAAGAAAGGGCACTGCTTAGAGAGGTGCTCCACAGGCAGGAAGGAGCCACCATTTTCAGGAGAATGATCCCCAGAAGCATGAGCAATCCAGATGCCGTGGCTTCACACAAGACGTCGGAGGGTCTTATTCCTGCAGCCGGGACCTGGGCATCGGTGTCCTTTAATGCTCATAACTAATTTTGAGGGGAGCCCAATCGATAACCTGTCTGCAAGTCATGCTCATCACACTGTAGTTTTCACACACGTCACACAGAGACCCTGTTCGTATGCACATTTGGGTGCTTGAGCAGGGTTGCGCCCAAGATTCTGTGGTTCTACGGAGCCCTGAGTTGTGACCTGGACAGCTTTCCTCAGGGGTTGGTCAACTTTGATCACTGCACCTAACAAGAAAGGGACCATGAAATCTAATCAGCAAATACAGAAAAGGAAGGGGCCATTTCCCATAATAATTTCCACAGAAACACCACGTCGGATAAATAAGTCTGATTGCAGGACAGGGACTGTGTTTCAGAGATGCAGCTTTCGCAGCTGGATGAATGACCTGGAATCTCCCCAAATGCCATTTGTAAACACACCAAATGAGGTTTATGTCAGGGCTTTCTGAATGTATTTTAGATGAATACACACACTCCAGTGTTTGATTTCCTTTAGTATCAATGAGACTTAGTTCCAAATGACTTCCGTGCCAGTGGGAAAATTTTCCGGTTCCACTCATTGGAAGTGGACACCGTGAAACAGGTAAGTCGGTCTGTCTGTTTCCCGCGTTATGTGGGTTCCAGCAAGAGCCCAAGTCTCAGGGCACCTGAGGTCCATTCAGAAACCAAAATAAAATGGGCGAGCCAGGGTAAGAAAGGAGAGCACCGTTCCTATCTTCCAATTGAATTCCAGTATCCACTATTCAAGGTGGCGAGAATGATCCACGGATGTACCACATGAGCAAAATTTCACCTTCTCTTGCCGACCAACAACTGACGAATGAAACAAACCCCAAGAGGAAATAGTAAACCATGTCCCCTGCAATAACCTCACACGCAAACCTACAGGTCAATAGGTCACATTAAGAAATACACACTGAATGTCATCTACCATGAACACAAACACACAGACAGTCCCTCCAGAGGTTCGGAAGACTCACGAACCCAAAACTTGATGTTTCCCATGTGTGGGCTCATCCTGAGACGCAGCCATCACTATCCAATTGTCCCTGTTGTAGAGACAGAAACTGGGGCTCCTCATTACTTTATGTAGGATTGACGGTGTTCGTGTTTGTGTGGGTGTGTGTGTGTTTCCGTGCGCGCTTGTGGGTGTATTTGTGTTTGTGTGTGTGTGTGTGTGCACCCATCAGTGTGGGTCGGTACTTCCACTGTGATCACTGGCACACAAGCAGAGATCTCTTGCTGTGTTTGTTATTCCCTTTGGATCTCCTGGTGCTCCCTTGCAGAGAAGCGAGTGTGCCAGTGTTCATGGACTCCTGATCTGTCGGTTTCGTCGAAGAGAGGTTTAGCAGGGAGCTTTGCTGTTCAGGATGATGGTTTTTCATACCACACTTGTATTTTGATTGATGAATCACAAGTACGTTGGGAGGCAGGGTACCTTCAACTTTTCTGACGTTGAACTCAGGCTTCGTTTTGTTTTGCTCTTGGGGGAATTTCCAGTGGTCTAAGGTGCTTTCCTGAGTGGCTCTTTCCACCAAGTGCTCGTCCAACTCGGGTACCTGGAGGCAAGGGTGGTCTCTCTTGAGCTCTCCTTGCGTTGCTGGCCTGTCTGTGTCTTCAGCACCAAGGGCTCTTGGTTCCCTGCCTCTTGACACACTCTCACTGTGTCTTTCCCATTCACTCTTCTGGATGTAAAAGAGGACATAGGCCTGTTGACTCAGGACAGAGGTGATGCCAGAGGCAGTGACCTCGGCATCATCCATTTTATACCACTGGCCTTCTTGAGCTTTGACATAAGAGAAGTAATGTCCGTTGTGACAACTCCACCCAGCGTGGACCAGCACAGCATAGAGGACATAGACAAGAGGTCCTGTGTTCTGCTGAGACATGTATGGCTGCATGTCACGGCACTTAGGATATTGCACATTCTTGGCAAGTTTGTTGCCTGTGACATCGGAGAATCTCTTCAATACAAGAATGAGGACCTTGGCAGAAGTGGGTAAAGTTAACGTCTTGGAGGCAGGCGCCTTCTGGAGACAAAGACCACAATGATAGGCATTCTCTCCATTGAGTTCTTTGGGCTTCACCAACTGTTCCAAAGCTTGCTTGACACTCTGAGCTGCCTGGATATCCAGGGCGATGTCCAGGTAAGGGTCAAAGGTGTCTGAAACGCCGTGGCAGTGGAGATACTTGATTTGAGATCTCCAATACGCTCCAAATATTTGGTGGATGAGGGTGGTGTCCTTGGAGTGATGATCTAGCTGCTTGTGCCCGGGAAGGCATGCCTTTTTCATGGCATCCACAGTAAACATGAGAAATTCATGGGCATCCTCCTGCTCACCTCTATGGAAGCCAGCAGCCAATACCTGTGAGGGCTGGATGACATGGCCAGGACTGTGGAGGGCCCATGTGATGTGAGCTTGCATAGTACAGAACATGCAGCACTTGTGAAGATGACACGTTTGAGAGTCCTCCCGGGACAGCATGTAGTTGGAAAGCGGCAGTGTGTATGTCAGGCACTGCAGGGAAACGTTCACATAGAAGGTATTTCCTATCTTCTGGAGCCCAGCCCCCACCGCAGCAGGTCTCCTGCTACTCAGAGGAAGCTTCTCCCTGGGAGCAAGCTGTCTTGCCACAGGAGCCAAATCATCACAGAGGTCGAAACGGGTCTCAGATGAGAGTGGTGACTTTTCAGAGAGAGAAGTCCGCTGGATTTCAGCAAAAGCTGCATCTAGCCGAGAAGATGTGAGTTTTGAAAAGTGATTGAACTGCCAGTCACCTCCCAAATAGAGTGAGTCGTCTTCCATGTCGCCCGCAACAAGGATCACAAGGTTTTTCTGCTGGGACCGCAGGTTGCAGCAAGACGCTATCTCTTCCGAGAGAGTCTTCAAATGACCAGCTCTCTGGCCGCATCAGCCCTTATATAACTCACCCCCTCCAACCGCGAACACCCCACCCACCCATCAGGTGTGCGATAAACCAATCAAATATCAGCACTCAATTAAGGAATGAGTCACAGGGTGTGTCCCCTTGCATCGCTGGGAATTCAACAGACACAGCCCACATCATGACTTCTAGAACACCTGAATCAAATTACTCCTCAGGCTGATAGACACATGTAATATGAGTGTAACCGGGTTGGGACAGTGGCCACACAGTTGCCTTATTTTAGGTAAAAGAATGTCAGGGAAGAAATCTTTACCTATGAAACCGTGTGTGTGTCTGTGTGTGTGTGTGTGTGTGTGTGTGTGTGTGTGTGTGTGTGTGTTTGTGTGTGTGTGTGTGTGCTTGTGCTGGGATGAACTTCCAAGTATGTACTTTTGGCAGCTACCATCATCCTCTCAGCGATGGAAGCACAAGAAGTCTGAAGTGCACTTTCTGACCTGAGAATAGTCAATGAAGTATAGTATTTAGCACAGCGTATATTTTTCCTTAATAATAAAGGAGAGATCCGTGGAATCAAACAGACCTTCCAGCGATAACCTTTCCACGTTCAGACTATTGATTCTCTATCCGAGTGAAATTACCTGCCAGTGGAGAACAAGACAAGTCTTTGCATGAAATACTCTTGTGGAAGCTAGGCTGCCAAATAAAGCATCAAATGGTAGAAACATGCACTGAAGTTTGAAGAGTTACTCAGTGCACAAAGTAGACTGTGAAAGACTTTGGGGAAATCATGCAATCACCGAGAGACTAATTGATGACTTTCCCCAAATTTATGTGTGCCAGAAAAGAGAGATGGTCCTGACATTGTATAGTGAGTGGTTTCGGACGTGCGGCGGCAGTTTAAGAAAACATGAAACAAAAACCTTGAGAAATCCAAAGGTATCCCAACTATAAGCTTTTGTTTATTAAAGAACTGATGAAAATCAAAACAACATATCTCACAGCATGGGTGATACTGTTTCCATACGTATGTGATAATGGCTCAACATTTCATAGAGATGAAATAAAAAGTTCTAATTTTGACAAAAGCAAACAAGGAAAATTATACCGTAGAAAAGCCCGGGTGACGGGAGTGAGGCCCTGTCTGAAGAAGAAAACATCGGAGACGTTTAAAAGCAGGGAGTGAAACAGAAGATAGCATAACCTTTTTAATGCTGGCCCTTGTTTCACAGGGAAAAGGCAAAAATGCAAAAATAAGCCGTGTGTCTCCTGGATTCTCTCATCGATTGTTCATGGTCTGAGATGTTCCCTCCATTTCCAGTTATGCATTGTATGGTGGAATTGCAGTTAGTACATTTGGTGCAAAAATTGTAATGCTGACGAAAGTGGACATGTTCCCTGAACTAAGAGGGACAGCATTTGGGTGTGTCTTCAGGCTCTCTGGCTTACCAGGAATGAAGATCCTGGCTCTAGGGATTTTCCCAAAATGTCTTAGACAGTAAGGAACAGGGCAGAATTGAGGCCCGGCGCCAAGGCCTCTGGGTGTAAAGAAACAGCCCTGGCTTCAAGGGCTCATGAAATTCGGATGATTTTAAGGAGGATGATGGAATGAGAGGACTGTGACCTTTGGCCCCGTTTCTTTCCCTTGTCTTTTCATGGGCCAGGTGTGCTCCATCAGAAGGCTTCGTGCGCCTGATGTAAAGTGTCCTGGGGGAAGAAAGGAGCACTGCTTAGAAAGATGCTCCACAGGGAGAAAGAAGCCACCATTTTCAGGAGAATGATCCCCAGAAGCATGAGCAATGCAGATGTCGTGGCTTCACACAAGACGTCGGAGGGTCTTATTCCTGCAGCCGGGACCTGGGCATCGGTGTGCTTTCATGTTCCTAACTGATTTTGAGGGGAGCCCAATCGATAACCTGTCTGCGAGTCATGCTCATCACACTGTAGTTTTCACACACGTCACACGGAGACCCTGTTCGTATGCACATTTGGGTGCTTGAGCAGGGTTGCGCCCAAGATTCTGTGGTTCTACGGAGCCCTGAGTGGTGCCCTGGGCAGCTTTCCTCTGGGGTTGGTCAACTTTGATCACTGCACCTAACGAGAAAGGGACCATGAAATCTAATCAGCAAATACAGACAAGCAAGGGGCCATTTCCCACAATCATTTCCACGGAAACACCACGTCGGATACGTAAGTCTGATTGCAGGACAGGGACTGTGCTTCAGAGATGCAGCTTTCGCAGCTGGACGAATGACCCGGAATCTCCCCAAATGCCATTTGTAAGCACACCAAATGAGGTTTATTTCAGGGCTTTCTGAATTTATTTCAGTTGAATACACACACTCCTGTGTTTGATTTCCTTTATTATCAATACGACTTATTTCCAAATGACTGACATGCCAGTGGGAAAATTTTCCATTTCGACTCATTGGAATTGGACATCGTGAAACAGGCAAGTCGGTCTGTCTGTTTCCGGCGTTATGTGGGTTCCAGCAAGAGCACAAGTCCCAGGGCGCCTGAGGTCCATTCAGAAACCAATGTAAAAACGGTGAGCCAGGGTAAGAAAGAAGAGCACCGTTCCTATCTTCTAAATGCATTCCAGTTTCCACTATTCAAGGTGGCGAGAATGATCCATGGATGTGCCACATGAGCAAAATTTCACCTTCTCGTGCCGCCCAACAACTGACGAATGAAACACACCCCAAGAGAAAATAGGAAACCGAGTCCCCTGCAATAACCTCACACTCAAACCTACACGTCAGTAGGTCATATTCAGAAATACACAGTGAATGTCATCTACCATGAACACAAACACACAGACAGTCTCTCCAGAGGTTCGGAAGACTCACGACCCCAAAACTTGATGTTTCCCATGTGTGGGCTCATCCTGAGATGCAGCCATCACTATCCAGTTGTCCCTGTTGTAGAGACAGAAACTTGGACTCCTCATTACTTTATGTAGGATTGACGGTGTTCGTGTTTGTGTGTGTGTGTGTGTTTGCGTGCGCGCTTGTGGGTGTATTTGTGCGTGTGTGTGTGTGCGTTCACCCCTACGTGTGGGTCGGCACTTCCACTGAGATCACTGGCACACAAGCAGAGCCCTCTTGCTGTGTTTGTTCTTCCCTTTGGATCTCCTGGTCCTCCCTTGCAGAGAAGCGAGGGTGCCAGTGTTCACGGACTCCTGATCTGTCCGGGTCGTCGAAGAGAGGTTTAGCAGGGAGCTTTGCTGTTCAGGATGATGGTTTTTCATCCCACACTTGTATTTCGATTGATGAATCACAAGTACGTTGGGAGGCAGGGTACCTTCGACTTTTCTGACGTTGAACTCAGGCTTCGTTTTGTTTTGCTCTTGGGGGAATTTCCAGTGGTCTAAGGTGCTTTCCTGAGTGGCTCTTTCCACCAAGCGCTCGTCCAACTCGGGTGCCTGGAGGCAGGGGTGGTCTCTCTTGAGCTCTCCTTGCGTTGCTCGCCTGTCTGTGTCTTCAGCGCCGAGGGCTCTTGGTTCCCTGCCTCTTGACACACTCTCACTGTGTCTTTCCCATTCACTCTTCTGGATGTAAAAGAGGACATAGGCCTGTTGACTCAGGACAGAAGTGATGCTACAGGCAGTGACCTTGGCATCATCCATTTTATACCACTGGCCTTCTTGAGCTTTGACATAAGAGAAGTAATGTCCGTCGTGACAACTCCACCCAGCGTGGACCAGCACAGCATAGAGGACATAGACAAGAGGTCCTGTGTTCTGCTGAGACATGTATGGCTGCATGTCAAGGCACTCAGGATATTGCACATTCTTGGCAAGTTTGTTGCCTGTGACATCGGAGAATCTCTTCAAGACAAGGATGAGGACCTTGGCAGAAGTGTGTAAAGTTAACGTCTTGGAGGCCGGCGCCCTCTGGAGACAAAGACCGCAATGATAGGCATTCTCTCCATTGAGTTCTTCGGGCTTCACCAACTGTTCCAAAGCTTGCTTGACACTCTGAGCTGCCTGGATATCCAGGGCGATGTCCAGGTAAGGGTCAAAAGTGTCTGAAATCCCGTGGCAGTGGAGACACTTGATTTGAGATCTCCAGCAGCCTCCAAATATTTGGTGGATGAGGGTGGTGTCCTTAGAGTGATGATCTACCTGCTTGTGGCCGGGAAGGCATGCCTTTTTCATGGCATCCACAGTGAACATGAGAAATTCATGGGCATCTTCCTGCTTGCCTCTATGGAAGCCAGCAGCCAATGCCTGTGAGGGCTGGATGACATGACCAGGACTGTGGAGGGCCCATGTGATGTGAGCTTGCATAGTACAGAGCATGCAGCACTTGGGACGCTGACATGTTTGAGAGTGCTCCCGGGACAGCATGTAGTTGGCAAGGGGCGGTGTGTATGTCAGGCACTGCAGGGAAGCGTTCTCGTAGCAGGTATTTCCCATATTCTGGAGCCCAGCCCCCACCGCAGCAGGTCTCCTGCTACTCAGAGGAAGCTTCTTCCTGGGAGCAAGCTGTCTTGCCACAGGAGCCAAATCATCACAGAGGTCGACACGGGCCTCAGATGAGAGTGGTGACTTCTCAGGGAGAGAAGTCCGCTGGATTTCAGCAAAAGCTGCATCTGGCCGAGAAGATGTGAGTTTTGAAAAGTGGTTGAACTGCCACTCACCTCCCAAGTAGAGTGAGTCGTCCTCCATGTCGCCCGCAACAAGGATCACAAGGTTTTTCTGCTGGGACTGCAGGTTGCAGCAAGACGCTATCTCTTCCAAGAGAGTCTTCAAATGACGAGCTCTCTGGCCGCATCAGCCCTTATATAACTCACCCCCACCAACCGCGAACACCCCACCCACCCATCAGGTGTGCGATAAACCAATCAAATATCAGCACTCAATTAAGGAATGAGTCACAGGGTGTGTCCCCTTGCATCGCTGGGAATTCAACAGACACAGCCCACATCATGACTTCTAGAACACCTGAATCAAATTACTCCTCAGGGTGATAGGCACATATAATATGAGTGTAACCGGGTTGGGACAGTGGCCACACAGTTGCCTTATTTTAGGTAAAAGAATGTCAGGGAAGAAATCTTTACCTATGAAACCGTGTGTGTATCTCTCTGTGTGTGTGTGTGTGTGTGTGTGTTTGTGTGTGTGTGTGTGTGCTTGTGCTGGGATGAACTTCCAAGTATGTACTTTTGGCAGCTACCGTCATCCTCTCATCGACGGAAGGACAAGAAGTCTGAAGTGCGCTTTCTGACCTGAGAATAGTCAATGAAGTATAGTATTTAGCACAGCGTATTTTCTTCCTTAATAATAAAGGAGATATCCGTGGCATCAAACAGACCTTCCAGGGATAACCTTTCCACGTTCAGCCTATTGACTCTCTATCCGAGTGAAATTACTGGCCAGTGGAGAACAAGACAAGTCTTTGCATGAAATGCTCTTGTGGAAGCTAGGCTGCCAAATAATAAAGCATCAAATGGTAGAAACATGCACTGAAGTTTGAAGAGTTACTCAGTGCACAAAGTAGGCTGTGAAAGACTTTGGGGAAATCATGCAATCACCGAGAGACTAATTGATGACATTCCCCAAATTTATGTGTGCCAGAAAAGAGAGATGGTCCTGACATTGTATAGTGAGTGGTTTCGGACGTGCGGCGGCAGTTTAAGAAAACTTGAAACAAAAAACTTGAGAAATCCAAAGGTATCCCAACTATAAGCTTTTGTTTATTAAAGAACTGATGAAAATAAAAACAACGTATCTCACAGCATGGGTGATACTATTTCCATACTTACGTGATAATGGATCAACATTTCATAGAGATGAAATAAAAAGTTCTAATTTTGACAAAAGCAAACAAGGAAAATTATACCGTAGAAAAGCCCGGGTGACGGGAGTGAGGCCCTGTCTGAAGAAGAAAACATCGGAGACGTTTAAAAGCAGTGAGTGAAACAGAGGGTAGCATAACCTTTTTAATACTGGCTCTTGTTTCACTGGGAAATGGCAAAAATAAACCGTGTATCTCCTGGATTCTCGCATCGGTTGTTCATGCTCTGAGATGTTCCCTCCATTTCCAGTTATGCATTGTATGGTGGAATTGCAGTTAGCACCTTTGATGCAAAAATTGTAATGCTGACGAAAGTGGACATGTTCCCTGAACTAAGAGGGACAGCATTTGGGTGTGTCTTCAGGCTCTCTGGCTTACCAGGAATGAAGATCCTGGCTCTAGGGATTTTCCCAAAATGTCTTAGACAGTAAGGAACAGGGCAGAATTGAGGCCCGGCGCCAAGGCCTCTGGGTGTAAAGAAACAGCCCTGGCTTCATGGCCCATGAAATTAGGATGATTTTAAGGATGGTGATGAAATGAGTGGGCTGTGACCTTTGGCCCTGTTTCTTTCCTTTGTCTTTTCATGGGCCAGGTGTGCTTCATCAGAAGGCTTCCTATGCCCGATGTAAAGTGTCCTGGGGGAAGAAAGGAGCACTGCTTAGAAAGATGCTCCACAGGGAGAAAGGAGCCGCCATTTTCAGAAGAATGTTCCCCAGAAACATGAGCAATCCAGATGCCGTGGCTTCACACAGGGTGTTGGATGGTCTTATCTCTTTAAGCGGGACCTAGGAATTGTTGTCCTTTAATGCTCATAACTGCTTTTGAGGTGAGCCGAATTGATGTCCTGCCTGCGTGTCATGCTCATTGCACTTTAATTCACACACATGTCACACACAAACACTCTGAATAAGCACATTTTTGTTCTTGAGCAATATTTCACCCAAGATTCTGTGGTTCTACCGAGCCCTGAGTTCTGTCCTGGACATCTCAACTCTTTGGTAGGTCAACTTTGATCTTTGTACCTAATGATAAATGGACTATGAAATCTTATCAGCAAATATACAAAAGTAAGGGGCCATTCTCCACAATCGTTTCTCTCTGGTAGGTCATCTTTGATAACTGTACCTAACAAGAAATGAATATGTGATGATTCCTAATCAAAAAATTTCTTGATTTTTTGCCATTTTAATTAATTCTGTTAATGTTTAAATAGAGTTTTAAACCCGAGATTTGGCATGAAGTCTAATCGTCAAATACACAAAAGGAAGGGTCCATTCTTCAAAATCTTTTCCACTGAAAGACCACCTCTGATATACAAGTCTCGTTGCATTACAGGGATCCTGCTTCCAAGATGCAGCTTTCACAGCTTGATGATTGACCCAGAATCTCCTCTAATGCCATTTTTTTACACCCAAAATGAGATTTATTTCAGGGCTTCCGGATTTTATTTTAGCTGAATACATCCACTCTTCTGTTTCCATTTCTTTCAAACTCTTTTAAATAATTATCTTGCTGCATCAGCCCTTATATAACTACTGTCCACCCACCGAGACCATTACATTTATCCATCAATTACCCTATTTACTAATAATATATCAGGATTCAATTAAGTTTTTTGTCTTAGGTTGTATCCTCTTGCATTCCTCAGAGAATTTAATGGACACTGCTTACACTGTGACTATGGAAGAGTTGAAGCAGATTTACTTGTCAGTATTATGAGCAAATATGTTAGGTGTGGAACCGGGCTAGGATAGTAGCTAAACATTTGCCTTATTTCATATATAACAATGCTATTTAACAATTGTGTACATATTAAACAGTTTGTGTGTATGAGAGAAATATTCATGGCATTTTTAATCCAAGGGTTTCTTGTATATGACATCATTTTTAAAAAAGTCAAAATCAGAAAAGCTTCACAAATTGGAAGATATCTAAGCTAAAACCTTTTGTTTCTTAAAGGAACGATGAAGATAATTGCAATGTAACACACGGCATGTGTGATAATGTTTTAATACATATCTAAAAATGCCTTAAAATTCAATAGAAGTAAAATAACAACTTCTAAAACTTGACAAAAGGAAACAACAAAAATTACACACTGGAAAAGCCTGGCTGACTGGAGTGAAATCCTGTCTCAAGAAGGAACAGACAAACACACAAACAAGCAAAGGATTCTAAAAGCAGGGAATCAAACAGATACTTGTACACCATTCTTCCTACTAGCAATCTTCATAGTAGGAAAAGGCAAAAACAACCCAAATGTGTGGTGAATTACTTCATCAGTTTTTTAGGATCTGCAATACTGCCTCAATTTTCAGTTACTCATTGTGGGGAGAACCTGCAGTTACCACATTTGTTCCAAAATTTTATGGTGATGAAGGTAAACCTGTCCGGCATTCTCAGAGGGACAGAATTCTGGTGTTTCTCCAGGTTCCTTGGCTTATCAGGAATGAAGATCCAAGCTGTATAGACGTTTTTCAAAAGTATGTACGTACGTATGTATGTATGTATGCATGTATGTACGTATGTACGTATTTCCTCTTTTTAAATTTAAAAAATACAGGATACATGTGCAGAACGAGCAGGCTTGTTATATAGGTATCCTCTGCTATGGTGGTTCGTTGCACCTATTGACTTATCCTGTAAGTTTCCTTCCCTCACCCCCAGCCCCCAACGGGCTGTGTTGTGTGTTGTTCCTCTCACTGTGTCCTTGTTTCCTCAGTGTTCAACTTTCACTTATTAGTGAGAACATGCGGTATTTGTTTTTTTTGTTGTTGTTGTTCCTGTGTTAGTTTGCTCAGTATGATGGCTTCACCTTCATCCATGTGCCTGCAAAAGACATGATCTCATTCCTTTTTATGACTGCATAGTATTTTTTGGTGTATACGTACCACATTTTCTTTATCCATTCTAGCACTGAAGGGCATTTGGGTTGGTTTCATGTCTTTCCTATTGTATATAGTGCTGCAATAAACATACGTGTGCATGTGTCTTTATAGTGGAATGATTTATATTCCTTTGGGTACATAGCCAGTAATGCGATTGCTGGGTCAAATGGTATTTCTGGTTCTAGATCCTTGAGGAATCGCCATACTGTCTTCCACAATGGTTGAACTAATTTACAGTTTCACCAACAGTGTAAAAACCTTCCTCTTTCTTCTCAGCCTCACCAGCATCTATTGTTTCTTAATTTTTTAATAATCGCCATTCTGACGGGTGTGAGATGGTATCTCACTGTAATTTTGATTTTCATTTCTCTGATGATCAGTGTTGTTGAGCTTTTTAAAAATATATTTGTTGGTTGCATAAATGTCTTCTTTTGATAAGTTTCTGTTCATATCTTTTGCTCACTTTTGATGGGGTTGTTTGTTTTTTTGCTTGTAAATATGTTTAAGTTCCTTGTCAACTTTGGTTATTAGACCTTTGTCAGATGGGCAGATTGCAACAATTTTCTCCCATTCTGTAGGTTGCTTTTTCATGCTGATGATAGTTTCTTTGCTGTGCAGAAGGTCTTTAGTTTAATTAGATCCAATTTGTCAATTTTGGCTTTTGTTGCAATTGCTTTTGGCATTTTTGTCATGAAGTCTTTGCCCATGCCTATGTCCTGAATGGTATTGCTTAAATTTTCTTCTAGGGTTTTTATGGTTTTGGATTTTACATTTAAGTCTTTAATCCATATTGAGTTAATTTTTGTATAAGGTGTAAGGAAGGGGTCCAGTTTTAGTTTCTTGCCTATGGCAAGCCAGTTTTTCCAGCAGCATTTACTGAATAGGAGATCCTTTCTCCCTTGCCTGTTTTTGTCAGGTTTGTCAAAGATCAGATGGTCGTAGATGTGTGGGGTTATTTCTGAGGTCTTTGTTCTGCTCCATTGGTCTATATGTCTGTTTTGGCAGCAGTAGCATGCTGTTTTGGTTACTGTGGCCTTCTAGTATAGTTTGAAGTTAGGTAGCGTAATGCCTCCAGCTTTGTTATTTTTGCTTACAATTGTCTTGGCTATACAGGGTATTCTTTGATTTCATATGAAATTTAAAATAGTTCTTTCTAATTCTGTGAAAAATATCAATGGTAGCTTGATGGGTACAGCATTGAATCTATAAATTAGTTTGGGCAGTATGGACATTTTCACAATATTGATTCTTCCTATTCATGAGGATGGAATGTTTTTCCATTCATTTGTGTCCTCTCTTATTTCCTTGAGCAGTGGTTTGCAGTTGTCTTTGAAGAGGTCCTTCACATCTCTTGTACTCCTAACTGTATCCCTAGGTATTTTATTCTCTTTATAGCAATTGTGAATGGGAGTTCATTCTTGATCTGGCTCTCTGCTTAACTATTGTTGATGTAAAGGAATGTTTGTGATTTTTGCACAATGATTTAATATCTTGAGAACTTGGTGAAGTTGCTTATCAGTTCAAGAAGTTTTTGAATTGAGATGATGGGGTTTTCTAAATATAAAGTCATGTCATCTGCAAACAGAGACAACTTCACTTACTCTCTTCCTATTTGAATACATTTTATTTCTTTCTCTTGCCTGATAGCCCTGGTGAGAACTTCCAATACTATGTTGAATAGAAGTGGTTACAGAGGACATCCTTGTCTTGTACCAGTTTTTGAAAGGAATGCTTCCAGCTTTTGCCTATTCAATATGATGTGGGCTGTGGGTTTGTTATAAATAGCTCTATTATTTTGCAATATGTTCCATCAGTACCTAGTTTATTGAGAGTTTTTAACATGAAGGGATGGTGAATTTTATCAAAGGCATTTTTGCATCTATTGAAATAATTGTCTGGTTTTTGTCTTTGGTTCTGTTTATGTGATCAATTACATTTATTCATTTGTGTATGTTGAACCAGCCTTTCATCCCAAAGATGCAGCCGACTTGATTGTGGTGGATAAGCTTTTTGATGTGCTGCTGGATTCCGTTTGCTAGTATTTTATTAAGAATTTTTGCATTAATGTTCATCAGGGATATTGGCCTGGATTGAGCAGGTATGTGTGTGTGTTTCTACCTTGGTTTGCCAGTAGGTTGATGTGTGAGTGTGTGTGACTGTGTGTGTGTGTGTGTGTGTGTGGGTGTGAATGTGCGATAGAGAGCCAAACTAGAGCAGAGGAAGTTCCCTGGCCTGCCATGACATTAAATGTTCTGAATTCAAGATACCAAGGGAGGCATGAGACCCACAGTGGAAACTTCAGGATGTGGCCAGGTTTCAGGGGTTTCTGGGAGCTGCCAGTGGGCATGTCTCAGGCTTGCTCCCACTGACAATCCATGTCTTCTCTCTAAATGGGAGATGGCTCTGTATGGAGAACAGGCAACAGAGAGCATGATATAAGGGTTCTACCTCATACTCACTAGGAAAGAAAACAGTTTTCATCATCTCTCACTCCATTCACAATGTA
Organism: Homo sapiens; assembly: GCF_000001405.40. Taxonomy (NCBI): domain Eukaryota; kingdom Metazoa; phylum Chordata; class Mammalia; order Primates; family Hominidae; genus Homo; species Homo sapiens. The sequence continues at coordinate 12,145,284 of NC_000008.11, forward strand.
ACTCTATAGACACAGGGGACAGTTACCTGAAATATTAGCATAGCTAAAGTCCTCAGACCAAATTAGATGTCCTACCTTCTCATGTGGATCAGATCCTAAAAAAACAACTGCTTCCTGTGGTCATTATCTTTTATCCCAGGCCATTTCCAATCCAGCGGAAGACCTTCTAGAAGAGATGATGGTGGGAGAGTGCTGACATACTATGTGAAGCTACTATTTGGAGTTGGACACGAGTGCATGTGTCCTTGTGCCACAACGGGAATGTGAGCTGGATGACAAATGGAGATTTGGACTTGTGATAATTGGCCTCTGTGTCATTGTGTGGAAGACTGACTGGTCCCTTTATTTCCTGTAGCTTGACTACAACACAAATGAATCCACTCAAATGTTGGCAAGTGGAGCAGAGTCCCAGAACAGGTAAGGCACTTTCCCTGCTTTTTCTTAAGATCAATCCTCATGCCTACAAATTAAAGTCACATCCCACACGATCATTAAAGTAGAGAGTGCATTCTGCAGGATGAGTGAAAAGGCATTTATGATTCTTGGGGGCAGATGTTCTACAGTTGCCTGTGCTAGTTCATGTCTTTCTGCAGATCACATTCTTAACCTCTAGAGAGTCTGGCAGGACCAGAGCCTTACCTTTCCCAGTCTGCAATCTCTACAGGTACAGAAACACCCCCAGTTCAAGGATCTTCACACCTGGATTTAGGCCTACTCCTGCAACTACCCCAGGTAAGTTTCCTTGTTCTTCAATGGCAAAGTTTGGACAATGCTGTTCAAACTCCAGGCAACAAGCAACATCTAGGGAATGTGCTTTTAGGTAGGGTCAGCATAATATCCCACCCTGGGAGACATTTTTATTTTAAAGTTGTAGAGGGTGTTGCTGCTGTCGGCTCCCTGCCAATCAGCACCATTTGCAGCCTCTTTTGAAGACAGAGAACTGAGGGCTGTCCTTCGAATGGAGCAGTGTGATTCCAAAAAAAGAGATGCTCCTTGTGGTCCTGGGACCAGGGATAGGACTCCAGTTGAGCCTGGTGGAAGAGGTCCTTGTCCTACCCCAACGGAGAGCCATGCAGCTGAGCTTGGGCGATGTGGTCCACGTGGTTGTTTCTGAGTGTGTCCTGAGGTTGCAGGATGGCTTGCAGTTCCCTATGCAGATCCAATGCATCTTTTGCTTTTTTGCTTCTACAACCTGGAATTTATATGTTCAAGATGGAGCCATCCCAGCCATGACAACAGAGAATGTACCACTCTCACTTGAGGAAGAGGGGTAGGCAGTGCTCCTGTATCACCAGCCCTTAATGAGACCCTGAGGAAACCACATCATGGAGATCAGCCCTTCTCTCCTGTAAGGAACTCATCCTATGAAAGAGCAATTAGTGCCTGCAAGAGCTGTCTCTGGGACAGCGGTTCATGTCTATATCTGCAGGGTAACCCTCATAGTCATATGCAGTCATATCCATAGTCATATCGGGAGTCAGATTCCAGTTTGACTGAGTGAGTGGAGAAACTAAACATTTATTACTGAATAATAACATTAATAAACCATCTTAATGATAGTAATAATAAACATATTGATGAGTATTAACAGGAATGATGATGATTATTATGATACTAATATCCATAATTAACAATTTTAATATTGATAATAATACAACCCTGTGGACTTGGGACCTAAACAGCAGTTTCCCCTTACAATTATCCCATATTTGGCCACAGGGGGTAATGTTGAGTTCCAGAAGGCAAGGATTAACATTCAGAAAATAGGAAAAACAACCTGCAGGTAAGCATGTGCACACATTGGGACTCTATGGATAAATACTAAAGTGACTCTTGTTCTGGATCTCCATGCTAACAAACATGCACCAGCTTTCAGGAGGTAGTACAGCTGGCTGATGGGGCAAGGCTTCTTGAGGACATGGCAGGAGTCAGAAATCACACATGCTGCCCAGCAGCAGAGCTCATGACAAACAGTAAACCCCAGCGAAAGGACCTGGCTGCCCTTTCTGCCATCTGCTCTCCCATGACCTCTCTTGACTGGTACATCTAGGCACTGGAATAACCTTCACTGGCTATAGGAGGGCATAATCCTCAGTATTCTCCCACCTGCAAGAAAGACAAAAATTAATTGAATACCATGGCTTCTGGGTATCCTTAGTGGGCTTAGCGTATTTTGCATTTGCTTTAACAGGCCAGTTATCCAGGCAGTGACTTTCAGTGCAGCTACAGTCACCTCTGGAAACCTGTGGAGACTTTAAAAATTTCCAAAAGGTCAGGAATTTTTGGAGACCTTTCTCATGGCTACGTTTCCTGCAAACGTGAATCAATAAGCTTCTGAACTGACTTAGAAAATGTTGCAGAGACTCTTGTGAACAGATAGACCCTCTCCTGCCACTCAGATAGATGTATCTGGGTCACACACACCTGATTTAACATCTCATTATCTCAGGTGGGCAACAGACAGCAATTTAGGACCTATCCCAGTGTGGATGAAAGACATTGAGTTGGCTTAGAAAAATGTTAGATAGACTAGATGGGGCAAGAAAGCCCATTCTGGGGCTCAAAAGCCTTCACATAGAGTTGCTGACACATAAAGGGTATGTATAAATTCTTTCTCAGACCATGAGATCAGGATGTACTTCATCAGTATACCATGCTGGTATAAAGAGATTCTTGCCTCCAAAGGGACTCAGAATATTTCAGGGAACCTGTATTAGTCCATTTTTACACTGTTGTAAAGACACTACCCCACACTGGGTAATTTACAAAGGGAAGTTGTTTAATTAATTCACAGTTCTGCATCACTGGGGAGGCCTCAGGAAACTTACAGTCATGGTGGAAGGCAAGACAGAAGTAGGCACCTTTTTTCACAAGGTGGCAGGGAGAGAAGTGAGTGCACAGAAAAAAAAAAAAAAAAACCACCTACTCTTAAAACCATCAGATCTCCTAAGAATTCACTCACTATCATGAGGATAACATGAAGTAAACTTCTTCGACACATGGCGATTACAGGTCCCTCTGTCGATGTGTGGGGATAATAATTTGAGATGAGGTTTGGGTGGGGACACAGAGCCAAACCATATTATTCTGCTCCTGGCACCTCCCAAATCTCATGTCTTTTATATATATTTCAAAGCCAATCATGCTTTTCCAACAGTCCCCCAAAGTCTTAACTGATTCCAGCATAACTCAAAACTCCAAGTCCAAAGTCTTATTTGAGACAAGTCCCTTCTGCCTATCAGCCTATAAAATTAAAAAAAAAAAAGTTAGTTACATCCACAGTGGGGGCCTCATGACCCTGACCAGTGCCCTATCCTACTGTGGCTCAACTGATATCCAAGATGCAAGACAAAGTCCTTTTTACTCTTTCCTCTAATCTCCTCTAGCAGAAGGAAGCAGTCTTTTTTGGAGCTGCAAGCTGTGCTGCCTGGGGTTGGGGGAGTGGTAATGCAAGTACTCCTTTAGCTGTCCTGGCTGGTGTCTCAGTAGGTTTTATGGCCACTCACCTCAGTACACTGGCTCTGAGTACAGTACTATTGTGTCTGCAGTAGTGTATGAGATGGAAAATAAGTCTCCATTCTCCAAGACTCTTCTTGAGCATCAAGGCTGCCTGATTGTTGAGCTATAGCTACAGACTTTCCTCGCTGAGCCTAGCATGCACATGTTCCTCTGCTGGAAAAAAAACAGAAACAAACAAACCACCAAACAACTTCCCACAAGTGGAATGTTCTGGGACTCAAGGTCATCTAGATTATTTTGTCCCCAGGGTGCTCCCTTGATGTGGTGTGCTTCCTCTTTCCTCAGAGTAGGAGTCCCTGAAATTCAGATTACTGCATATGCTGCTGCTGCTTCTCTGGGTCTAGCTACCCAGTGGGGCTGCCGCACACCAGGCTGGTGCTCAAGAATATCTGCAATGGATCCAGTGATATAATCTGTCCTCAAGTCTCACAGCAGTGTGTATCAGCAGCTGATCAGATGGGGATGGCAGGGGAGTGATGTAGACTCTGAAAGATTCCTTGGTTATAAATAGTCCTAGTGTGTTGTGTATTGGATTTCTCAAATGCCAGTTGTAGTAGTAATGAACTCATCACATGGACAGACTCATGGCCTCCTGCTTAGCCAGAATGATGCAAGCAATGGTAACAGTTGTGGTCACTCACAACTTTTCTCCTTCCTGGGTGCTATGTTATTCTACCTGCAGATGCTGTAAAGGACTGTCAGTAGGCCTTCAGCCAGGAGGTGGTGCTTCCAAAAGACTGCCAGCTGTGGTGGTAGTGGTGAGATTTGGACTTGCCTTATGTTACCCATGGGAGGCACTCTGGTGTCTCAGGAAATAGGTGGAGCCATAGAGCTTCTAAAAGTTTCTTCTGTTATTTGTGTTAATCTACCAGGGTAGGTGGTTGAGCAAAGCCAGGTGGGAACTAGGTCAGGTAAGGTGATGCTCTGGCTGTCTATGTGTGGGACAAGCAGTGGCTCCAGTGGGAATTGGAAGGCAGTTCTTGGGCCACTGGAGTAATTTTCCAGAGAGAAGTGAAGCTGTCTCTGCCTCTGTACAAGGAGAGTCCATATGAGGAATGGGGAGTAGCAGCTTGGTAGTAAGCCCCATCCAGCTCCCACACACTTGGCAAGGCAGGTCTCACACCCACAGTGTTCCAATGGGAGTAGCTAGCTAAGTTTCAAGAAGTCTGAGCTCAGAACTCAAAACTGACCCATACCATAAGACTCCCTTATAGAGACAGCAACTGCAAACTTCAGGCCACACCCTTCCTGATCCACCTGCAGAGCAGGGGCCCTCAGCTCCTGTGCTTGCTGCTGCAGCACACTTCCCACTCACCTCTCAGTTCTGGCCTGGGGAGTTTGTCCCCAGTCAAGATTATATCACACATTTCAGTTGGGAGGTTGTCTCAACCTGTGACCACCATCTGAGTTAGCTGGCAGACTTCTAGGAGGTCCTGTCTGAGGTAGAATCAGAAATGGCTTCCCTCCATTCTACCAGAAACTGGGAATGTGCTGGAGATTCAAAGCACATCCCAATGCCACTCCTCATATACTCACCACTCTTCCCTAAATCAGCTCCAGCGCTGAGTAGGGTTAAGGCCTTCCCTCACGGCCTGGATTGATAGGTTTCCCAGTGGAAGTGTATATCTTAGAGTCAGTTTACCCTCCTGTCACACCCTGGAAACTTACAATTTTCTGCCTAGCTTATGGTGTAAGCTGCATCCTGCCGTTTCTTTCAAATGGTCTGTGGCTTATTTCAATTTTCCTGTTAAATTCCTGTGTTGCTTCTTGAAAGAAAGTTCACAGTGTGAGTCTCTACATGCCATTTTGTCTTTTCAAGTGCAAGAGGCAAACTAACAATGCCTTCAATCCACCATCTTGGAAAACGAAAGTAACAGTTTTCTCATTTTTAAAAGTTTTGTTAAGATCTGTTAATGACTCACAAAGAAATAGTACTTGGGTATATTTGAAATTAGTATTTATTCATTTATGTTGATAAGTGAAAATGCAAGATGGTTATCAAGATGGAATTACTTAATATGTATATTTTAATGTTCTTAGATGCAAATAACTTCACTTTTGATGTATTTTTATTTTGTCTCAGTTTCATTTCAACTTAGGTTTAAGGGGTTCTTGATAATCTGACATGATAAGTGGTGTTGGAATTGGCATTAAAATCCACCATGCTCTACAACACTTCATCCTTCTTCGGCAGGCACCAATTTGATCTTCTACTACTTTGCAGACATCTCTTCTGCAAACACCAGACAAATTGAGACAATGACCTTCCACAGGACCCAAATCACCTCTTACTGCAGGAAAGAAGATCCAGTGAGAAAATTAGTCCACAAATGGAATGTAAATCCATAAACACTCTTAAGTAACAGAATAAATTTAGTATGAACGTTTTTATGTGGGAGCTCTTGAAATGGTTGCTGCTCATATGTCAGAGACACATGCAGTTTAAGAAAGGTAGCAGTTCCAATCCTGGTTTGGCCCAACAGTCACTGCATTTTTGGTGGGGAAAAGGGATGTGGGAGGAGATGGTACCTCTTCATCTTTTTCTCTGGGTTTTCTGTCAGAAAGGGATGTTGCTTACTCCAGTGGCAAAAAATGCCAGTGTCTTCTGCCAGAGTGGGTTACTGAGGGCCTTGGTGGTTCCACCTTGTGGCTGATACAGATAGTCCCTTTCTGTTTTTGTTTCTAGCCAAAAAAGATGTTTCTGGCATCTCAGGTATGCTGATTTCAGCAGCTGTTTTTTCTATATGGCTAGTTTTTTTTCTTTCACTCTCTCTTTCTCTCTCTTTTTTTTTTTTTTTTGTTGGCTTCACTGTGTTGCCATAGTTTCTTAAATGGTCCCTTGAACCCTGCCAGGGCTATTTTGGTTTGTACATAACTATCTATATATATTTTTCTTGCGGGGAGGGTGTAGAGCTAAAGGCTGGTATATCCTGCTCCTGCTCCCCAAAAGTGACGTTATTCCCCCAAGCTAATATTTCAGGCTTTCAATTTATTCATGCTTTCATCTGTTTAAACATAAGTAGAAATTACTTTTTCTCTCCACATTTAGATTTGATCTATCTACTTTAATTGCTAGTAGTGTCTTAGGCATAGAATAGATTAGTTAGAAAAAAGTGTTTTTGACATTATAAATGATTCTTTCAATTTGTGTCTAAAAGTGGAAAATACTAGAAAGCTTAACATTTATTATTGTATTCAGACCAGTATTTCCTCCAGATGACCTTTATTACAACAAAGATAATTTAAGGAAGATCTCTCTAATGGTAAAGCTGAGGGCTTTGTGCTATTACAATATCCTTCAAATAAAGTGACGGTCTGGTGGAAATAACAACTAAAGCAAGGATTAGGAAGAAAACAGTTAATACCTTCATTTTGGTCTCACTCTGCATTAAGAGTTTTCATTGTGTTAAGGATTTATTATACATTAAGTAATTTAATGTTCATTTAATAATAAATGGATCCTATTAAATATGATTTTTAAAATTATAATCACATTACTTTTATTCACATCTGTCCACTGATGCCATTCCTAGATGAGAATGGTATCACATTATTTTATTTTTTTTCATTTTGCTACCTCTTTACTTACTTAGGATTATGCTGTATCAAACAATGTATGTGTGGGAGTAATGGATGATTCAGGAATGTATGAGGAGGAGGTTTAAGCTCCTTAACCTTGAACAATTAAAATTAGCAACATAATATTGAAATACATACAGAACACTCAAGTGGTACTTTCAAAATAGTGTATATTTCCTCTGTTTATTTGTAGCTTTTAAACCCAGCTAGAAGCATTCTATTTCCTTTAGGTACCATAGGTCTGAAAGTCTGTAGTGAAAACTACAAGTAGTAAATGATGCTAATTCATGTGCTTCCGCCTGTGGAAGAATTGAATGTCTTAGATAAAAAAAGATGGTGCAATTGGTGTACAAAGTATCTAGAATACAATTTGGTGGTGGTTTTTTCTGTTTCCATAGTAGAGTAACATATATAATATTCCCCTTTCATCAAGTTATTTAAATATGCCTTTGAATGGGGAGAATTGAAAATAATACTGTGAATCCTGGTAAACATTTTAAATTAATGAGAAGAATATTGCCTTTACAAAGTCAAAATTTGTCTGAATACAACGCATATAGCAATTTCATAGCAAAACACTTCCTTCAATCCTATTAAAATCAGAAGGAAAAGAAGAATACCCACTGTCAATGTTGTATTAATATAGTTCTAAAAGTTCTGGACAATGAAATATGTTGTAAGAAGAGAAGTCAGGGGAGACTTGAGCCCATTGTTTTTCCTCTCCTTCCATACCTCCCAAAATACCACTGGAATGTTGTAACATTTTGAAGAATCTATAGCAGTGTCCCAAATCATAGAATAGTATGAATACATCTGAATCTGAGATATCTCCAAAAGATACAAAATATCTGTGATTAGAATGAAAGAAAGATTTAGGCTTTTGGCCATGATTGCAAGTTAGCTGTTCTTAAATGACTGCTGCTATCGAACAAATACATTTTAGAGGATCTCTTTGAAACATTTCTATCCTTGAAAATGGTTAGGGAAGTTCTTAAAATATCTCCTCTTTCAAATACAAAAAATAGTCTGTGAACTGGAGCTTGAGCACTGGGTACTTTGTATTGGCTAGCTGATGGAGGTGGGTGAGGGTTTCCCAGATCTTCTAGGATGATCTGCTATTATCAGTAATGCTAATGGTGGTACTACTGACTCTTGGGCCATCAGAAATTCCAGTTCGTTAATCCTGGAACTTCCATATTGAGATAAAGCATTGAGTCAGTTTCACAGAGGAAGTTTGGATAATAGCATTCTCATTTCAGACCGTAGAATGATGGCAGATTAAGGAAGAGCAATGAGTTCAGTATTAAAAATGATCAGGTAAGCAAGACAGCATGAATAAAAGTTAATGAAATGAATAGCACATTTAAATCCTTGAAAACTAAATGTGTTGAAATTGTCAATGTGGAGAAATAATTAAGCACCTGTGTATTGATTGTTTAAAGAAACAGTCTACTATTACAAAGATGTAAAATCAATAGTAAAACAATATAGATGATAGAAAAAATGGGCAGATCTGGCTGGGCGTGGTGGCTCATGCCTGTAATTGCAGCACCTTGGGGGGCCGAGGCGGGTAGATCACGAGGCCAGGAGTTCAAGAACAGCATGCCCAAGATGGTGAAAACTTGTCTCTACTAAAAAAAAAAGTATATATATATATAAAAATTAGCTGAACATGGTGGTGGGCACCTGTAGTCCCAGCTGCTCAGGAGGCTGAGGCAGGAGAATCACTTGAACCCGGGAGGTGGAGGTTGCAGTGACCCAAGACTGTACCACTGCATTCCAGCCTGGGCAACAGAGTGAGACTCTGTCTCCAAAAAAACAAAACAAAACACAAAGGCAGGTCTGAATTAAAAAAAAATTTAAAAATAAATGCAAGTTATTAATGATATATTAGATATAGGTAACAGGATAATTAGTAAAGAAAAAAATGCTTAAATGATATACCCAGAATGTAGCATGGAAACACAAGGTCTAACATTTATTTAATTCAAATATGGGGGGAGAGAAGTGTAAGAGGATTCACCGTTTCAAGAGATTCTCAAAAAGAAATTAGGAGAAAGTATAAATCCATTGATTCAAAGAACGTATTTCTAACAGATGATATAAAAATAAATTCACATTAGTTAAATTATAAATTATAAAACATTAAAACTAAACACCAGACCATATAAACATTGAAAAAAGGACAATTTATCATGAAATAATATTTATCTGATTATTATAGTAAAGCAAAAACTAAAAATGGGTAAACTAGTATCAACAAATGTTGAGAGAAAATAACTGTTAGTATAGAATTGGGTACTCAGTAATGCTGTCTTTCAAGAACAAAAATAAAAATATGAAATTGACAGATAAAAACTAAAATTGTTCACTATCAAGAGATCTGCAGCAAATAAAATTTCAAAGGCTATATATCAGGAAGAAAGAATTTAACCCAAAAGCTGATCTCAGAGTCAACTTGGAATTCCATAAATATCACTAAACTGATGATAATAGTAATACTTTCTGACATGGGGGGGATCCTGAAAAGAAGTGAACTTTTACTTTTGTTTAGAATTTAGAAAGTTATAGAAAAATGCTCTTGCCCTGACCAAGAGAATAAGCTGGATAATCTATAGATCATAGATTTCATTTTAAAAGACAGAGCTGAGGTCTCAAAAAAAGCTAATTAACTTAAATTCAGAGTAATGAAAGCCTACTGAAAAAAGAACGGATCCACAGATGATTTGTGTGTACCTGAGTTGCAGCAGCAGAAACAGGAGGAAGCTGCCCTTGATGGAGATAAGAAGGAAACAAGTGAACCTCAAGCAAATGTTGAAAGGCTGAATGTGGGCTTGTGATAGTTTAGCAGCAGTAGGGGCCCAAACACACTCACTCACTCACTAATGCTTTAATGCTTTTCTTTTCTTTTCTTTCTTTCTTTCTCTTTCTCTTTCTTTCTTTCTTTCTTTCTTTCTTTCTTTCTTTCTTTCTTTCTTTCTCTCTTTTCTTTCTTCCTTTTTTTTTTTTTTGACGGAGTCTCACTCTGTCACCCAGGCTAGGGTGCAATGGCACGATCTCGTCTCACTGCAACCTCCGCCTCTAGGGTTCAAGCGATTGTCCTGCCTCAGCCTCCCGAGTAGCTGGAACTACAGGCACGTGCCACCACACCCTGCTAATTTTTTGTATTAGTAGAGACAGGGTTTCACCGTGTTAGCCACTGACCTCGTGATCCCAAAGTACTGGGATTACAGTGCCTCGGCCTCCCAAAATGCTGGGATTAACAGGCGTGAGCCACGGCGCCCGGCCCCACTAATTGTTTTTTCATGACCTATCTTGTGTGCTCCTAGGTAAGATCAGATGGAGAGCAGGAGAACTACCTGAGACACTTTTGAGGGACAGGCATGTAGGAACTGCTGCAATTAGAGATCAAAGAAAGGTAGAGGTCGCACTGTGAGAATCGGGGAAAATCCTCTGTTACTGGGGAGTGGGTTGGGGAGCAGAGAGAAACCCCCTTCACTCTCTGTTCTCACAGGTGCATAAGAAGAGAGGCCTGATGAGGTCTGAAGGCAGGGCAGGACAGGTAGCTGAGAGAAGTAGATTCTCTGGTCTTTCACTGAGTGTGAGGCAGCTACTGCCCGAGGTTGGGCAAGGGATGGAAGCCCTGAGAGATTCTTGAGGTGCAGAGATAGAGGCTTGCTGAGGATGAAAGTGGACAGAAAAGCTAAGAGAGGCTCCAATGCTGACCATGGCACTCTGCAAGAAGAGAAAAAATGTGTATGTAGAGGTTTATGAGGGAAAATCGTGAGTTTGGTTTTGGATATATATTACTTTTGAAATCAAGTGTCCAAGTAGATATACCAGTTATGCAGTTGGATAATTTATTTAAGCCTGGAGTTCAAAAGGAGGTCCAAAAGGAGAATTGAAAGGGATGAGACTTGCTGAGCCCCTCCAAAGAGTGTGTGGTGAGGGAGAAGAGAAGAGGACCAGGAACTGAGCTCTGCAGCTCTCCTATAGGAGGTGTGATGCAAAAGATGAGGAAGAAACAAAGGAAGCCGAAGTGGTAGCTCCAGTGAGACAGGCTGAGACTCAAGTGAATGTGCCGTCCTGGAAGCCAACTGAAGAAAGTATACTGTGAAGAAGGAAGTGATTATTTGTGTCAAATGCTGCTAATAGGCCGATTAAAGTCGTAGTGAAAAATGATCATTGGATCTAGTAATGTGGAGATTATTCGTAACTTTGACAAAAGTGGTGTCAATATCATGATCGAAAAAGGGAGAAAGAGCCTGATTGGGATATATTTAAGAAACAATGAGAGGAGAGGAATTGAAGACAGAGAGTATGGACAACTATTCTAAGATGTTTTGTTGAAAAGTAGAGCAAAAAATGGGATGACAGCTGGCATCAGAAGAAAAGCAAGGAAATTCTTTTTCTTAGATCAGAAAAACAACAGCATATTTGTATGCTGATGGTAATAATTTACTAGCATCAAAATTAATGACACGGTCATGATATAGTGAACTGCAACAGGAAAATCCCCAGGTACACAGCGAAGAGGGAATATAATACACAAATTTAAAAATTATTTGGATCTCTGAAACATCTGTTTTGATATTAACCTTTCATTCCTGCAATAGTTATTTTAAGCATGTTCTCATTTTCTCTTGTTCAGTGTTGCCAGGTTATTATAAAGTGTATTAGACTTTTTGAAAAACATTTTTAAAAATACTAGTTTTTTCTCATTTGTTTCATTAATTTATATTTTGTATTTATAATTTTCCCTTTATCTTCTTTAGGGTTATTATGCTGTTTTTTTTTCCCAGAAGCCCCCAAAATGCATGCTTAGCCCATTAAATTTTAGCCATTTTTGTATCGAAAGTTATGTTACCCATTTCTGTGTGGTTACCTGTAATATACCATGAGCAGCACTTCTTGGTGTCTTTGCTCCTTATTAATTCACTTGTCTGAAGTTCCTTTAACTTTCCTTTCTACTTTTCACTTTCACTTTGCAAATCATTTTTTATTCATAACCGCATAAAACATAATTTATTTTGAAAAGTCTCTCATATAATTTTCACTTATTCTAGGATTATAATTTTTCCGTTTGTCTCTTCAAATAAAACCTTCAGATTTGTCAACACTCATTAAACAGTAGCTCCTATTGATAGGATTCCATCCATCTCTTTTGACCTAGTAAGTGAATATAATAATAGATGCCACAGAAATTCAATCCTGTCAGATCTAACTGCCTACATATAAATTTCCATGTCCCGCAAAGGCATCTCATTGAGGTCACATTCTGTTGTATCTTTACTTTGTATCTTGAGGTGCTTGGTGGGGCATGGAAATTTACATGTAGGCAGTTTCATCTGATAGGATTGAATTTCAGCAGCATCGATTATTATATCCACTCACTAGGTCAAAAGACATGGATGGAATCTTATCAACAGGAGCTACTGCTAAATGAGTCCCTTTTCTATTTTTCCCTATTATAATCCTAGTGAAGCTGTAAATATTAGGTTCTTGAACCCACAGGACTGATTCTAGTATCTTGTCTGGCCAGAGATATAGCCTTCTGATCTGCAGAACCTTATAGTAATCAGCTACCAACTTACCTGGGGATAAGAGAATTTAAAAAAGAAGGAGAATAAGGAGAAGCAAATGGAGTCTCATGGCTGAAGGGCCAGCATCAATGTGGGTTGAGCCTGGAGTCTCTGGGCATCGTGGGTCTAGGCCTTTTTATGATGCTCTCTGAGTCTGTGATTTGTTCTTGGTCAGTAAAGCCTAACGAAAAGAGAATAACTAAATCTCCCACAGGAAACTTCCAGGGACACACAAGTACATAAATGTGGTGATATCTCAATGGATGAGAAAGCAGGTGAATGCAATTTATTTCCCAAAGATTCAGGATGTCTTTATTGTCACCTGCTTTCTTTATTATTTTTGAAATGCACATGCAATAATCATTGATCTCACTTTATACATCTATCGTTTGCCAGGCAATATAGTAGGAACTGAAGTAAAATCGTTATACACAAACAGTACATAATTAATGGATATAGTTTGGCAAGTTTGCACATATATATTATCTTGTTACCACACCAATATCCAGGTAATAATATATCCATCACCTCCAAATGTTTCCTACGTCCCTTTGTTGTTGTTGTTGTTGTTGTCAGAACCCCTAAGATCGACCCTCTTAACAAATTGTTAAATACAAAATACCTCATTGTTAACTATAGGTACTATGTTTTGGAGCCTATCTCTGTAATTGACTCATTTTGTATAGCTTTAACCCTTGAACAATAACTCCCCATATTGCTCTTTCCCCACTCAATAAAACACCAAACTCTTTTAAAGCACATTCTATATAATCCACTTTATGAAGCTTTTCCTAACACTCTTTTATCTGTTCCCCCCCAGTAAAGGGAACTACTAATATAACAATTACCTATTTTGGATTATTGTGTCTTTTACAAACATTGCTTCATGAACCCATTTAACACTTATCTCCCATTATCTTATTATGAAGTAAAATAAAACTTGACGTGATTTTAAAAATGAAATCACAAAAGGGCTTTGTAAAATTATGATGTACCATTGCTTATTTGTAAGAATTCAAGTTACACTAGGGGTTTCTAAAAATCTTTTGTCTTTATTTGTTGCATATTGTAAGCACAGTGTCTTTTCCAGCTATTTGCTTTGGGAAGAAAAGTTAGAGTTACAATGAACAGCATAGGCTATCTTGTCTAGTCACTTACATTAGAGATGAGGAAATGAGCTGAGGGAAAGGAAGAAACTTGCGCAGGATCACCCAGTGATCTAGCGAGGAAGGCGATAGGGACAGCACTAAGGCTTGGTATTCTGAGCCTCATTCTATTTTCTCCTCTTGCCCCTTCTCTGTTTCCTCCTCTCTTCCCCAGCCTTCCAGAAAAACTTTACAGTTCTGCTGCAATGTCTACCTAAGGACATCCAGAGGAGACCTCACTTTTCATTAGACTGCTTTTTTAAGCACTGTCTTGCATTTTCTTCTTCAGTCTTGTTGTATCCCATTTTTGGCTATAAGTAATGCTTCTGCTGTGCTGTTCCATCCAATTAGTTTCTTCTATTTTCATTGAGAGAAAATTAAAACAAAAAACCATTAGTTTATCTAAATTTGGAAGTTTTAAAACTTGATTAGAATTTCCTGGGATATGGATGTAAGACATATATTTTAAAATATTTTTCATTTTCAAAATTAAAAATCAAACCCATATATTTATCCAGGATGACTACTTGATAACTACTAATCAGATGGGTCTTCAGCAACGCCACAAGGATAAACATCTTATAAATCAATTCCCTGGCGTTATGTGCTACTGAGTTAATACAATTTGATATGGTATCACCTTTAAGCAGGCTTTACGGAGTCACACAAAGGAACAGCACAACAGAACCATAGGGTGGAATGTATAGGGAAAGCTGGGATGTAAAACCCAGCCTTGACTCTGACACTTACTCCACTGTTGAGAAAAGCACTTCAGTTCCCAGAGCCTTAATATTTTCCTCTATAAAACAGGAAAAATAGAGCCATATTTAAGGTTTTGTCAAATCTTGTTGCTGAGTGATTTTACAGTGTCTGCAGCTATCCTCTCTGCTAATCATAACAAGGCTAACAAACTGTTCTTTTGTTTAGTTAAAGTTATTTTTGCATTTGTTTACAAATTGTTATTCTTCCCTTCACAGAAAAGGAAACATTTTAAAGGTAATTTATAAAAGGTTAAGAGTCTCTTACATATCAACTCTTCACAATGTGACAGAGTAGCTTAACCCCATCCCTAAGAGTATAGTTTCAGATCAGCCCCAAACCTATGTGGAGTGTGGGATACAGAATATATTTCAAACACATGCAAAGGCACACACACGTGCGCGCGCGCGCACACACACACACACACACACACACACACACAGTATTACCTAAGGCAGAGGTGCAGATGACAATCTTGGATAGACAGCTCAAAACTCTTAGTACTAAAATAATCCTAATAATAATTTTCCTTCCAAAGTTACCACCAACAATCAGATCTCTTAAGGGTTGGTGCCTTAGGTTTTCGAGCCTTGTGTATCTTTTGGCTTTCTTTTTTGGTTGTGTGCTATTTATCTCATAGAAAGAAACCTCTTCTTCATCCTATGCCAGTGCTGTATTGTAGGGGCTTGTTGACATCTTCCTGATATGTAGCAATCCAGGTGACTGGCCTCTGGCTTCTTAAGAGCAAGGCCATCACATGCTTTTTTTTTTCTTTGTCTGCTTGTTTCCTTGTAAGGGTCCCACATACAGTGGGCGCTTAACAAAAATTTGATCAACTGAACTCATTTTCTATCTCCGTTCTCTCCACTTCAATCTTTCCCTTTTACTTCTTCCAGATTAGTTTTCCTACAGCAAAATGGGAATTGTCCAAAAACTGCCCTTCATCTTTATAACTTGAAGGATTCATTTACCCTAAGCCGTCCTTTTAAATTTACTATCACAGACTAGATAGAAATGTCTGGGTTCACGAAGAATAGGCATGTGTGCCACCATATTTTCTGTTGAAAACTTTGGAAAGTGTCTTTTAGCAAACAACATGAAGCATAGAATTTGACCATCCCTGACAATGTACAAGGATCATCCACATTCTCACATGTCCATGGCTACTTTCCCACTCCTTCCCCAACCTTGAAATCTTGAATTCAAAAGAAAATATGAGAAGACAGTTTGCCTCATATAAGGCAACAGGTTGCTTAATCTTTCTTGCCTACACACATTCAAGAGCTCCAGAAAATTTTCTGATCTACTTAGAATGCCTGATCATCTTCTTGGGTAAAAGCAATAAGTCCTACACAGAATCACCAAAACCATGTCTGTTCAAGGGGTCTTATACCTGTGATTCATGATTGCATGCTCAATGCAGAAGGGCGTGCTCTGTTGCAGGGTCATATCTGGTCATTGTGTTTAAGTTCTAATTTAGAAGACTAGTTGCTGAGGAGGAAGAGGGAAGGATAATGTTAGGAAATGGAATCAAACTTAAGGGGAAAAGTCCAGTACAAGGGACCAACAGTATTGAGGGGCAATAGGTTGAAGATTTCTTAGATTATTGCAATATTTTCAAGGAGGCCCCACGAATCCTTCCTGGCTGACCCCACCAAAGCTTTGGCATAGCCTTTATGCCAAATGTCTTAGACTAACTAACTTTTCCAAAAGAAAATAGAGGAGTTATGGAGACCAATATTTAATAGAATAATGCCTGATTATTTTGCTTTTGAGGTCTAGTAACTGCTAGTAAACTTGCCTAATTAATTCACATTTAGAAGTAGAGTAAAGAGGGTTTCAACCACTTGAAACACCACTGACTTCATTTCATGTGAGAGTTGCTATGGAGAGCTAATGAACTATGAGGCTGCAGGTCTCTCAGCCAATAGGTCTTCTAGATTTCCTATGTGACTCCCTTTTCTGGTCATAGGCGATTTTGCTTTTGCTTTGAGTGTTATAGCACAATAAGGTGTCAGACACTCTACTCTTACCAAGTCTTACACAAAGTTTATCTTGTTATTTGGTGGAGCTTGGCTCATAAAAACAAAAAAAAAAAAACGAGAATGATAAAGAGGAGGACAGCAATCCTCACGGCTGAGGAAAGAAGAAAGCTTGGCTTTATTTCCAGTAGACAGAGAAAACTTCCGTCTGTGGCTCTCTAGCACCAGTGGAATGTCTCTGTTTGGATAATAAGTGTCCTTCCATACCTCATTACGCATATTCACAGAGATGTACTATGCACACAAAATAACCTTCATAGGATGACTGAGAGTCCATGTTTTATTGGACACTAAGTTCATTAGAATGATGTGGGTGCACAGTTTTGACCAGAAAACCTTGTTAAATGGGAACATAAGCTACCAATATTTTGGCAAAAGATTAAGGTTTATGAACAAACAACCATTTATGTTAAGTTACAATTAATTAGGCCATGTTGAGAAACCTTTTAGTTTAGTTAATGATTAGACATTTTGTTAGTGAACCTTCCCAGAGTTTACTAGCCCTATTAATCCCCACTTTGCCGCTGGTCTGAACCCCCACAGTGCCTTGTTTATGGTACAGTGCCTACTGCCTTGTATGTTAGATTAGTGAACGTATATTTGCCTCCTCTACTACTGCAGGAGTTTCTTGTTTGCCAGGACAGGGCTATATTCCTCAGAGTTGAGGAGGAGTTGAATCAAGTGGTCATTTATTCTCAAATCCTCTTCATCAAGTGAAGCAAAACAGGACAGTGAAAGGTCACTGCACATGGAAGCAGGAGGTCTGGATTTCAGTTCTAAATCTCTAGATCTATTACTAACTGGAGGTATGGATAGAGTCAGGAAAATTTTCTTCCTTAAGTCTTGATAGCACCTATGTAGGTCCAGATCCGTTGGATCTAGATAAGGGGATTCTCAATAATTACTGTGCATAAATCAACTGAAAGAGTTAGTTTGCAATGCAGATTCTTAGCCCCATTCTATGAAATTTTTACTGTTTTATAAATTGATAAATAATTTTTATTAGACAATGTAATTTTCCTTACTTGCACCAGCATACAAAAATATTGAATAATATTAGCAGCAGAATCTTTCAACAAAATATCTATGTATAGCTATTAAACCACTTTGTTTCACTGCTTTTTATTTTCTTTTATTTATCACTATTGTCTTCATTATTATCGTCACACATTATTGAATACCCATCATGGAGCATATGGCATAAACATTGTTTCTGCTCATAAGGAGTATGTATTCTCTACATGTTTATAAAATTAATGCCTGAATAAGTTTGCTTAAACAAGGCAGAAGTTGATTTCTTTTTCACTTAAAATTAACCTGTAGTTATACCATTCAGGGCTAGTACAGATTCTTTCTTATATCATTAGGGATGCAGGTCCCTTCCAGCTCTTTGCTCTGCTATACTTTAGAAAAGGTCGTAGTTTGGCTGCTAAATTCCCACCTATTATTTCTGAATTCTAGACAGCAGGGAGAAAAAAGGCATGAGAGAATGGCAAAGGAACATCTACCCTTCCTTTTTAAATTTTTTAACCAACCCCCCTTAAAAACACTTTGTTGAGACATGATTACATTCAAAAAGCTGTACCTATTTAATGTGTATATCTCAGTGAGTTTGAGAATAAGGATACATTGTGAAAGCATCACTACCATCAAGATTATAAACATATTCATCACCTCCCAAAGTTCTCCCTCCCATTCTAATTATTATTTTTATTGGTAAGAATAATTAACATAAAATTCACCCTCCTATTATATTTTAAGTATGCAATACAGTATTCATAGCTATAAGCACTAAGCTGTAAATTAGACCTCCTGAACTTATTTATGTGGTATATCTAAAACTTTGTACTGTAATCACACCTACACACTTACCTGCACCACAGCTCCTGGCCAGTCTACCCTCTGCTTCTGAGTTTGTTTTTTTGAGATTTCAAATACAAGTGGAATCATACAGTATTTGTCATTCTGTGTTTGGTTTATTTCACATGACTTCATGCCCTTCAGATGCATCAATGTTGTCACAAATGACAGGGTTTCATTATTATATAATACTGAATAATATTCCATTGTGCATATATATATATATATATATGTATAACATTAATTCAGCCATTCATGAATGAATGATAACATGTATGTCTTCTTCATAGATCTTGACTATTGTGAACAGTGTTGAAAGGAACATAGGAGCGCAGATATCTCTTTCACATACTGATTTCAATGACTTCATATATATATATTTATATATATGATATATATATTATATATAAAATAAGTGGGATTGCTGGAACAAAATGGTATTTTTATTGTTAATTTTTGAGAAACCTCCATACTGTTTTCCAAGGTGGCCATACTAATTTACATTCCCACCACCAGTATACAAAGGTTCCCTTTTCTCCACATCCTTACCAACACTTGTTATCATCCATCTTTTTGATAATAGCTATTCTAACAGGTGTGAGGTGATATTTCTTGGTTGTTTTCATTTGCATTCCCGTGATGACTAGAGAGGGTAAGAATTGTTTATATATATGTTGTCCATTTGTATCTCCTTTTTCGACAAATGCTTGCTCATATATCTTTGTTCATTTTTATGTTTTTAATTTTTATTTTAGACACAGAGGATACATGTGCAGGTTTGTTACATGGATGTATTGTGTGCTGCTGAGGTTTACAGTATGAATGATCTCATCACACATGTAGTGAACATAATACCCAATAGGTAGTTTTTCAGGCCTTGCACCCAACCCTCCCTCCTCCCTCTAAGAATCTCCAGTGTCTGTTGTTTCCATATAAGTGAGAGCTGAACAGTGTATAACCCAATGTTTAGCTCTCACTTATACATGAGAATATGTAATATTTGGTTTTCTGCTCCTGCGTACCACACCACACTGGGCTAATTTTTATATTTTTGGTAAAGATGGGGTAGCTTCAGCATGTTGGCCAGGCTGGTCTTGAATTCCTGAGTTCATGCGATCCACCCACCTCACAAAGTGCTGACATAACAGGCATGACCCAGTGCACCTGGCTTTTCTGAACTTTTTTAGCTTATATTAGGTTTGTCTGTTCTAGAATTTTGTATACATTTATTTATATTATAGGACACTTTTTAGCTTAGCTTTCCCCACTCGGGGTTAGAAAGATTATATTGATCCATGATCATGATGTCGATTCATAGAGTTGATTATTCCCATTTATTGATAAATATTACTCCATAATATGCATATAATTTATCAATTTCCTCTCAATAGACATTTGAGCTGTTCCCAGGCTTCAGCTATTGTTAATAGAACTCAAGGACACATTTTTAAAAGAAAAAATTTCAACCCAAAATGTCCTTTCCTTTTGGCTCTCCAATATTGTGTCAGGGTTATATATTTGTTGTCTTGAAAATCCAATTACATTGAACAGGAGGTGTCTCTAGAATCAAGGTTCAGTATATGGTGGTCTGGCTGTGTCCTGGAATGTAGCCCTTATTAGTTTTATTGAGCATTTTCCTATATAAATTGAAATCAAGTTGAAGACTCATTTTTCCACAGTAGGACAAATAGAACAGTTTAGGACTTTGGAGAGATAGCAACTTGCTGCTTGCCTGTGCAACCCACCTCAAAAGATACAACTCCTCCAACTTTTGATTTCTGGTGACTTCTCCAAACAATTAGATGTGAATTGACCTTATTCCCTTACATTACTACATGTCGATATTCTGCACCTGGCCAAATACAGTATAAAACTGATGAGCATACATTTCTTTTAGTTTCATATTTTCTATTTAAAGCTACTCTCTTTGGCTGGGCACTATGGCTCATGACTGTAATCCCAGCAGTTTGGAAGGCCAAGATAGGTGGATCACTTGAGGCCAGGGGTTTGAGACCTGCCTGATTAACATGATGAAAGCTGTCTTCCTGAAAAATACAAAAATTTTCTGGGTGTGGTGGCACGTGCCTGTAATCCCAGCTACTCAGGAGGCTGAGGCGGGAGAATCACTTGAACCCAGGAGGCAGAAGGTGCAGTGAGCCAAGATCCCACCTCTGCATTCCATCCTGGGTGACAGAATTAACCTCCATCTCAAAAAAATAAAAAGCTAATCTATACTTTTCTTTTGGTGCATTATTAGAACATAGAAGGCAATAAGGCAAAACTATTGTGGGTATATTAGTGCGTATCTGTAGCACCTAGCACAGTGCCTAGCCCATAACTTGTGTTGAAAATTAAGAGAACCTTCTTCATGACAGATCATTTGGAGAACATGTTATGGGTGTGGGAGAAAAAGATTCCTAACTCTCCACCCCAGAAATAATTTTGCTGATACAAAAATCAGCCAGACATGGTGGCACAGGCCTATAATCTCAGCTACTTAGGAGGATGAGTTTGAGGATAAGGATACATTGTGAAAAAGGTGGGAAAATCACTTGAACACAGGAGGCAGAGATTGCAGTGAGCCAAGAGTGCCCCACTGCACTCCAGCCTAGGCAACAGAGAAAGGCTCTGTCTGAAAGAAAAAAAAAAGTTGTTGCTATATAGCACATAATTTCATTGTCATCTCATTTAAAATTGAATAGCACATTTGGGTTGAATTCTTGTGCCTGCAGATACATTTGCTTCTGGCTTAAAATCACTGGCTGTAGGAGGAAACTCCAGCAGAGGGCATCGTAAGGATTTCATAGTGTCTATGGTCATCTTGGTAATTCCTCAGATAATTCCTGGCAATTCTATTAGGTCTTGAACTTCACTTACTTCTTACATGTTTAATAAAAAGAAGTTCAAAACATTGCCATGGCTGTTGAATTCCCACAGGCTTGTCTTCCCTTTAAAATTCATCACATGGTTTGTACTCTTTTGCAGATATAATACGTAAGTTTGCAGGTGGATGCTTTCAGCCAATAAGTTCAAAAGTACTGCTACAAGGGCCAGGCATGGTGGCTCACACCAGTAATCCCAACCCTTTGGGAGGCCAAAGCAGGTGGATCACGGTATCAGGAAACTGAGACCATCCTAGCCAACATGGTGAAACCCCATCTGTACTAAAAATACAAAAATTAGCTGAGTGTGGTAGTGTGTGCCTGTCGTCCCAGCTACTCAGGAGGCCGAGGCAGGAGGATTGCTTGAACCCGGGAGGCAGAGGTTGCAGTGAGCTGAGATTGCGCCATTGCAGCACAGCCTGGTTACAGAGTGAGATTCCGTCCCCCACCGCCAAAAAAAAAAAAAAAAAAGTACGCTACATGGACATCCATTGTTCCAGCATCTCTGCCATAATAGCGGAGGAATTATAGAGAATGTCTGTTAATTTCTTTAACTCCAAATTTGTGTTATGTCCCTTGGTCTCCTGTCATACCATAAATTGTATTATTCATAAAATGGACAATTTGTCTACAGTTATTTCTTCTCAGTATGCTACATCTCTTTAGAATTTAAACATAGAGTGTCTCCCAACCTGAAATTGAAAAACCAGAAAAATGTTTTCGGACACCTTTTATTTCCAGCTGTTTTTATGTCCTCTCCTGAATCCAAGTTGAGGGTAAAGTCCATTCATCAGCATTTCTCCTCAACTCACAACAACCTCATTCCACTCCAGTATGATGTTTGTCCCCACAAATTGATGCACATAATTCTTGCTGGCAGTGGTAATGTCCTAATAAAAAAATATCACGAGATGGCGTCAGACTTTACTTTATTTTCTAGCTCAGCAGAATTTGATTCCTGTCTGATAAGGAAACCCTATTTTCCCTAGAAACTTTTCACTTTTGTCACAGGTTTGGTTCCCAGGGAACTGGATATAGATAAAGTTTAGTGTGCAGGATGTTTATTAGGAAGTGATGTGAGGATCCACATCTGTGGAAAGGATTGGAGGGAAGCCTTATGTGCAAAGGGACAAGTCTAATGGCAGTGCAGCCTGACATTGTCACCTGGCCACACGGACAGAGCTGTAGAGCTAAGAAGTCCTCCCCTATTTGTCCCAACTGAATCAAATGGCAAAGCCTATGTACCCCTTGCCTCCATTAATGATTGTGTGCTTGCCACTTGTGGAGGATGAGACTTTGAAGCAGGTGGCTTTCTGTGGCTGAAGAAAACCTTAAATGTGCTGACAAAGCTTTCCAAAGAGACAGAGAATGGCATCTGCCAGGTATGTTGCCCCTTTCCAAAGAGGAAGCAACAAGGGTAATGGCCTCCAATGGCTCTGTATGCAGATAGGTGGACAGTAATGTCTGTCACTCCTGTGACCTAAGAAGAACAGTTGGCAGACTTGCAGCCAGGCAGTTAGAGGTGACACAGTGTTAGGAGATAAACATCTGTCAGAAGCAGTGCTTCTTTGAATCAGGTGTGACACGAGCCTTGCATCCCTTGCATGGACCCCTTCCCCATTATCTTGCTGTCCTACCTCATGAAGGTGGGTGGGTGCTGGCTGGTGGGTGGTCCCTGTACCAGGTACACTTTGCCTGCAGTCTTTCCACATGAGTTCCAAGGTACCCCATGTGGTCATCCATGAACGTTGTGTTTTCCTTATGCTGCATGTCCTTTGCCTTTGAGGAACACGTTTCATTTGACTCTGAGTCCAAACAACTCAAGTGTCCCTATATCTGTACATTGTCCTTCACTTAAGGGAATCTCCAATCCCTAATGACTTTCTTTTATTTTTGCTATTAATATTATAACAATTAACATTGTCATTATTATCTTCATTGTTGATATTCAGTTATTTTTATTAATAGAGTTACTGTGAATTATTATATTGTAGCTACTTACACCAAGATGAAGATAATTTATTAGTTCAGGAAGAATCTGCATTCTGAAGACAAATAGAAGTTCCAGCTACAGATGGGCAGACACATGCCCTCTCAATTCCTGATGGACCTCCTAGTGCCTTCTGGACCTAAGGGGCCTCCCTCAATGTTCCAAGGTGCCACCAAGGCAGGGATCAGCTCGTGCATTCCTGAGAACATCCCGGATGAAGTGAGGCTCTGGAAAAATGCAAGAGTTTCCACATAATCCCAAAAAACACTACAGGTGAACTGGATGCCACAGAAAGAGGAGTGGTCTTTGTCACAACGAAATCAACAAAATTATTTCGAAGTCAATTAGGAAACTCAGAAATCACTCTTGCTACCATTAAGAGGAAGAACAGGAGCCTGTGAATGGCATCCCTGGCCTACCTGAGACTCCAAAGATATTTCTCTGTGGCTTCTGACAGCAGAAATCTCTGTGATTTTCAGAAAGGCAGGGACAGCTCCTGCCAGCCCATCCTTCTGCAGAATGTGTCCCAGCAGATCAGTGGCATGGAACCATCATGGACAGCACAAAGGCTCAAGGGCAGCATCCCAGGCCGGCCTGTGACTCTAGATAAGTTCTGAGTCCCCATGGGGGCTCAGGAAAGGTTAGTGATGACCTGGAAAGAAGGGACAGGCTGAAACCGCCCCTAAGCAATCTGCAGGATTCCAACTTCAGCAGGAAGCCAAGGACCAGCTATTACCACACCTGCGCCCCCTGAAAACGCTGGATACAATCCCACTCTGCAGAAAGTTCCACATAGAAGTGGCT
Source organism: Homo sapiens (assembly GCF_000001405.40). Taxonomy (NCBI): domain Eukaryota; kingdom Metazoa; phylum Chordata; class Mammalia; order Primates; family Hominidae; genus Homo; species Homo sapiens. The sequence continues at coordinate 12,169,446 of NC_000008.11, forward strand.
GGGAATTTTGCCTTCTAGACTGCATTTTACACTGCCTCTGGACATGTGATGAGAAATTTAACATTGGTGTATCTAACTCTGACATTTTTCACGAAGTGATTTTTTAAAATATGGTAAAAAAGACAAAATATAATTCAAACATATGCATTATATGTCAAAGTATGCTTCGCTGGCATCAAGTAGACTCACCTTGAGATGCAATCTTGGACAACCTCCATCTTAAGAATATCTAGTTTTTCAAACCAAAACTCTCCAACCAAAAATCAATAACATCAAAAGTTTGCAACTACAAGCCGACGGAAAATAAATACATGAATTCTACCACAGTGAATTGGACTGCACTGGGAAACACAGATGAAGAAAGCCAACACCGCTTTGTCCTTCAGTACCTGGCTCCCTTTTCAGCTCGTCTTGCGACTCCAGGCATTATGCCTGAAAAGTCTCCTGGACGCCTGTGAGGCTCTAATTCCCTGGGTCCCATTGTCATGTCTCTGGATTTGCGAAGATTAACCGGACCTTCTGTGGAACTCCCGTGTCCCTCAACTTTTGTGACATGTCCCCTAATTCTGCCCATGGTCATCTGCACCTGCACGACTTAGGGTCCATGTTCCTTGGACGGGAAGAGACAGGCAGGAGTCGGAATGATGAACCAGCACACTGGGGCATTTTCTCATGTAGCCCAAGTGACCCCATGGTCTTCTTGAGCTTTGGAACCAGTCGCGTCCCCCTTGACACTGCACCCGACTCCCAGTTTCTCAATCTTGTTGGCCCTCCGGCGATCTCCCGTTGGATGAATTGCATCTGCTGAAACTCGAGTCCCCTTTGATTTGTGCTTCATTAATTATTCATGATTCAGGTTGGAAGGCCTGCTGACGACCCCCTGTGGCCGTTTTCCGAGCTTTCCGGTCACATCGTTTCCTTCCACCCTCTTTGGTTCCTTGTGGTCCTGCTCCTTCTGCTGTCAGAGGAGCAGAGAGTTGATCTTATTGATTCTGGATACGGATACTTTGTAGGTGATCTGGATAATCAAGATAACGACCCTCAAAAGCGGCGGAAAGGGAGCAGCCATTTGGTGTGTCTCAGCAAATCCCGCTGAGTTCCGAGGCCGCCTAGGTATGCAATCCTGCTGAGAGTTGTTCCCAGGTCAGAGAATGGAGAGAGCCTGTGCATGATGGGATATCCCTGCCTAGATCTTTCAGTGAGTCTCTACCTCAGCTACTCTTAGGATCAGGGGGAGAACCATGGAAAGGCCCGGTGTCAGACATCCGGAAAGAAGAGGGATGAATGTTTCACCTCTGAAGTACATCCCAAATGTGGGAGTTAACTTCAGCTTTGCTGGGGTCTACTTGGCCAGCGAAACTCTGCCTGGTTCATTCGCACATCCGGAAGCCACTTCACGGGGAGCCGTCGCAACCGGAACCACACACTTGGCATCGGCGGTTGAGCCAAATGGGGACTCGTGGTGCAAGCAACGCTCCCCACGTGTTAGCGTGCGTGAGATTCAATTGGCGGAATTTTACTAGGTGCGTGTTGGTAGAGCGGGGCTGAGGTTTTCTTGCTCCTGTGGATGTATAGGAAGTCAAAGGTCCTGCCCAGCCCTGCGGTCCCCTCAGTCAACTCTGTTTCGGAGACATAACGATTTGGATTGCTAACAAGTCAAGAAATGTTCAAGTCCTTGGATGTAGGGAAAAGAAAGAGAGATCAGACTGTCACTGTGTCTATGTCGAAAGGGAAGACATAAGAGACTCTATTTTGAAAAGGACCTGTACTTTAAACAATTGCTTTGCTGAGATGTTGTTCATTTGTAGCTTTGCCCCAGCCACTTTGCCCCAGCCGCTTTGACCCAACTTGGAGCACACAAAAACCTATGTTGTATAAAATCAAGGTTTAAGGGATCTAGGGCTGTGCAGGACGTGCCTTGTTAACCAAATGTTTACAAGCAGTATACTTTGTAAAAGTCATTGCCATTCTCTAGTCTCAATAAACCAGGGACACAATGCACCGTGGAAAGCCGCAGGGACCTCTGCCCTTGAAAGCAGGGTATTGTCCAAAGTTTCTCCCCATGCGATAGTCTGAAATATGGCCTCGTGGGATGAGAAAGACCTGACTGTCCCCCAGCCTGACACCCGTAAAGCGTCTGTGCTGAGGTGTATTAGTCAAAGAGGAAAGCCTCTTGCAGTTGACATGGAGGAAGGCCACTGTCTCCTGCTTGCCCCTGGGAACTGAATGTCTCGGTGTAAAACCCGATCGTACATTTGTTCAACTCTGAGCTCGGAGAAAAGCTGCCCTGTGGAGGGAGGCGAGACATGTTGGCAGTAATGCTGCCTTGTTATTCTTTACTCCGCTGAGATGTTTGGGTGGAGAGAGACATAAATCTGGCCTACGTGCACGTCCAGGCATAGTACCTTCCCTTGAACTTAATTATGATATAGATTCTTTTGCTCACATGTTTTTTGTTGACCTCCTTATTATCACCCTGCTCTCCTAGTATATTCCTTTTTGCTGAAATAATGAAAATCATAATCAATAAAAACTGAGGGAACTCAGAGGCCGGTGCAGGTCCTTGGTGTGCTGAGTGCCGGTCCCCTGGACCCACTGTTGTTTCCCTATACTTTGTCTCTCTGTCTTATTTCTCTTCTCCGTCTCTCATCCCACCCGACTAGAAACACCCACAGGTGTGGAGGGGCAGGCCACCCCTTCACTTGGAAAATCAGTTACACACAAACACGGAATGAGAGTCAAAAGACAATACGTCATCTTTTTGAGAATTTTATTCACTTCAAAACAAATTCAACACACCTGTTTACAAAGGCATTCCAGAGCCCAGTTTTCGAGGCTGAGGAAAGACCCCGAGAGCGCTTCGCACAGCACGCTTCCCAGCGTCCGAAACACTGCTCTCAGGGCGGGGCACAGCGGAAGGGCTGCACCTCTCAGGGTTCCCTAACTTTTCCCTTATTCAGTCATCTAGAGAGCAAATACACAGTAATTCCCCAGTTTCCTATTGACGTCCCAGCGGAAGTCTGACTCCTGCGCGTCACGCAGTTTCTGAGGCAACGAATCTCTGGCACGGAAGCTTTTCCTGGCGCGTTTCCGGAGAACCACGCCAACTACAACGTCCCTCACCAGAATTCAATGAGGCAGAGTCCCTGCATCTGCTCCCTGCCTGGCCTGGGCTCCCACATCCACAGAAGCGCCACAGCCGGGGAGCTTCGGAGTCACCGCACAGAGTGTGCTCTCTGCTCTGCTCTCCTCAGTCCCACAGTCCCCTCCAAGTCACGGGAGCTGGAGGCCAAGGAGCCCCTGCCACCTGCAGTCTCACTGCAGGTCAGAATCGCTGTCCTCTGAGGAGGAGGAAACCTGAAGGTCTTCATAGAGGACGTTCGGTGGGACACGAACACAGGGACCCTCAGACTTCTCTGACACATGAGGGCTCTGAGCGAGGAAGGCTCCCGGCTTCTCAGGAGAGTGAAATGAGGGGGCCGCCAGGAGGCTGGAGCTCCAGCGTCTGTTTTCTAGTCTCCGGAAGAGCACTCTGAGAGGCTGGGCCCCATCATGGCTGGCCGCTGGGTGATGGGACATGGTGCAGGCCTGGGCAGTAGGCAGGCAAGGTCTGCTGTGCGGAGGCTGCCGGTCGACGCCGGGCACCTGGGCGGGTGTCCTCCTGCCCATCTGGGGCGACGTACTTGGTCCAAGTTCGGTTGCGGCTGGCGGAGGTTGGAGATTCTCCGGGGCCCCCAGCTCACCTCCCTGGATGGCGCTTTCGGGGATCTGGAAGGGACCCAGTCTCGGTTTCTTGGGGAAGTTCAGGCAACCCTGAATCGGAGCCTGGGCAGGTCTCTTGGCTCCTGGTCTGAAGCTGAGATTGGAGCCTAGGCCCAAGCTGTGTGTGGCGGCTGGTGGGCCGGGCTGTCAGGTCACCGCAGGACGTTTGTCTTGTGCCTGGGGTCTGACAGCCTGGAGCAGGCCGTGGGTTTTGGAGGCAGCCTGGGGAACTTCTCGGCAGCCACCCTCACGGCTGCTGTGTGTCGGCTTCACCACGAGGAGAGGCTCGGGGCCCTGGTGCCTGACTGCAGGCTGAGGGATGTCGGCCGCAGCACCTGTCTGTCTTTCCTTTGGTCCAAGACTTGAGGAGGATCTCAGACTGGCTTTTCTGAGGGGAGACAGTGAAGCCAAGACGGAGCCTCTGCCAGACATTTCGGTAGCTGAGCGATCAGCGAGTTCAGGGTCCACGCACGGCCTCTTACTTGTTGTGTGGACCGGCATTGGCCGGCTTGCAACCTGAAAGAGAGGAAACAACACAGGTTAGAAGTTCCTCAGCATGGAGCCAACGTGAAAATCAAGCACATCCAAAGACAAGGTGCACACGCCATGAAATTCTTAGTACAGTATCGACAGGCGGTCCTTGGAAGTAGAGACAGACCCTCCACCTGAGTGCTGATCAGGACAAGACACATGAACGATGCGCTCTCGAGCTATGTGTAGCTGATCTAAGCACACCATTGTTCAAAAGATCGCGTCTTGGGCATTAACTGGATCAAAGCGCCTCCACTCAGCCTTCCATGAAGTGGAACAGACTAATGCCCTTCCGAAGGCAGGTTGGTGGCTCAAGGGTACTCAGGACGTCTTCTCTGAACACATGCATGTTCCAGAGTTTAGCCTTCTCCATGTTTGGGGCCTCTGAGGGACAAATTTCCTCATGCCGCTAGGAACATGTTGTTGGCAGGCTTGCCATAATTGGACAGAAAGAAAGCAACAGGAAATACGGCATCTTCAGATGCCTTCGCCTGGAATCAAATTGACCTGGAAGGATCGTGAAGTCCCTGACCCCAAGAAGGCAAGAAAGAGGGGTTCCCCGATTCCCTCCCGCAGACGGGAAGCTGAAAGGAAATCAACCAGGGTGACCTAGAGGACAAAAAGACCAGGGGCCCAGGGTGACACTCACCCTCAGAAAAACAGAAGATTCCGTGGATCCTTTTCGATTTGGCAGCAGCTTCTCTGGAGGTTTCCCGGAAAATATGTGGAGGAGAGCCTTTCTCTGCGGGTCTTGTTGCCTGCAGAACAGAAAAAGGTCAGGCCATGGCCCCTGGTTTTCCCCAGGAGACAGGGAGAACCCTGTCTGGGGCTCAGTCCCATTCCGTGTTTTGTGATACAGAAATGGACATCTGGTGCCCTTTCCGCCTCTGCACCTTCCCTCACGTGCCAACCTTCCCATCCTCCAGGTGGCCCTCTAGGCTTCCTAACTAAGGACTGTGATTTGGATTCCATCGCTTTTCCCCCTGTCGTGGGGAATCTGCACGAAGCACCCCCGCCTCTCCCCGTCCCTGAATCTCCCAGAGCCAAAGGAACTCCTGGGTGTGGAACGCCGGAGGACACGGAGCTCCGGCCTATTTCTCTGCAGCGTTCCTTCCCTGGCCCGGAGACGGAAAGGCACACGGTGTGCAGGTGCAGAGACACCATGTCCTTAGGAGGCAGTACCCTAAGAGTGGTGAAAACCCCTCCCACTGCTCACCTTGGTCTCTCTTCCTTCTCTCCCTTATCCTTGTTCAAGGGCCCCGGGTTGGCTTCAACCTGGGGCTTCCATGGTTTCAGGTTTTCCTTCCCTTCCTTTTTCCCCAAGGTCGGTGGAACCAGGGCTGCCTTCCAGCACTTCATGGGGCACCTGGTACTTCTGACCGTGTGGCCAAGGGCCCTGCAGTTTTTGCACTTGAGCTGTGGGTGGAAAGGAAGTGATGTCAGTGAGTGAGCTGAAGCCACAGGCAGCGATCCCACGTCAACATTGAGACGGATTGTGAATTCAGAGCTGAATAAGGATTCCAAAGAGGGGACACCAGCATGGGGGCCATTAAGTGCTGGGAGAGTTCGGATGCGATGTTCCCTCCCAAAGCCCATGTGACGGAGGAACTCTAAAAGGCAGGACTCAAGGTTCTAAGGGGCACGATGGTGAACCCGATGTCAACAGCACAGCCAAACGTGGCTACACAGGACTCTAAATAGAAAGGGAGGTTGCCCCCAAGAGTCTCTCAAGGGGCCTATCGGGCCGCGGAGGAGGTCCCAAGCCACGCCCACCTTGGATGGGAAAAGCAACCTGGGTGGTGGTGACAGAACTCTTTGGAATCCAACCCAGTCTCTGAGGACCGTGTGATAGCCCCTCCCCCCGTCCCCACCCCCACCCCGATACCCAAGAGATCCAGGGCTAGACTTACCCTGGGATCTTCTTCATCGGGCGGGGGAGCCCTTGGCCCAACTGGGGCCCTCCGCTGCTTCTGGAGGGTCTGGGCTCTCACCAGTCTCTTTGCCCCAGGTTTGGGGTCACGACGTGCCGTCATCTTCGTCTCCTGGGGGTTTTGTGACCGCCTTTTTCAGGGGTTGACTGTTGGGTCACCTGAAACACACACAAACACACACATGTGGATGGTTAAGCACGTTGGATATTCACACACCCACAGGAAGCCCCCCGCTAACTCCTTGCCGGTGTGGTCATGAGGAGACCTCACCACCAGTCGGTCAAATCTGTGGAACACAATGTGCTGTGTGCATCCTCAGATATTGTGTGTTCCTCTGCCATGATTACCTAGTCCAAGAGTAAACTTCGCCTGCCACAGGGCCTGTGGCCTAGGTATGGGGAGTTGAGCTTTCAACTCCAAACTAACAACTGATTCTGGAGACTGGACTTAGGTCTATTACGATTCACTCCGGTAGAAGACACGATGATTCTATCTCCCTTGACGGACAGAATGATCGAAGCCACAGGGCATGGCATTTGTCACCCTTTGGCAGGTCTGTTTGAAATCTGGGATAAGGGATGCTTCCTGTCACAACTTGAATCGCTACTCTTGCCATTTCATTAGGCGACTTCCAAACACAAATTCATAGAGAGAAGTTATCTTCCTCTCTACCACACTAGCAGGTGATGGTCTTTCCTGTTCTATCTTTTTGGCTTTAGCTCCAGCCCCTCTTTATTTATTTTTCTGGTATTTTACACGTGCCACACGAATTCATCTAAACAAACGGTGAATAAGTGCCATATCGTATCGACGTCTTACACCGCTGAAGGGCAAACCACCCTTTTTTCCAAAGTCCTTTTTCCATTTACCCACCAATTCAGCATGCTGCAGTACATTTCTTTTCACATTCCCATCTTGGTCTTCTCCCACACGTGGAGACGGAAATGCTTTCTCGTTTTCTGTTCCAAGAATTACTAGTAACGAGAACACATCCTACCCCATCAGCAAGGCCCAGTGTGATCGGTTTCTCTCGGCGTCCTTTGTCTCTTCCCACCCACCCCTCAGGGATTGCGTGAAAAAAACAACTGTACAGTGAAACTAACCTGAAATTACACGTCTACTTTCTTTCACCGGCTGGCGCTGAGATGGGCAGGTGCTGGAGCAGCCCCCCTGGAAGTGATGCAGCATCCAGGAAGACGGAGGAAGGGGCGGAGAAGGACCTCTGCTTTCCAGGCTGCCTTTTATACTGCCTCTGGTCACCTGACGTGGAACGTACCCTAACCTAATCAGTTACATGTAAGTTAATTGCAATTAACTTAATCCAATTACATGTCCCGGAAAGGTCTATCTGCACAGCCCACTCTAAGATCATGTCCACTGCTGACAGACGTTCTAAAACCTACGTGTACAGCTGCAAGCTTTGAAGAATAGATGTTCCCCGTCAGACATGTAACACTGGTGCCTGTACCCTTGTCTTTTTTTCCATCTTTTTTGTTTTTGTGTTTTGTTTTGTTTTAAAAAATGTGGTAAAATAGACACCTTTTAATTGGACCATATTTACTCTACCTCGACGTAGGCCTCAGTGTCTTCAAGGAGATTCTCCTTGACATGCAGTCATGGCCATGATCCATCTTCAGAGTTTCTCTTTCTTCCCCACGGTAGGTCTGTCAGCAGAGAACCCTGACCACACCCTCATGTGTTTTCTCCTCCAGGAGGCGCTTGGAAACCACCGTCAATTGGACCGCACTGGGAAACACAGATGAACAAAGTCAACACCGCTTTGTCCTTCAGTGCCTGGCTCCTTTTTCAGCTCGTCTTGCGACTCTAGGTATTGGAGTCCAGGGAGGGGTACGTCGCCTTTACCCTGTGCTTGCCACGATCTTGTCTCCTTAATCCTCACTGCAGTTCTCTGCCATAGAGTCTTATACTGCTTTACATGTGGGAAACTGAGGCTCAGAGAGTTTCACAGCAGGGCAGGGAGCCCAGATGTGAATCTGTAGATACCAAACTTTCTAATTTTTCAGTAGTTTCCAAGCATCTTTTATTTTTCTTGTTTCTTCGTTGGTGTCTTTTTTTTTTTTTTTTTTTTTGAGACAAAATCTCTGTGCCCAGGCTGAGGTGCAGTGGTGTGATCTCAGCTCACTGCAACCTCGACGTCTCACATTCAACAATTCTCATGCCTCAACCTCCCGAGTGGCTGGGACTACAGGTGCCCACCACACCCAACTTATTTTTGTATTTTTAGTAGAAACACGGTTTTGCCATGTTGGCCAGGCTGGTCTTGAACTCCTGACCTCAGGTGATCCACCCGCCTTGGCCTCCCAATATGCTGGAATTATTGATATGAGCCATTGGGCCCGGTCATGTCATTGGTGCCTTAACCAAGCCTCTTTTAATTTTTCAAACGGAAGAGCCCCTGTCCCTCAGTTACGGCTGCTGAGCCCTTTCAAGGTGAGTCAGTGAGGAGGGAGAAAAGCGGAAGTGGTGTGGGAAGAGGCGGGGTCTGGGCCAGCTGCTGGTCCTGCTCTCCTCCCTCCTTTGGCCTCTAGGCTCCCAGGAGTGGTTTCGAACCTGCGCCGTGTGCTCTGGAGGCTGTGGCAAGGCAGGCGCGGCTTGGAACCCGCACCATGTGCTCTGGGGGCTGTGGCAAGGCAGGGGCAGCTTGGAACCTGCGCCATGTGCTCTGGGGGCTGTGCCAGGGCAGGGGGAGTCCTCGTGTCCCCTGCGCACAACACAGACAGAAGGCTGGGTCCACCCAGTGGGCGGTCGGGTGCCAGGCCAGTGCTTACCCCGCCATGTTTGCAGCCCGAGGCCAGCTGGCTGCAGGTGCAGGACTAGGCGTCAGGGGTCAGGGTGCACACATCCCTGCAGGTCTCGGGGCTCCTGGGTTGCTTCTGGAAGGGCACAGATGGGGCCTGACTGGAGCTGCCGAGGGGTGGAGCTTCTGGGGAAAGGATCCCTCCTAGGGGGAGTGTCTTGGGCCTGGGGCCACGTGGCAGGGACAGAGACGGGTCCATGGCAGTGTCTGCTCTTCTCTGTGAAGGCAAAAGGCCTCTGAGGGAGTATTACAGCCGCCTCATCCACCAGAAGCATTTCCAGCAGATCCAGGTCTGCACCCCCTGACTGCAGGGCCAAGGACTACCCCCGCTTCTAGGTGAGAGGCCAGCAGGAGGCTCAGGGAGGAGGCGGGGCCTTAAGCAGGGGGAGCAGGGGTGGGCATGATGTACTTTTTCTGAAAAGGTGGCTCTGGAGGCCACTTGGGGACAGGACATGGGCTCTGGCTGAACTCCCGGGAGGAGGCTACTTCCTGGTGTGCCAGCCCCTCCCTGCCAGGTCGCCCCAGAGGCCCTTTACCAAGGGGTTTGAGGAGGCCACGTCCTTTCAGTCTGCCACGCCCTCCATTCAGTCCTCTTCCTTCCTGCAGGAGGGCTGGGCCTGGGTTTGGGGCCACTGTTGCCCAGGTGTGGGAGGGCAGTGGCTTTGGGAGGAACAGGGACGATGTGTCAAACAGCGTCGCCTCTCCCAGTGAGATGGTTCTCCTTTGCCTGCATCTCTTTCCCCGTTGATTTCTCCAAGTGGGGAGTCGTGGCTTGGTCCTGATGCGTCTCTAGAGCTGCATCTTCCACCTTCCAGTGAGCAGAACAGTTGGAGTCTGAGGGCTTTTTCCTGGCAGGATTCTCCAGCTAGTCTTTGTTTTAGACAGTCTTGCTCCGTTGCCCAGGCTGGAGTGCACGATCTCAGTTCATGCAACCTCCGCCTCCTGGGTTCAAGCGATTCACCCACCTCAGCCTCCCAAGTAGATTACAGGATTACAGGAGTCCACCACAACAGCTGGCTTATTTTTGTATTTTTAGTAGAGACAGGGTTTCACCATGTTGTCCAGGCTGGTCTTGAACTCCTGACCTCAAGTGATCCTCTCGCCTTGGCCTCCCTAAGTGCTGGGATTCCAGGCGTGACCCATCATGCCTGGCCCCAGGTAGTCTTTAGAAATGTTAAGCTATTTGGCTTTATTTTCACACTGACAGCTGGTTTGTGGTGGGTGTGTTATGGTTTATTATTATTATTATTATTATTATCATTATTATTATTTTGAGACGGAGTTTCGCTCTTGTAGACCAGGCTGGAGTGCAATGGCGCGATCTTCGCTCACCGCAACCTCTGCCTTCCCAGGTTCAAGCGATTCTCCTGCCTCAGCCGCCTGAGTAGCTGGGATTACAGGCACATGCCACGGATTAACATCGCTAATTTTGTATTTATTTTTAGTAGAGATGGGGATTCACCATGTTGGCCAGGCTGGTCTTGAACTCCTGACCTCAGGTGATCCACCCGCCTTGGCCTCCCAAAATGCTGGGATTACAGGCGGGAGGTGAACCTGGGAGGTGGAGGTTGCAGGGAGCTGAGATTGTGCCACTGCACTCCAGCCTGGGTGACAGAGTGAGACTCTGTCTCAAAACAAAACAAACAACAACAACAAAAAAACAAATTGTGGTTACGTAGAAAAAGTGTCAACTTACATTTTCAGATGTCCCAGCCAGGCCGTGTGGCTGCTTGGCCAGCTTAAGCCACTTGTGCTTGGGGCTGTCGGGGGCCTTATCCAATTTTCACTCCCCTCGGGGGATGTTGTCTCACTGTGCTGGGAGGATTTGTGTTCCCAGGGCAGAGACCAGCACTCTGACCCACCCCTCTTGCCTAGCAGGGTTGGTGGACCTGGGTGTCTCTCTGGACACATCCTCCAGTGGCCTGGACCTGCCCATGAAGGTGGTGGACATGTTCAGGTGCTGTTTGCCTGCGTGTGCCGTGAACTTCAAGTGGTAGGAGCAGAACCCGAATCTTTCTGGGGATAGCTTCACAGATCCACCGCTGACGGGGAAGCAGTGCAGAGTGAGCTGCCCAAAGTGAGGCCCTGCCCCTTGGTCAGTCCAGCACACACTGGAGGCCACGAGGAGGAGCCCTGCGGTTACTGTGGCTGGGCTGAGCCTCACTGAAGTAGGTGCTTCCATTTAGAGCTCATGCTATATTTAGGTTGGTACAAAAGTAATCACGGTTTTTGCCATTAAAACTGAAAATTACTTTTGCACCAACCCAATATGAAAAAAAAATAAAGCACCTTAAATACTAGAACTCCACTCGGGGCTTTTGCTCCTAGAGTAGAATTGGCGGGAAATGCCTGCAGGCTTACATGGTTTTCTTTGTTTTTCTCTCCCACCATGTCCCTTTTGGCCAAGCTCACATGGTGGGTTTGAATGAGTTAAATGAGTGTCATGCTGTGGCCTCACTCCACCCAGCATAGACGGGTGTTTGGAAGGGTGGCATTAGAGGAGATTCTAGAAGCAGTAGCCCCAGCACAAGTTGAGCCCTTGGCCCCTGCTCAGCAGCCGGCTCCTGGATGGGATTCAGGGATGCGAGCCCCTCGTGTGAGCTGAGCTCAGGGAATGTGGGGATCAAATCTGGTGTCCTAGAAAAGTCATCTTTTATGTGCTGAACCAGTCCCCAGGGGGTTGCCTTTACTTGTTCCATGGCCATGGAATTAAGAAAAACATGCAAAAGTAATTCTTCAGTACTTGAAGAGCATCCAGCACAGAAGGTACAAACCTTCCTTAAGGCTCCCTCCTCAAATCGGTTTGGTCATTTTGATGTGCACCCCCCCAGGCCTTTATACCCTTCAGATGCCAAATCTAAGAACCAGCTCCCAGAAACCACACCCCCTGTTCCAAACCCCAGCCTGGCTTGAGCGTGGGGTGGGTGGGATCCCAGCTGGGCACCCCAGGAGTCTGGTGTCTTCCCCAGGCAGCTCTCAGGCTCCCTTGGTTCTGTCTGCAGTTTACATGAGCTGGTGAAACATGTAGAAAATGGCCTGATCTTTGAGGAGTCAGAGGAACTGGCAGCTCAGCTGCAGGTAGCCATGTCTGCCACCACGCCAGGGTGGGCAGGGTTCTGGAGACTGGCATCGAGCCACGCTCCCTGATCCCTGCTTCCCACAGCCAGGGTGGGACCATGGGGGGTCTGGTGGAAAAGCTAGTGGGGGAGCAGAAGTCACAGAGGCCTCCTACTCTGCTGTCCCATTTCGGTACAGTAGGCTCGGGAAAGTTAGGACACAACCCCACCTGCCCTCTGGATTTATGGAGCTGACACTCCATAAACGATGCTGGAGCCGGGTGGGCCGGGCTGCAGTTTAGGAAGTGATCGGATCAGGTAGGTGCGTGGGCAAAGGGAACTTCTGGGACCAGCCTTGAAAGATGGGTGGAATTCTGCAAAGGTTACTTGTTTCTTATTGCAAAAAGTAATACATCATTCTTGTCAACAGAATGATTGGGAGGATTTTCAGTAAATGTCCAGGTCAGAAGTCATTTAGACAGGGTACCCCAGTCTCTGTCAGAACCATGGTACTCTGTTGTGGTGTGAAAGTAGCCACAGATCATCTGTAGATTAAGGGGTGTGGCTTTGTTCCAACAAAGCTTTATTTACAAACACAGGCTGTGGGCTGGATTTGGCCTGCAGGCTGTAGTTTGTGATCCTTGATTCAGACAGTTTAGCAAGGCTGAAAAGAACACCCACACCCCCTTGTTACCCACAGATGGGTGGGACTGTGTTGGCCAGAGGCCGAGAGGAGGGTGCTCACAGGGGAACGTACAGCATGTAGAGGCCGGAAGGTGCTCCAGGGCACCAAGTGTGGGAAAGTGGGACATACGGGGAAGTTTCCAGAAAGCATGATGTCAAGTTGGAAGTGGAGCGCTGCTGGGTTGTGAAGGGTCTCAAGTCCAAGTGAGGGGGGTTGTGAAGGGTCTCAAGTCCAAGTGAGGGAGTTAGGGACTTGGGAGGGGTTGTTGTTGGGTCGGGGACCTGGGGTCATCCAAGTGGTGACCTGGGATGGGGTGGGGACAGGCAATGAGTTAAGCTCTGCTCTTTAGCATTTTGCAGATGCTTTTCTCAAACTTTTCTGATCCTGCAGGCAAGCTAAGCCAGTTCTGGAAGAACCTGCAAGAGTCTCAGCAGCTCTGATGGGATGAGAGCTGGGTGCAGACTGTGCTCCCTTTGGTTATGGACACATAACTCCTGGGCCAGAGGCTAAAACCCCAGGGCCCCTGCTGTCCTTCCCGCAGCTTCTTGGAGTCTCAGGGCAAAGCCTTTCGAGCAGCGCCTCCCAGTGGCCAGAAGCTGAAATGACGGCAGTGGTGTCACCTGGTGAATGACCCGGGAAGCTGTGGTTGGCCCTGATTTCTTCTTTGGAGTCTCTGAAATGCTTCCTGTCTTCTGTTCTTCATGCCCCATGCCCCTGCTAGCGTATTACTGTTCTGTGACTTCCCTGTGACCTCTGCAGTACTCCTCATCCTGCATTTGGTCTCCAGGTGTCACCTTTCTGCCGTGTTCCTAACACTTTCATTCCTGTCTTGAAAAAAGCGCCTGCTGCACCATAAGCCCTGGGATGTGGCAGCTGCAGCGGGCTTGGCTTTGTGAGGAACCGAGTGTGTCCAGGGATGTGGCAGCTGCAGCGGGCTTGGCTTTGTGAGGAACCGAGTGTGTCCAGGGATGTGGCAGCTGCAGCGGGCTTGGCTTTGTGAGGAACCGAGTGTGTCCAGGGATGTGGCAGCTGCAGCGGGCTTGGCTTTCTGAGGAACCGAGTGTGTCCACGTTGGGGGAACGTCATCCTTGATACACACGTTTTTATTTGCAGAAAGAAAATGCTATTTTTGGAGCTAGAATTTTCATGTCTGATTTATGATGATTTTCTTGAGAACCAGAACTGCTGGCAGAAAGGGGGCACCCACACGCCTAGACAGCTAATGTCTTATTAGAGGGCAGTTTTGATTCCTGATTTGGAGTTTAATAATCTCCAAACATTCCAGTCCAATGAAAGTTTTATCCACTTTCCCATATAAAAATTCTTCCCACGAGAGTGACTTGATTCTCACAATCCCTTTGGAGTCATGTGTGAGTCCTACAGTGTGAGGTTCAGCATTGCCATCTCCAAGTGCTCTCCATAGGGAAACAGTTTCTGGTCATGATGAGCTTCCGCTTCCCATCTGATCCCATCCCGGCCTGGAAACAAAGCACGTGTTTGAGGATGGCGGTGTTTGGGGACAGGACATGAGCGTTTTGTGTGGGGCTGCTAGGACAGGCCTGGCGGGGTGGGGGGTGTCTAAGTCAGTTTACTTGGTTCACAGGTTCCGAGGCCCACCCACATACCTAGAATTCGCCTCCAGGATGGGACCAGAACTCTGGTTTTGCATAGAAATGGCTAGCAGCAGGCACCATGCCGCTGTCCACTCTGTGCCTGCGTCTGCCCCAGCACTTGGCACAGCAGGACAGAAGCAGAGATCTGAACCCACATCTCCCTGGCTGCTCAGTCAACTCACTCTTCACAAAGCTTAGAAAGTGGCCGGGCACAGCCAGACTCTGTCTCAAAAAAAAAAAAAAGGTTGGTTGAGGCTTATACTATGTGTGCTGCTTGGCACTGTTTTTTTCACTTAAAAGATATTGCAGGTTTTTTTTCACGTAAGTATCTGAAGAAAGACTTCCTTTTTTTTTTTTTTTTTTTTTTTTTTTGCTTTTTTGCTTTTTTGAGACAGGGTCTTGCTCTGTTACCCACGCTGGAGTGCAGTGGTGAGATCAGGGCTCACTGCAGCCTCCACCTCATGGGCTGAAGCCATCCTCCCACCTCAGCCTCCCGAGTAGCTGGGACTACAGGTGTGTGCAACCACATCTGGCTAGTTTCTGTATGTTTTGTGAAGATGGGGTCCCACTATGTGGCCCAAGTTGGTCTTGAACACTTGGGGTCAAGTAGTCCTCCTGCTTTAGCTTCCTAAAGTGCTGGGATGACAGGCCTGAGCCCCGCGCCCGGCCAGCCTCCTGTGCGAGGTTGTGTGGGACTCTGTCATGGAACCCAGTATGCCTTCATGTGCTGGCTTGTTTGTTGACTCTGTAGTTAATGGGCTGCCCCACGTGGACAGGCACTGGGTCATCCATGTCTCTGTGTACAGGCAGAGGCTGCTGCGGGTACATCTGTGCACATGGCTGCCAGGAGGGGCTGTGCTCAGGGGGAGCTGGGGCAGAGGCTGGTGGCAATGGGGGGCTTGGGTGTAGTGTGGAGGCACGAGAGCCAGGTGGCCGGGCTGCAGTCTGCGGGAGCTCGGGGGTCACTTGGCCTCTGTGTGTCCTAGTGTCTTTGTCGGTGAGATGGGACAATGACAGCACACCCTCACAGGTGCTGGGGGTTGACAAATGTCAGGTCTGAGGACAGTGGCTGGCCCACTACGGGGCCAGTTTCCCTTCTCTATAGTCACCCTGCTCGTCTTCCATCAACTGGGTGCTCAGGACAGTGGCGTGGTGGATCCGCCTGTACAGCCTGTGCTCCAGCGTCCTGCAGTCCACAGCTGTGTCCAGCCCTGACCCCGACTGCCGCTCCCGCCACCTCCATTTTATAGATGAGGAAACCGAGGCCCAAGGGCTTAGGGAACCCTGCTCTGAAGCACATAGTAGGGCTGCTGGGCTCAGACCCTCCCTCCCTGTGCTGAGGTGTCCTCCTCCTGCCTCAAGCCCCCCACGCCCCGAGCCCACCCTGCTCACCGGCCTCTGCCCGAGTTCCCCGCATAGTGTGGGAGTGTGGAGCATCCTAGCTTTTCCCCAGCGCCCAGTTCTTTCACTTCCACTGGAGTCCTGCAGGGACAGCTCGGGCACCATGTAGGCCCGGGTGGGCGTGGGGGTTCACCTAGCTCGGTGGTGAACAGCTGGCACGTCTCTGGGTTGCGGACGGTAAAGGCCACGTAGACCTCAGGAGCCCGCTTGTGCTCCCGGCAGGCAGCCAGCCTCTGCAGGACCCCGACCAGCGACACGATGGCTTCTGGGCAATACAGCACGTCTACGGTGAAAGTTTCAGGTTACTGAAAGGGACAAGTGGAAAGTTCCAGTTCATGCTGACCTCAGCAGCAGGGCGAGGCCAGAGAGGCAGCGGTCATATGAGACTATTAGATGCCATTTGACCATTTGGGCCATTAGATGGAAAGGCAATTATTTGGGTGAAAAAGGAGAACCCTTATTAGAGAAAGCTGCAAAAGACCGAAGCAAAAGAAAAAAATCTCCAGACTCACTGGTGTCCTTAAAAAACCAGCTCTGGTTCTCGGCCTGTCTAGAGGGCTTTCAATGACAGAAAGCCTGACCCTGCCGTGAACTTCGTGTTTCAGGTGTCTGCCGATTGGTCTGCTGGCTTGCAGGGGTGGGCCTGTGTCCCTGGCCACCGCTGGACCTGTGGGTTTCAGGGCTGGGACCCAGGACTACAGGCAGAGTTCTGTTCCACCAGAGAGGGGACTGAGTGTGCTCACAGGGGTGAGGGGTTTTCGGTGGCCCAGCCAAACAGCACCTTCTCTCAAGGGCCCTGACCTCGTACCAGAAGTGGTTGTTTTCCTCCTGCGGTCTCTGAAGGACACAGGGCATGGCTCTGGGACAGAGCCATGTGGTGACGACTGTAACTGTAGTATGCCTGTCTCCAACAACAGGGCTGTGGCTTGAAGGTCACCTTAAGAGGCACCCCTGTCCTTTGATGTCACCCTGGAGGCCCAGAGTAACTCTTCTGGAAGCCCCATCACATCCATGCCCGACAGTGTCCATTGTTCCCTTTTCCCAGAGCCAAGAGCTGGGTAGAGCTGCAAGGACACCGCCTGCACAGGATGCCCGGGGCTGGGCATTACCTGCTGCAATGACAACATCTGGCTGGAAGGCAGAGAGCTGATGGACCATTGCTACGTCCCAGTCCAGCTGGGCCACTGTCACCCTGGGGCTGTCTAAGTTGCCAGTGATGTCTGCCTCTAATGAGAGGCCATTGAGAAGGACATTCCCTCGGAGCTGCTCGAGGACCCGGCTGTGAGGGTCGCTGAAGATGTATGCCCGGGGGCGGCACATCTTGCAGATGGCAAGGCCTGTGAGGCCGGCACCACTGCCAAGCTCTAGGACAGTCCTGGCGGGAGGAAAGGGGACCGTGTTTTCGACTGCACCAGGGTAAGCCTGCCTCGGTGCCCTGCCCTGTGCCCCAAGGTCACCTGTTAATGAAGGCTGCCGGGTTCTCGATGGCCCATTCTGCAAGGTAGAGGGCGGCATCCCATGTGACCAGGCCTGTGGTACCGTGGGAGATGATGGCTGTGCTCTTGGAGAGTGTGACTGAGCCTCCTGAGGACTGCACCAAGAGAGGGCGAGAGAGTCAGTCCAGCGATCAGAAGGCAAGTGGCTTAGAAGACAAGTAGCCATCCACCACATGGCTGAATAAACCATGACAGGACCAATCGCCACTCAGCAATGAGAAGCAGCTAACTGTTGACATACCAACAGTTGCACGGGCCTCAAGGGTGTCACGCGGCATGAAAGACACTCATCTCAGGCCACACAGGATTCCATCTATTGAACATTCCTGAGACAACGGAATTCTGGCGATGGAGCACAGGTCAGTGGTGGCCAGGGGCCAGGTGTGGCTATGAAGAGGTGGCTGCCTTGTGATGATTCAATATGCTATGTTTTTCCTTTGTGGTTTTCTGTATCTATGTTTTATCTCATTTTTTTTTTTTTTTTGAGCTCTGTCACCCAGGCTGGAGTCAGTGGCACGATCTTGGCTTACTGCAACATCTGCCTCCTGGGTTCAAGCAATTCTCCTGCCTCACCTGCCCAGGTAGCTGTGACTACAGGCGTGTGCCACCATGTCTAGCTAATTTTTGTACTTTTTTTTGAGACACAGATTCACTCTCGTTGCCGAGGCCGGAGTGCAATAGCACGATCTCGGCTCACTACAACCTCCACCTCCCGGGTTCAAGAGATTCTCCTGCCTCAGCCTCCCGAGTAACTGGGATTACAGGCGCCCACTACCACACCCCGTTAATTTTTGTATTTTTAGTAAAGATGGATTTTCACCATGTTGGCCAAGCTGGTCTCAAACTCCTGACCTCAGGTGATCCCCTTGCCTCAGCCTCCCAATGTGCTGGGATTACAGACATGAGCCACCACGCCTGGCCTAATTTTTGTATTTTTAGTAGAGACAGGGTTTCACCATATTGGCCAGGCTGGTCTCGAACTCCTGACCTCAGATCCACCCGCCTTGGCCTCCCAAAGTGCTGGGATTACAGGCATGAGAGACCATGTCCAGCCCTGTCAAGTATTCTTTGAGGACTGGGCACCAGGTCCTTGTGAAGCAGGTAGTGTGTGTCACCTATTGGACAAATGCCCAACAACCCCACGAGACATGCTGTTGTTGTTGAAGTGCTTGATTTACAGACAGGGAAACTGAGGCTAAAGAAGGTTAATGGACCTCATGTCTAAGACTGCAGAATGGGTGAGTCAGGATTTGAACCCACACCCACGTTTTCACTTTGTCTGTGCAGGAAGGGTATCTGGGCTGTGAGGGGGAGGAGGGTGCCTTTCTCATACCAGCAAATAGCTCCGGTGGCCCTGGGTGGACTCCTTGGCCATCAGAGTCTCCGTGAGCACCTCGTACAGTTTGTCCAAAGGCTCCGTGTGGACAGCCTCGTGCTGGGGGCAGACAGAGTGAGAGCTTGTTTGCTTTCGTTCTAATCTGTAAAAATGGCCAGATGATTTTCACCAAGTTTGGAGGGGAGATTTGGGATGGAATGGTGTAATACCGGCCAGCTGGTATATAAAATACTCACTTCGTTGGGCGTGGTGGTGTGTGTCGAATAGTTCCAGCTACTCTAAAGGCTGACGTGGGAGGACTGCTTGAGCCCAGGAGTTCGAGGACAGCCTGGGCAACAGAGATCTTGTCTCTAAAAAAAAAATTATTCCACTTGGTAGGGAAACCTGGATGGGAGGGCTTTCAACAAGAGGTGTTGAGAGGGTAGGGTTAGGTGTAGTCTAGGGCAGGAGACAAGGATTCCGTGAGAGCTGCCACATGACCATGACAGAGAGCTCTGTGTTTGGATCAAACACAGAGAGGAGGAAAACAAAAGGTGCTTTTAAGTGAGCCCAGGCAGAACTGTGAGGGCGGCCCATGCTGCAGGCTGTGGCTGTCAGCAGGCTGCTTCTCCACAGCTGGCCCAGTCCTAGGATTCACAGGGCAGCAGCAGGGTACACTGGGTGACTGCTGCCCTCTCGTGGTGGCACAGGGCAGACCTGCTGGTGACCAGAGATGCACCCTTTTGGGGAGAACTAGGGAGAAAGCAGGTATTGGAGAAGCAGGGGATTGTTTATTTGTTAAAAGTGTGGCCCTTTCACTCAGCAGGTCTGCTACTGCCTACTAAGGAATGGCCTCTCGACATCCTCATGTCAAACCCTGCATGTTCGGGCCCATCTTTAAAATCCATCCTAGGCCAGGTGCGGTGGCTCATGCCTGTAATCCCAGCACTTTGGGAGGCCGAGGCAGACGGATCACCTGAGGTCAGGAGTTCGAGATGAGCCTGGCCAACATGGTGAAACTCTGTCTCTACTAAAAATACAAAAACTAACCAGACATGGTGGCATGTGCCTGTAGTCCCAGCTTCTTAGCAGGCTAGGCACGAGAACTGCTTGAACCCAGGAGGCAGAGGTTTCAGTGAGCCGAGATTGTGCCACAGTAATCCAGCCTGGGCAACACAGTGAGACTCTGTCTCAAAAAAAATATATAAATAAATAAATAAATAAATAAATAAATAAATAAATAAATAAGTAAAAAATAAAATCCATCCTATATCAGTCAGGAAAGAGCTCATTCCAGCAGGATCAATGCAGAGAATTCACCAGAGGAACTAGTTCCAAAGGTATGGCAAGAGCTAAAACTTCCAACAGGGGCCCGTGGGGCAACCCAGAGATGGACAAGAGCAGGAAACTCCAAACCCTTTGGTGGGCAGGACAGAGGGTGTGGGTGATGGTTCCAGTGCTGTGGGCTGGTCCAGCCTGGTAGGAATGAGAATCCATATGCTAGGAGCTGAGGCCCCAGAGAAGCAGCTGCTGTGGAAACCCCAGAGGGCAGACTCAGGGAGAGATGCTGGCCTCCCCTTATTCCCACCCTGCACTGTCTCCCATGGGTCACACTCAGCTGCAGCCAGTTGCCTGGGGAGGGCCCTGCCATGCTGGGGTTTGCAAAGCAGGCCCAGGGCCTGGGAAGGACGGAGTGTGCAGCACGCCGGTGGCTATGCTGTCCAGCTACTGGGCGGACACTGCCTATAACTGACCTTTTTGATGAGTTCTGAGAGAAAGCACCAGGCATACTTGACTGACGGCGGGTGCTTCACACACACAGGATGCCTCACAGTCTACGGCAAAGGACAGAACGTTGGTTGCTTGAGAGCCCGTCTTAAGTCTCCTATGAGCTTCAAGCCAACACAGCAGAGGGCAAACTCCAGGCTACCCGATCCCTCAGCAAAGATGCAGATGGACACAGCGTTCTGGCCCCATGCATCTGAAGTTTGTCTTAAGATATAAGCCGTTTCCTAAAAATGCTTCCACTGCAGTGGCACAGGCTATGGCAGCATTTCTAATGCCCATTCTGAGCAGGAACACAGGGCATGTGGGCCCAAACCACCTCCCTCCCAGGGGAGCCAGTGTGAACCAGGGTTTGCAGTAAGGTCAGTCGCCAACTATCTGGCTTTATGGAAGAGGCGGGAAGGCCCACTCAGCAACTGCTCTCTGGGAGCGTGTGTCCCTGGGGACAGGATGGAGGGGAGGGGAAGCTCAGGGTGACTCCAACTAAAGCCGAGAGAAGCCAAGTGCAGGATGAGCAAGTTCCAGGCAGTGGGAACAGCCTGTGCAAGCTCTGAGGTGGCCACGGGCTGGCACTTGGAACGGAGGGCAGAGGGACTGGTGCAGCAGGAGTGGGGACGGCGGGAAAACAGGAGCCTGGAGGGAGAGGGAGGAGACCGTCCGCAGCGCCTGCTGGCTGGGAGGGATGCAGATTCTGCCCAAGGGCAGCAAAGTACCCCAGGCAATACACAGGCTCTTCATGCTGTTGCTGGTTTTTCATTTGTTCTGACCCAGAGTCTCGCTCTGTTGCCCAGGCTGGAGTGCAGTGGCCCGATCTTGGCTCACTGCAGCCTCCACCTCCTGGGTTCAAGCGATTCTCCTGCCTCAGCCTCCCGAGTAGCTGGGACTATAGGCGTGCACCACCACACCCAGCTAATTTTTTTTTATTTTTAGTAGAGATGGGTTTTTGCCATGTTGGCTAGGCTGGTCTTGAACTCCTGACCTTAGGTGATCCGTCCACCTCAGCCTCCCAAAGACCTGGGATTACAGGTGTGAGCCAGTACAACCAGCCTTGTGCTGGGTTTTAAAGCAGCTCTCCCTACATCTCATGCTTCACCACCTATGAGAGTGAGGCTCAGGGTGAAACTCAGAGCAAGGTGCGAGATAACTTCAGGTATCTCCATGCTCGAAGCCCTGACCTACTGTATTGCCCCGAAAGTCTTCCCTGCTGTGGCTGCATCTTTTCCACGTGGATAATCTTGGTTCATCTCTAGCACAGGAATTCTTCACCGGGGCTCCTAGGATGGGCTGGGTGGGTGGGCGTGGAGGATGTCTGCCTCCCCTGAGTTTGTATGGAAAATGTATTCTGGTGCACTTCTTTCTGGGAGGGAGTCTATTGCTTTGTCTTTTCAGAAGGGCTCATGGCTCTTTGAAGGTGAAGACCCAGGATGCAGGGTGATCTGCACTTGGCCCTCAATGCCAAGGTCAGCCTGTGGCTGGGCCAGGTGGTGATCCTGGCTCTCACTTGCATGCAGATGCACTTGAGTCCAAACCCCACCCTGGGCAAAGCAAGGGCCCATTTAGGTCTAGAAGAGACAGGAGTGGGCGGGACAGGCCTCATGAATGCAAAAAAGAAAGTCTCTGAGCATCTACCAAATGCTAGAAGCTGTTTTGCACCTGTCATCTCTGTTTTTGCTGTGGATGGTTTAAAAAACATTCCCTAGATTTCCCCCCTCTTGCAGAATTTTGTATATTCTGATGTCTTTTCTAAGTCTTACATAGAAAACGAAACCGTAGGAGCTGTCGGAGGTGCTGACACCCTCCTGAAGTGCTGACTCAATGGTTTTGTTCTTTGAAGAGGGCTGTTTTTAAAGGGTACAAGCACACCTGTGCTGCTTCTCTCAGGTCTTCCGGAGAGATTCAAGAGGCAGGATCATGAGTCCCAGGGACTCTGGGATTCTTACCTTCTGCAAAATATCCCGCAGCAGCTCAGAATCTGATGAGTCTCTTAACTTTGCCTCTAAGCTCTGTGTGGATGGGAGAGAGAGAAATCTCAAGGGCCCATTCACAGGAACATTAAACACGCAATAGAATGTGTTGGCAAAGCTCTATGTGATCCCTCCCTGGGGACGTGGAGCCAGTTGGAAGTGGAAGCCACAGCGGCTGAAAGCCTGACCTTCAGATGTCGCAGGGTGCACCTGGATGAGTCACAGGAAGAAGGCTGACTCTTGGTCGCATTAGTCCTGGCTACTCAGCTGCCACCCAGGTCATGGGCCAGCTCCCTGGTTACACTGGTCAGCCAGGAATTACCAGGGCAGCCATGGCACCAAGGTTTGATGGGCTTGCCATCTGAGTTTAAGTGGAAATGCAGAATGTGCCCATACCAGCCTGGGTTACATTGTCCTCTTACAGGGGCCTCAAGCCCAGCAGTGAGCTTTGGCTCCCGAGTTAGGCAGACTGTCTCGGCTGGTATGTGACACATGGCAAGGCACTTCATTGCTTCAGAGCTCCTTCTATGCCATAAAAGGCCCTACAAGGCCTGCTGCTAATCCCCCTCTCTGGCCTGTTCTCCCTCACCACTGGCCCACCCTGCTCACTCCACTCCA
Organism: Homo sapiens; assembly: GCF_000001405.40. Classification (NCBI taxonomy): domain Eukaryota; kingdom Metazoa; phylum Chordata; class Mammalia; order Primates; family Hominidae; genus Homo; species Homo sapiens. The sequence goes on from NC_000008.11 coordinate 12,192,421, forward strand.
GCCACACTGGCTGCCTTGCTGTTGTTCCTCAACCACAGCTGGCTTATTTCCACAACAGGGCCTTTGCATATCTTGTTCCCCAAACCCTTCCCATGGCTGGCTGCTTCACCACTCAGGTCCCAGTTCAAATGCCACCTCTTTGGGGAAGGCTTCCCTGATTCCCTGACTTTGGTGACAGTTCTCCCCAGTTGCTCCATTCACCATTTCCCTGTTTTATTGGCTTTAAAGCCACTCTCATCTGGTCTTTTCTTGTTTATTCATTTATTCTCTGTCTCTCCCATGCAAGCAGAGCCTCATCTATCATGGGTACTGCCGATCCATGGTGCCTGGCTCACGGAAGGCATTTATTAAACATTTTGAGACTGAAGAAAACACTAGCTAACACCGACATGCATTTACCATGAGCCAGGCACTGATCCGCAGGCATTTGTACTCAACGCTGAGAACAACCCTAAGAGGTAGGTATCATTATATCCCCCATTTTATTAATAAGAAAACAATAGCACAGAGAGATACAGTCACTTGCCCAAGGTCACACAGGGCCAGGGGTTGGGCCAGGATTCGAAGCAGGCAGGCTGTCTCCTGGGTCTGAACTCTCAACTACTTCACCCTAATCAAACAATCCCTCTGGTCAAATGTGAGTGATAATAATAGTACCCACCTGGTGGGTGTTGAGGGTGAGCCCAAGTTAGCATTCAGTGTGGGCATGTGAACAATTATAGTCAATATTGAATGGAGACCTATGATGCTTTTATGAAGGTTTCTATTTTGGGTTAAAAATGCACACATTTCTCCTGACCAGAAATGATCTCTGAGTGCTAAATATTTTATGTCAATGGAATAACACAAATGATTAAGCAACACCCCATAAAATGGGGCAGACCCAGGGAGGAATATATATCCCAACTGACTCATCCAGTGAGCTCAATGCACATGAATTACAAATGGAACGGGGTGCATTAAGCCCCTCTGCTGGCAGAAGGGAGGCTGCTGCCTGCCATGTGCCTGTGCTGAGAATGGCAGGTCCCCAGGGAGAGGAGAGGCCACCCCCTTCTCTGTCTCTTCCATCACAGGCGTGAAAGCCTCAGCGCATGAGCCGATTCTGTGCAGTGCTCGACATACAGATGAGAACACTGAGGCACGAGGGACAGCCTGTGACCTGGTCACCGCGCTCAGGAGGAGGTGGTTACCCGCGGGCCTGAGGGCGCTGACTTTTTAGAATGGGCGAGTGCAGCTGTGTCCCAGTGACCAGAACGATTACTGCCTTTAAAAAGTCGTGAAAATGATCGTGAACCGTACCCCACACGGAGCGCGCGTCTACCCCCTAAGGCGGTGGAGACGCCCCCAGCTTCCGCCGCCAGCTCGCGGGGCAGAAGGGGTGCGAGCGACTCTGGCCAGGCCCCAGGGACGGGGACCGGGTCTCGCGGCCCTGACCGAGGAGAGCCCAGGAACTCACGTGGCCGGAGCGCCGGGGGTTTCAGCACGGAGACCCATCCCGTCTGCCCCTGGACTCCCGCGACCCCCGCGGGCCTCTCCGCTCGCCCCGCCGCCCACCTGCCAGGGGAAGGAGCGCAGTGTGCGCACCGCCAGGAAGCGGCGCTCAAAACCCTGCAGCAAGAGTTCGGTCCCCGCGTTCTCCTCGGGCGCCATAACGTGGGCGAGGCCGCAGCCGTTGCCGGGAGACCTGGAGGAAGCCGGGCCTGGACTGAAGAGGGGGCGGGCCGAGGGCAGAGCGCGGGGGCAGAGAGGGGGCGGGGCCTGGGGATAGGGTCAGGAGGTGCGTCCTGGGGGCGGACTCTAGGGCGGGGCCAAGATGAGCGTTAGGAGGGCGGGGCCTGGGGTAGGGCCAGGATAAGCGACATCGGGGCAGGTCCTGGGTAGAGTCCAGGTTGGCGGTTCCTGGGGCAGGGCCAGGATAGGGCGATCCTGGAAGCTGGGCTTCGGAAGCGTCCAGGTTGGTGGCGTCCTGGAGGCGGTGCCTTGCGTGGGGGCAGGATAAGAGTCCTGGAGGCGGGCATTAGGGCGCGGATAAACGCCATTGGATTCAGGAGGCGGGACCCAGAGCAGAGCCCAGGAGACAGGTCTTAGGGCGGGGCTAAGGCCAGGCCCAGAGAAGGGCTCAGGAGGCGGGGCAGGGGCGGGGCGTTGACTATGTCGTAGAACATGGCCAGGCGGTGCGCGGACTCTGGGAGGCGAAGCTTAGGACGGGCCCACTTGGGGAGGGGCCCAGTGCCCGGGAGGCGGGGCCGAGTCCGGGCTGGGCTGCGCTCAGGAGGCGGGCCCTGGGAGGCGGAGCTTAGGGAGGGGCCGGTGTTGGGAGGGACCCAGGGACTGGGAGGCCGGTTGGGGCTGGGCTCAGGGGCCGAGACCTAGCTGGGCTTGGGGCGGGGCCGAGACGGAGCGAGGGGTCCAGGGTGTGGGAAACGGGGAGGGGTTTGAGGAGGGGATCGGAATGTGGCTCAAGTTCGGGAGGCGTTACCTGCGGAGGGTTTGAGGCAGGCCCAGGAGCGAGCCCATGGTCTTCCGACGCGGGGCCAGGGGCGGGGCCCAGGATCCGGAGCTTCGTGCGGGGCCGAGTCCAGGTTTGGGGCCCGGGAGGCGGGGCCAGTTAGGGCGAGGGTCCCTGGGATCGTCGGGTCAGGCCTTGGGCTAACGTAGGCACTCTCGCAGTTCCTCCGCCTTCAGGAAGGTCTTTTCAGCAGGGGCCTTACGGGTGCATGCTTCGGTCCTGGAGGCCTTATCCTAGCCTCCTCTCCATCAGCGCCACCCGTCTGGGGCCCGAAAGGAGGGAGCTTTCCCTCTGTCCCCCAGCCTTTGGACTGTCACTAAACAAGCCATTCGTTCATCAAATACTTTTTAAGCGCCTACCATGTGCCTGACAAGGGAGATGTAACGGTGAGAAAAACTAGGTGTGGTCCAGGCCCTTCAGGGGCTCAGGTGCTCGTGGAAGAAGTGGACATTGAAGTACTTATCACACAAATGAGGATAAAAGTACGATAACGATATCTACCACGAAGGTGAGCAGACAGAGCTAGCGGGGCTTGCAGGAGGAGTTTTGATCTTGCAGGGACAGGAAGGAGGAGTTAGCTCCTGCGGGGTGGGATTGGGGGTGGTGGTGATATAGACGTGGGGACAGAGTGGAAAACAACAAAAATATAATTATTTTAGTTCAAAGTTATTGTGTCTTGAGTTGAAAGGCAGGGCAGTTAGCAACACAGCTTAGATTTCAGTACTGCTCCTGAAATCTGAACTGTGTTCAAAGTCTAAAACGTTTACCTTAGCAAATTCCTCATCAAACTCCATTTGGAAGAGTCCCGAGAGCTAATTTGTTAAGTATACTTGCAAAAGGTAGATGAGGAGACAGATAAAATCTTATTACCTCTTTCAGATGAGAGGCACTTGAGCCCTGCTCAGCTATGAGAATAAGAGAGGGGAATTAATTCTAATTGAATACACTTGTTCTCTTATAGCTGTTGTTCCCCACCAGAACCAAATGAGCGCAAGATCTGACAAAGAAAAAAAAAGGTTCATCTTTTATTCCTCCAAACACTTTCATTTAAATCAAGAGGATGGGATGTGGTTATTGCTGTGTTTTTAGACAGAATCAACGGTTTCTGGGTCTGAGATGTTGCATACACCTTCTCAGTCCCTGTATCCTGAGATGGAGTCACCTGAGAATCCACAGCAAGTCCTAACCAGGGATGGGTCTGGGTGATTAAGGAAGGTTGGCTTCAGAACTGGGCCAGGGGCACTGCTTTGCTTTTGCTGTTTTGATCAGCTCTCTGCCTGAAGGAGACAAGAAAAACCAACGGGAACAGGTTAGTTATACTGATAAATCCTGGGCTTATTTTATTAACTCACATAATAGCTATTGTCTTTCCTCCAAGGAGCAAAAGGGCATATACGGTCAATGCCATAGTAAGTAACACTGTATTATGTTATACTAAAATATTAATAAATCTAGGTTGGTTCAGTCTTTCCTGAGTCCACAGATTGGAAGCAGATTGAGGAAGGACGCTAGTGGACCACAGAGCTGAGCCATGCACACAGAAGAAATCTTTTTTTCTTTTTTTCTGGAGACGGAGTTTTGCTCTCTAGTTGCCCAGGCTGGAGTGCAATGGCGCGATCTCGGCTCACTGCAACCTCCACCTCCCAGGTTCAAGCGATTCTCCTGCCTCAGCCTCCCGAGGAGCTGGGATTACAGGCGTGAGCCACCCTGCCTGGCCACTTTTGTATTTTTAGTAAAGACAGGGTTTGAACACCTTGGCCAGGCTGGTCTCAAATTCCTGACCTCAGGTGATCCACCCACCTCTGCCTCCCAAAGTGCTGGGATTACAGGCATGAGCCACCGCGCCTGGCCAGAAGAAATCTTTATCTTGGTGTGCAGTGTCTGGTGAGGGACAAATGTCATCTCTCTTGGATCTGAATCTGGAAGGATCAAGGCACTGAAGGGATTTTTTTGTTTCAGACAGTATCCCTCTGTCGCCAGGCTGGAGTGCAGTGGCGCAATCTCAGCTCACGGCAACCTCTGCCTCCCGGGCTCAAGGGATCCTCCTGCCTCAGCCTCTCGAGTAGCTGGGACTACAGGCACGCGTCACCAGGCCCAGCTAATTTTTGTATTTTTAGTAGAGACAGGGTTTTACCACGGTGGCCAGGATGGTCTCAATCTCTTGACATCATGATCCACCTGCCTTGGCCTCCCAAAGGGCTGGGATTACAGGCGTGAGCCACCACGCCCGGCCTCACTGAAGGGATTTTTTTAATGTCACGTGGCTCTCACAGGTGCGGTGTGTTTGGGTGCAAGTGAAGATTACGACTGATGCTTAAAAACAAATGTAAAATTCCAGGTGGTGTTGCTATGGGGAGCAGCTTTAGGACAATCTGAGTGGTTTCAGTTGCAAGAGTGTGCGTGTACGTGCAAGTGCTACAGTCAAGATTCAACTGCTGGCTTTGAGGGCCTCTTTAAGAACAGTAATGATAACCTAAGGCAGTTTAACAGTATGGAATGGTTACCTTTTAGAAGTTAAGCTATGGGCATGGAAGTTCAATCAGTGCATTGAAGTTTTTCCTTTATCTCTCCTATGGTTAATGGTTTCTGCAGAAAAGGACCAATTGATTTCTTTCTAAAACGTTGCTTCAGGGTGTAGAGACCTTTATAGGTCATGTTTCAACTTACAGAAAATTTTTATAGTTCAAATATAAATTAAGTTCAATGTGGAATTTGTAATAGAATTTCAGGTGAAGTAAAATTTCCACTTTCCTTAGGCTGTTTGCAGTGCCCAGCAGGCCCCATGATATCGAGATGGAAGTTCTGTTAAAGGAGGAGATTGATCAGGGATGGGCAGAATAAGGAATATGGGCAGCTCAGGCTAATGATACAATGATTGAGATGTAGAAAGAGGGTCAGGCACGGGATAACGCCTGTAATCCCACTGCCTTGGGAGGCCAAGACAAGAGAATCGATTGAGGTCAGACCAGCCTGGTCAACAGAGTGAGACCTAACCTGTACAAAAAAAAAAAAAAAAAAAAAAATTAGTTGGGCATGATGGTGTGCACCTGTATTCTCAGCCACTTGGAAGGCTGAGGTCAGGGGATCCCTTGAGCCCAAGAGTTTGAGGCTGCAGTGAGCTATAATCACATAACTGTACTCCAGCCTGGGTGACAGGGTGAGGCCCTGACTCAAAAAAAAAATTGAGTCAGGGAAAAAATTTGAAATCTTAATCCTCAGTACCCAGGAATGTGACCTTATTTGGAAATAGGGTCTTTCTAGATGTAATCAAGTGACAATGAGTCATCCTGGATTGGGGGCTGCTGGTGAGGGGGCAGATACAATGACTGGTGTCCTTATAAAAGAAGAGAATGAGGGCCGGGCGTGGTGGCTCATGCCTGTAATCTCAGCACACTTTGGGAGGGTGAGGTGGGGGGATCACTTGAAGTCAGGAGTTCGAGACCAGCCTGGCCAATAATAACAATAAAAAAGCCTTTTTAGATTCCAAGCCACTGAAAGAAAACTGTCCCTTAGTTAATGTCATGCTTATTGGATCCATGAAGTCTTTGAAAATTTAAACTACAAGGACACTGCTCTCTGTGGTGGTGGAGAGAATACCAAGGATTTAAAGGTCTTTAAGAAAGAGAATGTAGAAAGCGTACCCATTGGAAACAGCACGATGATGATAATCGTACTGACAGTAATAATAAGCTCAAATATATAGAGCTTACTATGTATCATGAATTGTTCTGAATGCTTTATAAATATATGTTACCTCCTTTACCCTCATGACAGCCCAGTAAAGGCGCCATTCCCCATTTTACAGCTGGGGAAACTGAGTTACAGAGCTTGTCTGCACTGAGTCATCAGGAGCAAATGCTAGATCAGGTAATTGAACCCAAGCAATCTGGTTCCAGAGCCAAATAGATGTATTTTTTATGTTATACAAACATATACATATATTTTTAGGGGAAGGGTGGGTGTAGGATGGGATGAGGATTCTGGGTAATTGCTTGGTAAATACCAAATACCTTTCTTGTCTGTCCTTCTTTTCAAATGATAAAGTAATGTCAGTTGCAACACTTTTTTTTTTTTTTTTGAGAGAAGGTCTAGCTGGAGTACAGTGATGCAGTCACAGCCCACTGCAGCCTCAAATTCCTGGGCTCAAGCAATCCACCCACATCAGCTTCCCAAGTAGTTGGGACTAGAGGCCCACAATACCATGCCCAGCTAATTATTTTAATTTTTGTAGAGATGGCAGGTGGCGGTGAGGGGCGGGCGGTTTTGCTATGTTGCCCAGGCTGGTCTCAAACTCTTGACCTCAAGTGAACCTCCTGCCTCAGCCCCACAAAGCTCTGAAATTATAGGCATGAGCCACTGTGGCTGGCTACAATACTATTTATTTATATTTTAGACCAACAGGTATTCTACCATATAAGAAATATGATGTTCTCTGTACATTGAAGAGTTGGTCTAATATTTGGCCTGGTGGATGGAGAAATTGCCTGTCTGCTCCGCTCTGGTTGAAGAAACCAGTCTGACTGTCTCTGAGGCTATGGAGCAGTCCATGAAGAATGAAAGCCCTTGGCCAGGCACATTGGCTCACACCTGTAATACCAGCGCTTTGGGAGGCCGAGGCAGGTGGATCACTTGAAGTCACGAGTTTGACACCAGCATGGCCAACATGGTGAAACGCTGTCTCTACAGAAAATAGAAAAATTAGCTGGGCCTGGTGACACGTGCCTGTAATCCCAGCTACTCAGGAGGCTGAGGCAGGAGAATCACTTGAACCTGGGAGGCAGAGGTTGCAGTGGGGAGCTGAGATCACACCACTGCATTCCAGCCTGGGCGACAGAGCGAGACTCTCTCAAAAAAAAAAAAAAAAAAGAATGAATGTCCTCATGATGGCCTCAAGCACATTGGTCCCTGAAGAGAGCCAAGGAAGGCCCACTTTACTCTGCACTGCAAAGCAGGCAGGTGGACAGGATGAGAAGTGGATTCAGTGACAGGCATTGACCCAAAGGATTTTCTGCCTAATGGTCGGTTCAGCAGAAGATTAAACTGAGCACAGCATCCTGTTCCCTCAAACTGTCTGGTTGGTCAGTGGGGAATGTTCTTGTCTCGTTAAATGTCCTCATGCTACTGTCAAGATATCCTGTTACAAAACATCATAAACCAGGTTTACAAATAGGCCAGGTGACTGTGGAATTTCTCCTTGGCAAGGCCTTAGCTATGGGCATGCGATTGGTGTGCAGTAATCACAGTGTTCCGGGCCACTTGAGGGATAAAATATACCTTAGGTGATAAACTGTTGTATTTTAATGTGAATATTTCCACCAACACTAAACAGTAACCCCATGAGTTTTCTCATACCTGTTACACTGTGGAGTTGCAACAAGCTAACAAGCAAGTTGCAAACAGAATTATCGCATTTGGCTCTTATTCACAGCCAGGGTTCTTCAAGCTGTACCTGGGACAGTCTTCCCTCACATGAGGTTTATAGCATCATTTATTTCATTATTTATTTATTTTTTGAGACGGAGTTTCGCTCTGTCGCCCAGGCTGGAGTGCAATGGCGCGATCTTGGCTCACTGCAACCTCTGCCCCCCCGGGGTTCACGCGATTCTCCCGCCTAAGCCTCCCGAGTAGCTGGGATTATAGGCACCCGCCACCACGCCCGGCTAATTTTTGTATTTTTAGTAGAGATGGAGTTTTACCATGTTGACCGGGCTGGTCTCAAACTCCTGACTTCAGGTGATCCACCCGCCTCAGCCTCCCAAAGTGTTGGGATTACTGGCATAAGCCACAGCGCCCGGCTATAGCATCATTTAAACTTTGTTTCTGCCATGAATTGTTAGTTGGTAGTTAACAAAAAATAGACCACCTCATTTATGTCTCACAGTTAGCATTGGTTTTTGTGTTTTCTTTAGGCTTGTTTTTTAATTGTTTTTAAAATTGTGAAACAGGGTCTTGTTCTGTTGCTGAGGCCAGAGTGCAGTGACACAATCTTGTCTCGCTGCAGCCTCAACCTCCTGGGCCCAAGCAATCCTCTCACTTTAGCCTCCTGAGTAGCTGGGACTGCAAACAGGAGCCACCACCCCTGGCTAATTTTTAATTATTAATTTTTTTTTTTTTTTTGAAATGGAGTTTCGCTCTGTCACCCAGCAGGTTGGAGTGCAGTGGCGTAATCTCGTCTCACTGCAACCTCCACCTCTCGGGTTCAAACCATTCTTCTGCCTCAGCCTCGGCACCCACCACTATGCCTGGCTAATTTTTAAAAAATATTTTTATTAGCGACAGGGTTTCACCATGTTGGCCAGCCTGGTCTTGAACTCCTGACCTCAAGTGATCTACCTACCTCAGCCTCCCAAAGTGCTGGGATTACGGGCGTGAGCCACCACGCCAAGCCTAATTTTTAAATTTTTTGTAAAGACCAGGTTTTGCCATGTTGTCTAGGCTGGTCTTGAACTCCTGGGCTCAAGTGATCCTCCTGCCTTGGCCTCTCAAAGTTCTGGGATTACAGGCATGGCCCTTATGCCTGGCCCTTAAAGCTGCTTTTTAATAACAGCTTTATTGAAAGATAATTCACATACCATACAATTTGCCCATTTAAAGTGTATCATTTGGCCGGGCATGGTGGCTCACACTTGTAATCCCAGCACTTTGGGAGGCTGAGGTGGGAGGATCGCTTGAACCCAAGAGTTTGAGATGAACCCGAGCAACATGGCAAAACCCTGTCTTGACCAAAAATACAAAAAAATTAGCTGGGCATGGTGGTGTGTGTCTGTAGTCCCAGCTACTGAGGAGGATGAAGTGGGAGGATGGTTTGAGCCTGGGAGGTGGAGAGTGCAGTGAGTAGAGATTGCACCACTGCACTCCAGCCTGGGCAACAGAGCCAGACCCTCTCTCTAAATAAATAAATAAAGTGCATAATTCAGTGGTTTTTAATATATTCTCAGAGTTTTGCAGCCATCATCACCATCAATTTTAGAAATTTTAATTACCCCAGAAGAAACCCTGTATCCATTAGCAGTCACCCCTTATTTCCCCCTGACTGTCCCCACCCCTGGCTCCTGGCAACCATTAATCTACTTTCTGTTTCTTTGGATTTTCATATTCTGGGCATATATATATATATATATATATATATATATATATATATATATGTGTGTAATATATATATATAATCATCTAATATTTGTCTGGCTTCTCTCACTTAGCCTAATGGTTTCAAGGTGTATCCAGGTTGTAGCATGAATCAGCCCTTCATTCCATATTGTGGCTGATTAATGTTCCATCACACGGGTGGACTGTACTTGTTTGCTTATTCATCTGTTGTTGATGGGCATTTGCGTTGTTGCCACCTTTTGATAATTATGAATAGTTTTGCTACGAGCATCTGTGTGTGTCTTTGTATGAACAGACTTGCATATTTTTTGATATGGGCAAATGAGAACCAGCGGCAGGGGGCCTCTGTGGTGACGTTTTTGGTGATCTTCGTGTACTCTGTATAATGATCAGCCACTCAGGCTTGGGGGCAGCACTTAACCTTACATTCTTTCTTTTTTTAAAGATAGGGTCTCTCTCTCTGCCACCCAGGCCAGAGTGCAGTTGACGCAGGGCAGGGGAGCCCCGAAGTGGAGCATAGTGTGTCCGGAACTGGTGGGTTCTTGGTCTCACTGACTTCAAGAAAGAAGCCGCGGACCCTCGCGGTGAGTGTCACAGTTCTTAAAGGCTGCGTGTCCAGAGTTTGTTCCTTCTGATGCTCGGATGTGTTCAGAGTTTCTTCCTTCTGGTGGTTTTGTGGTCTCGCTGGCTTCAGGAGTGAAGCTGCAGACCTTCAAGGTGAGTGTTACAACTCTTAAGGTGGGGCGTCTGGAGTTGTTTGTTCCTCCCGGTGGGTTCATAGTCTCGCTGGCTTCAGGAGTGAAGCTGCAGACCTTCGAGGTGAGTGTTACAGCTCATAAAGGCAGTGTGGACCCAAAGAGTGAGCAGCAGCAAGATTTATTGCAAAGAGCAAAAGAACAAAGCTTCCACAGTGTGGAAACGGACCCCAATGGGTTGCCACTGCTGGCTGGGGCAGCCTGCTTTTACTCCCTTCTCTGGCCCCACCCACATCCTGCTGATTGGTCCATTTTACAGTGAGCCGATTGGTCTGTTTTGACAGGGTGCTGATTGGTACATTTACAATCCCTGAGCTAGACACAAAAGGTCACCAAATCCCTACTAGATTAGCTAGATACAGAGTGTCGACTGGTGCATTCACAAACCCTGAGCTAGACACAGGGTGCTGATTGGTGTGTTTACAAACCTTGAGCTAGATACAGAGTGACAATTTGTGTATTTACAATCCCTTAGCTAGACATAAAGGTTCTCAAAGTCCCCACCAGACTCAGGAGCCCAGCTGGCTTCAGCAAGTGGGTCCCACACGGGGGCCGCAGGTGAGCTGCCTGCCAGTCCCGTGCCCTGTGCTGGCACTCCTCAGCCCTTGTGTGGTCGAAGGGACTGGGTGCCCTGGAGCAGGGGGCTGTGGTCGTCGGGGAGGCTCGGTACTCATCGGGGAGGCTCAGGTCGCGCAGGAGCCCACGGCGGGTTGGGTGGAGTCTCAGGCATGGCGGGCTGCATGTCCCGAGCCCTGCCCTGCAGGGAAGCAGCTAAGGCCCAGTGAGAAATTGAGCAAAGCAGCTGCTGGCCCAGGTGCTAAGCCCCTCACTGCCCGGGTCCATCGGGGCCGGTGAGCCACTCCGAGTGCAGGGCCCAGTGGGCCCATACCCACCCGGAACTCGCACTGGCCCACAAGCGCCGTGCCCAGTCCAAGTTCCTGCCCGCGCCTCTCCCTCTACACCTCCCCGCAAACTGAGGGAGCCGGCTCCAGCCTCCACCAGCCCAGGAAGGGGCTCCCACAGTGCAGCGGTGCACTGAAGGGCTCCTCAAGTGCCACCAAAGTGGGAGCCCAGGCAGAGGAGGCGCCGAGAGTGAGCGCGAGGGCTGCTAGCATGCTGTCACCTCTCAATAGCACTTGAGGGTTCTTGTCTTTATCCAGGAAAGAATTCAAGGGCAAGCCGGAGGTTTAGAAGAAAACAGCTTTATTGAAGAGGCAGCATTACAGCCCTGTGACTGCTCCTGTAGGGCAGGGCTACCCTGGTGGCAGAGAGTAGCGGCAGAGAGTTTGCAATCACATTTATACTCACTTTTAATTGCATGCAGATTAAAGGGCAGTTTATGCAGGAATTTCTAGAAAATGGGTAGTAACTTTTGAGTCATTGGGTCATTGCCATGGAAAGGGGCAGTAACTCCCTGGTGTTGCCTTGGCAATAGTAAACTCACATGGCACACTGGTGGGCATGTCTGATGGAAAGCTTCTTCTGCCCCAGCCCTGTTTTAGGTAGTCCTTAATTTGGTCTGGTGTCCAAGCCCTGCCTGTGTCGTCAAGTCCTGCCTCCTATCTCACAGTGGCGTGATCATGGCTCACTGCAGACTCAACACCCCCGGGCTCGAGCAGTTCTCCCACCTCAGCCTCCTGAGTTGCTGGGACCACAGGCACGTGCCACTACGCCCAGCTACATTTTTTGCATTTTTCGTAGAGATGGTGTTTCACTGTGTTGCCTAGGCTGGTCTCAAACTCCTGGGCTCAAGCAATGTACCAACGTTAGCCTTCTAAAGTGCTGGGATTACAGGTGTGAGCCACTGCACCCAGCCCAACCTTACATTTTTAATCTCAAGTCACTTCTCTCTACGTTTTGATTTCTTCTTTAAAATGGCGGAACTAAGAGCATCTATTTTATAGGGTTGTTGGGACGACAAAAATGAAAGAACTGCTGTTCAATGTTTAGTGAAGCGCTGTGCACAGTTTTGAATAATGAAGTTGGTGTTTATTTTTTATTATTTGTTTATTTATTTTTTAGAGACGGGGTCTTGCTCTGTTGCTCAAGCTGGAGTGCAGTAGTGCAATCACAGCTTAGTGCAGGATTGACCTCCTGGGTTCAAGAAATCCTGCCACCTCAGCCTCCTGAGTAGCTGGGACTACAGGCATGCATCGCCATGTCTGGCTATTTATTTATTTGTTAGTTTTTTGTAGAGATGACGTCTCCCTTTGTTGCTTGGGCTGGTCTTGAACTCCTGGCCTTAAGCAATCCTCCTGTCTTGGCCTCCCAAAACACTGAGATTACAGGTGTGAACCACCATGGCCAGCCTTATTTTTATTTTTAAATCAGCCTTATCAAGTTGAATTGGTCATTAATCTTGTATAACGGTAACTTGGCGCAGCATTGGTTGGGCGGGGGGTGGGGAACCTTTAGGACCCTGTGGGCTACAACTCATAGTGTGTGCACTTATTTTATTTTGTTTTGTTTTGTTATGTTATGTTATGTTATGTTATGTTATGTTATGTTATGTTATGTTATGTTATGTTATATTATATTATATTATATTATATTATATTATATTATATTATATTATATTATATTATATTTTTTTGAGATAGGGTCTCACTCTATTGCCCAGACTGGAGTGCAGTAGCATGATCTTGGCTCACTGCAACCTCTGCCTCCCAGGTTCAAGCGATTCTCCTGCCTCAGCCTCCAGAGCAGCTGGAACTACAGATGCGCGCCACCACGCCCGGCTAATTTTTGTATTTTTAGTAGAGCTGGGGTGTCACGATGTTGGCCAGGCTGGTCTCAAACTCCTGACCTCAGGTTATACACTTGCCTCAGCCTCCCAAAGTGCTAGGATTATAGGCGTGAACCACCGTGCCTGGCTGTGCACTAATGTTTGATTTTTGCAGAACCACCCTTCCCTAATGGTTGTCTCCTAGATCTAAGGTGACTTTATTCATTTTAGAATGAACTTACCCCATTGATACTGTAACCAGAGTTGGCATACATCACGATTGGCAGAACCCGGTCATGTTTAGCGATATGGAAGTGTTCTGGAAACTCCTCCTTCTTGTAGACGTGGAGGTGACGGTGCGCATTCTTCAGTGCCTGGTAAAGGGCTTCCTCTTGCCCCAACTTGGGCAGGGGCATCCCAAAGCCACCGTAGCGCACAATATCAAACTTGACCAGGTCCCTGAACTTGACGTAGTTGGACAAGGGGATCTTGTTGACATTGGGTCTCTTCTTTACGGTGGTCATCCCACGGTCTCATGTAATGATGACGCTGAGGTGCTCTGCAGGCTGTGCTTCTCAGTGGCTCCCACCAGATACCCGATGGTCCTGTCGATTTGCTGAATCATCAACTTCCTTTTCTCTGCCTCTGGCCCGAATCGATGTCCCACGTTATCTGGCTCTCTGTAGCACAGAGTCACAAAATCAAAGTCTTCCTTGGTGAACCAGTTCATGACGGTATCGATGTTCTCCTTCCGCTCTGTCTCGTTGCTGCTTGGGTGAGTGTAGGAATCCACCAGGGACCACTTGACAGCCTCACCCTCATATTTAGCACCTCCCCTGGAATAGTGGAATGATGCCGCTCTGTTCCCCTGTAAGTACAAGAAGAAAATTCCATCAGGGCCATTTGTCATACCTTTCTCACAATCAGCAAAGCTCGAGTTGTCTACATCTGTGCCCCTGTCCAAAGGTGTAGGAAATATGTGGTCTTTGGAGTCAGACAGGGTGGAGTTAGATTCTGGGCTTCCCCAGGATCTCATAGCATCTACAACACTGTTAGTTACAAGATGTACTATTATTTTATGGGCTACTGAGCAGAAAAATGCTGCCAATGAGACCGTGACATTCCAGTGATTGTAAGGTGTATTACAACTACAGAGATGGCAATATGAAAAATAGTTCCTTAGAATAGAAGGAGACGGTAATTTCTGAGTTGGTGGTGGTGAATTTGTGCATGTGTGTTTTTTATATATATACACATATATATATACACACATATATATACACATATGTACATGTATATATGTATGTGTGTATATATACACATATATACATATACATGTATATATGTGTATATATACACACATACATATATACATACACATGTATATATGTGTACATATACTCACATACATATATACATACACATGTATATGTGTGTGTACACACACATATATACATACACATGTATATGTGTGTGTACACACACATATATACATACACATGTATATGTGTGTGTACACACGCATACATACACATGTATATGTGTGTGTGTACACACGCATATATACATACACATGTATATGTGTGTGTACACACGCATATATACATACACATGTATATGTGTGTGTGTACACACGCATATATACATACACATGTATATGTGTGTGTGTACACACGCATATATACATACACATGTATATGTGTGTGTGTACACACGCATATATACATACACATGTATATGTGTGTGTGTACACACGCATATATACATACACATGTATATGTGTGTGTGTACACACGCATATATACATACACATGTATATGTGTGTGTGTACACATACACATATATGTATACATTGTGGTGCAGGGGTACAATCATAGCTCATTGCACCCTTGAACTTCGGGCCTTAAGTGATCCTGCTACCTCAGCCTCTTGAGCAGCTGGGGCAACAGGCATGTGACACCACACCAATATTTTTTTTTGTTGTTTTTGAGACACGGTCTCACTCTGTCACTTAGGTTGGAGTGCAGTGGCACAATCTCAGCTCACTGCAACCTCTGACTCCTAGGTTCAAGCAATTCTCGTGCCTCAGCCTCCCAAGTAGCTGGGATTATAGACATGTGCCACTATGCCCAGCTAAGTTTTGTATTTTTAGTTGAGATAGAGTTGTGTCGTGTTGGCCAGGCTGGTTTCGAATCCCTGGGCTGAAGTGATCCACTTGCCTTGGCCTCCCAAAGTGCTGGGATTACATGTGTGAGCCACCGCGCCTAGCCCTAATTTTTTTTTTTTTTTTTAATATTTGTAGAGATGAGGTCTCGCTAATTTGCCCAGGCTGGTCCTGAACTCTTGGGTTCAAGTAATTCTCCTGCCTCAGCCTCTCAAAGTGCTGGGATTACAGGCATGAGACACCGTTCCCGGCTGGTGGTGAGTTTCTCAGCGTCTCAGTGTTTCTACATCTAGAATGCCAAAAAGTAGATGGCATCTTTGTGAGGATTAAGCAGGCTAGCTTTTTATTTTTTTATTTTTATTTTTATTTTTTTTGGAAACAGAATTTCTCTCTTATCACCCATGCTGGAGCGCACTGGCGTGATCTTGGCTCACTGAAACCTCCGCCTCCTGGATTCAAGTGGTTCTCCTGCCTCAGCCTTCCAAGTAGCAGGGATTACAAAGCCAGCTAGCTTTAAGATACGGTGTTGGGCATCACGTTTTGGCATGGAGCAGGCACTCTTTTCTTTGCCCCCAGGTGGGACTAAGCCACCACAAGCCTTCCCTGGTGTGTGCAGTGGGTGATGAATGCTTGCCTGCTCAGCACCCACTTCCTGGTGGGCTGGGTCACATTACTATGACTCCCCCTTGAGCTTCAGTCCGCGCCTGGTTGGAGATTATTGACTCAACCCGGGGATCCAGAGGTGGGATGTAGCTCTGGCCTGGCCAGAGGACCGAGGATGCTGCATGCCATGGCTACAGC
Source organism: Homo sapiens (assembly GCF_000001405.40). NCBI lineage: Eukaryota > Metazoa > Chordata > Mammalia > Primates > Hominidae > Homo > Homo sapiens. The sequence goes on from NC_000008.11 coordinate 12,208,482, forward strand.
TACTGGTTCAGCTTTGGGCTCATGTCCTAGTCAGAGCCAATGAGATGTAATCTTGGGATATCTGCTGGGCTGTTGGGAAGGGGACAGGCTGCCCTGCACATCCCCATTCCTGATGCTGAGGGATCTGAGAAAATCACTTGTAAAATTTGGGGGTGTTTGGAAGAAGGGGAGATTGATGTCTCTTTCTCTCTACAGACATCTGATCAGCTACAGAGCTTGACTAACCTACCCAGAGGCAGAATGATATGGTGGTTAAAAGTGTGCTCTGGGCCGAGATTTTGCCACTGCACTTCAGCCTGGGTGACAGAGTGAGACTCCATCTCAAAAAAAAAAAAAAAAAAAAATCTGCTCTGGGCTGGACGCGGGGGCTCACAACTGTAATATCAGCACTTTGGGAGGCTGAGGCAGGAAGATCGCTTGAAGTCAGGAGTTTGGAATCAGACCCTATCTCTAGAAAAATGTTTTTTAAAAATTAGCTGGGTTGGTGGTGAATGCCTCTAGTCCCAGCTACTCGGGAGGCTGAGGCGGGAAGACTGCTGGAGCTTGGGAGTTCAAGCCTGCACTGAGCTATGATCAGGCCACTGCACTCCAATTTGAGGGACAGAGAGAGACCCCATCTCTCTGAACAACAAAAATGTGTGCTCTGGTGCCACACGGCCTGGTTAGATCCTTTGTCCACCACTTAGATGCATGTTATATAAATGTTCTCCTCAGTTTCCTCGTCTGTAACTTGGGGATGGTAATGCTGCCCCAAGAAGTGGTTATGGGGACTAAATGCATGTGGGCATATTGGTTAGTATTCAACCAGCTTGATTTTTCCTGGAGAGGGAGAAAGAGCATGCAGTGAGGTGGCATGGTCAGGTGCATTGGGACAAGGATTATTTCCTCTGGCTTCTGCCTCCTGGGAGGTATAAGGAGGGATCTGAAATCTGTCTGCAGACCCCAGAGTTGGGGACTGCAGAGGGAAATTGAGATCAGGGACTCTAGTCTGGCAGAAATGAGTGCTGCATGGGGCATTGGGTTCCTTCCATCAGAGGCATGGGGTGTGTTGCAGACAGTCATGAAATGTGGCTGAATCTTGCAAGGGACCCTCGGTCCTATGGTTGCTGCTTGAGACAAAGACCCCTGTCAGTGGAACCTGGTGACATTCACCCTTCTGTGTCAGGCTGCAGACAGCAGGAGATGGCAGCAGATTACACCCAACAGGAAAAGGGCCATTGCCACCCCACAGGTTGCCATAGAAGGAGATGACATCTCTCCCTCTTCTCCTCCAGCAGTGTCAGCTGGGGAAGTGGTGGGTGGATGTGCACAAAAGAGTAGACCACAGAGCATGCTCCTTCTCCTCCGGTCTGCTGGGGCCCCAAGAGAGTCTGCAGCCCTTGGCCAAGGACCGGCTGACACAGGAGAACAAAAGACCTTAGGCTGGGATAACATGGTGGTGCAGTTCATCCTCTGGAGCTCCCTGTGAGATCAGACTGGAGCCAGTCTCCAGCTGAGACCACATCTCACTTAGCTCCTTTCCTGCCATATCCTGTTTTCCTTACTCCTATCTCCTGAGACTTCTTCCTGAATGAATTACATGCACTCAATCCCTGCCTCAGTCTCTGCTTTTAGGGAACTTGACCTAAGACAGAAATCTTAGTACTAAATACTTTGCAAGGCCTCAGAAGCTCTGCTATCCACAAGCAGGTGAGATATTACCTTCCCTACCACCTGGCAGTCATAGTCTATGATGCGATTCAGCTTTATGGAAGTGCTTCTCTAAAGAACTTCCCCCAATTTAAGACGATCTTAATTTGCTTACTTGTTTACTGTCCATTTAGCTGCTCTAAAATGTGAGCTCCAAATCAGGGGCCGTGTCTGGTTGGTTACTCATTTCCTGAGACCTGGAATGGGCCTAGCTCAGAGCAGGTGCTCACTATTGATGGAATGCATGTTGAAAGAATGCATGAATCTCATGTCTTTTTGTGGGTGAAAAACTCATCCTATTCTCACCCTGATTAACTTTCTTTCTTTCTTTATTTTTTTTTTTTTTTCAAAATGGAGCCATGATCTGTCACCCAGGCTGGAGTGCAATGGTGTGATCTCAGCTAGCTGAAACCTCTGCCTTCTGGATTAAACCAATTCTCCTACCTCAGCCTCCTGGGTAGCTGGGATTACAGGTGTATACCACAACGCCCGGCTAATTTTTTGTATTTTTAATAGAGACAGTGTTTCACCATGTTGGCCAGGCTGGTCTCGAACTCCTGACCTCGTGATCTGCCCTCTTTGGCCTCCCAAAGTCCTGGGATTACAGGCATGAGCCACCATACCCAGCCACTCTTGATTAACTTAATGGAAATATTTACAGAGATTCTTTCTCTTCTGGGTTCTAACGTCTTATCTGTAACCTCTGCAGGTAATACATTTTCCTTCCTGATGATAGCATTTCTATGGTTGCTTTCACTTGCAAATCCTCTAATACTTATTTATTCCATTTCTGATTGGCATTAGACATAATTCTCAATTTTTAGTGACAGCACTTCTTTTAACTTACATATAAATCGACTTTGTCTTGAAATGTGACATTGACTAGAAGGATGAAACTTCTAACATGCTGTAGAACATAGTTTGACTGGCTAATTTATTATTTAGAAGAAGCTAATATTGCCATTATGAGGGACTTAGGTGACTCTGAAGAACCAGTTTCATTTGTAATATTTGCAATGTTAAATCACAGACATTGCCAACGTGAAATAGTTTCCATATGCTGTGTTCTCAATACACACCTTTTCCAAAGATATCCCAAGCTGTAGTCTTAGAAGACTGTGATTTTTCTTATTTGTTCTCACAGGAATTTGGGGAGCTATGCTGGATCTCCATAAAATGAGCTCCAGAAAGACACGTGTGCACACACACACACTCACACATGTACCACACCGCACTTGACTCTGTTTATTTGGGACCCATGATTATCAGAAATGCTATTTTTAACAAATACTTCTGAGAAATAATCTGAACACTTAATTGGATGCAAAAGAGTGGCTATTTACTATTCTACCCTTTAATTAGCATAATCAGTGTTTCCAGCAGCAAAAGCAATTGGAAAATCGCTTGTTTTGTTAGGTTCATTCTTCTCCCTTAGCATAGTGTGGCATCAGCATGGCTATTATTCTTAAATTGCCTCTTTAAAACAAGAGCTGGTGCTTCTTACAGGCAATTCCTAACTCTTGGGTTTTGTAGAGGGTCCAAAACTCTTTAGAACCTATAATTCAAGGAAAGGCTCCACTTTGGTTTTGCATTTTGTCTGGTCTCTTTGGGTGACAGAATTTATGTCACAAGGTGCACATGTTTTGGGGAGGCTCATGGACAGCCCATCGCTCTTGTGCTTTGGTAGGAAATATGTGCAGTTATGGGGAAGGAGTTAGTTACTCATCTAGGGAACAATTGGGTAGAAAGAGATGGACTCCCTGTATTTGAAATTCAGAACTCAAGCTTGGCTCTAAGTGTTTCCTTGCTTTGCTGTGCTCCACGGGAGTCACTGAGCAGAAGGAAGCGAGTTGCCTGAGATTCCTCAAAGCCCGCAGCCCTTTTGGAGGTTACATTGTTATTCTCAGAGCCTTTATGATACATAATAAAGACCTAGCTTGGACCAACATTAGGATGAGTTATCTTGCTATTAACATTCTTTCAGGTAGAAGTTGCTTTTAGGTAGAAGTTGGTCCCATCTTGCTCACAATCCTCCAAAGCTTGGAAGTTACTTTCCAGGAGACTTAGCTTGCACTGAGAGCCGCCCTCCCACCCTCTCTCCAAATTTCCTCTTGGGAGTAGCCTAACAAGGTGCTGTCACAGGCCCTTGCCAGCCACGATGACCCCACCCAGACCATCCCTCTGCTGTTTCACTCTTTGATATTCTCTGGAGCTCTCTGGGGAGCGGTGAGACCTGCTGTCTGGTTTGTACGGTTTGCCCAGGTCTTACAGTCATGGCTGGCTGCCTCTCTCTGAGAACTGGGACTCCTGAACTTGGTGAAATACCTCAGCCATTGATCATGTTAAATTATCGGTGGCACTCATTTAAAATCCGAGTCTGCTCCAGATGGACTCTCTCTTTCTGCCCTGACTATGAGAGAGAGAGATCGTGAGAGACAGAGACCATGAGAAAGACCGTGAGAGAGAGACACAGAGCTAGAGAGAGAGACCGTGTCCTGACCTGCTGGACAGTGGAGATGCTTGTGGGCTGTGAGCAAGGGATGCAAAGGCTGCCGGGAATCCCATTTTTCCAGCATCATCTGCCAAGGCACATCAGTTCCTGGGTGTCTTGATGGGTTCTGGCAGCATTACTGTCATTGAAGGAAAACATTTTAGCCATATTAAAGGTGAATGCAGCAAGCTCCACACAGGCTGCCTGGAAGGGACGCGGGACAAGGGTAGGTTTTCCCTGTGATGGACAGGAGACAGGCGGCCCTCCCACAGCCCTGCCTGGCAAAGCAGATGTGTCCCCAAAAGGCACTGGGGGCAGCTGGAGTGCTGTGCGGAGGCGGGCTCACCCGGGCCCTGGGTTTGCTCTGATTGCAGCGGTTTCCCGCCAGCTCCTTGGAGAGCTGGCAGATGACCCAGCCCCACAGCAGGAGCTGTGAATGGCAGAACGAGATACAACAATTTGATATCCACTTGCCAGATGAGCCGGGTGTCGTCAGTCGCCTGGCTCTGCGCCAACCTCTTTTTGCACAAACACTTATGAATTCAGCCAGGAGGAAAAGCACTCTGATTATGAATTGAGCAGAAGGAAACAAAGTTCTGCGAATAAACACCAATGAGACAAAAAAAGACGAATAAGAAAAATGACAGAAAAGGAGAACCTTCCCAGAAGCCTCCTGCCAGTGAACAGCCACCGTAGCAAGAGCTTGGAGGCCCTGGGTTTTGAACTGTGAGATAAGGAAGATGATGAAAACCTCCCTAGCAGCCAGGCAAGCACAAGATTCCTGTAAAATCCAGGTCTAAGTGTTTTAACCACAGAAGTAATATTATGTCATAGGTGAGAGCTGTGAGTTGCTGAACCCAAAGTGAGTTCAAATCCGAGCTCTGCCTCCTGCTACCTGTGTGACTTTGAGAAGTTCCAGCACTGCTTTGTGCCTCAGTTTTGTCATCTGTTAAATGGGCATAATCACAGCTTGTGCCTCAGAGTTGTTGTAAATTAATACATGTAAAGCACTGAAATCAGCCTGGTATACAGTAAGTGTTATGAACGTTATTTTCTTGGAAGGACAGAACTTATTTTCATGGTCTAAGCCTGAAAGTCTAAAAAATGTGAGAGAAGAGGAAAGAATCTAGAGTCTCACCATGAGGGAGAAAAGTCAACTTGAAGCAGGACAGGGTCATTGACAATTTCCTGTGATTCTACAGCTGCCTTGTACACTATGGTAGCTCCTATCCACTTACTGTTTAGATTTTGTGATTTAGAAATGAATTAAGGGCAGGCATGGTGGCACACCTGTAATGCCAGCATTTTGGGAGGCCAAGTTGGGCAGATCACCTGAGGTCAGGCGTTCAAGATCAGCCTGGCCAACATGGTGAAATCTCGTATCTACAAAAATACAAAAATTAGCCGGGCATGATGGCGGGTTCCTGTAATCCTGGCTACTCAAGAGGCTGAGGCAGGAGAATTGCTTGAACCTGGGAGATGGAAGTTGCAGTGAGATGAGATTGCACCACTGCACTCCAGCCTGGAGGATAGAGTGAGACTCTGTCTGAAAAAAAAAAAAAAAAAAATTAAGAGAAAATTGAAAATTCAGTTCTTCATTCTCACCAGCCACATTTCAAGGGCTCAACAGCCCATGTGGGCGGCTAGCAGCTCCCATGTTGGACAGTGCAGAGTAGAGCAAGCCCACCATTGCAGAATGTTTGATTGGACCATGACTGAATAGTCTATTGCAGTGGTCCCCAATTTTTTTTTAGCACCAAGGACCAGTTTCCGTGTACTTGTTGGGGGAAGTTTCAGGATGATTCAAGTGCATTACATTTATTGTGTACTTTATTTCTATTGTTATGAACATTATAATATATAATGAAATCATTATACCACTCACCATAATGTAGAATCAGTGAGAGCCCTGAGCTTGTTTTCCTGCAACTAGATAATCCCATCTCCGGGTGGTGGGAGACAGTGACAGATCATCAGGCATTAGATTCTCATAAGGAGCACACAACCTAGATCCCTTCCACATGCAGATCACAATAGGGTTGGTGCTCCTATCAGAATCTAATGCTACTGCTGATCTGACAGGAGACAGAGCTCAGGCGGTAACGCTAGCCATGGGGAGCAGCTGTAAATACAGATGAAGCTTCACTCATTAGCTCACTGCTCACCTCCTTCTGTGCAGCCCAGTTCCTAACAGGTCACAGACTGCTACTGGTCTGTGGTCTGGGGGATGGGGACCTCTGGTCTATTGGATAACACTAGCTTTGAGGGTACTGATCAGCCAAAGAAGCACTGAGATGATTTGTCCTCCATTAATAAGAATGATGGACTTTTTTTTTTTTTTGAGACAGAGTTTTGCTCTTGTTGCCCATGCTGGAGTGCCTTGGCACCATCTCGGCTCACTGCAACCTCTGCCTCCCAGGTTCAAGAGATTCTCATGCCTCAGCCTCCCAAGTAGTTGAGATTACAGGTGCCTGCCACCATGCCTGGCTAATTTTTGTATTTTTAGTAGAGTCGGGGTTTTGCCATGTTGACCAGGCTGGTCTTGAATTCCTGACCTAAGTGATCCACCTGCCTCAGTCTCCCGAAGTGCTGGGATTACAGGCGTGAGACACCGTGCCTGGCCAGATGGACTTTTTTGGAGCATTTAGTTCCAAGCACCTTCCCTGCATTTTCTCAGTTAATCCTCCCAGTGACTCTTTGAAGCAGGGACTATGACAATCGTCATTTCACAGATGGAGCAACTGAGGCACAGAGAGGAAGTCAATGGCCACGGTCGCCCAGCTGAGGAAGGATGGAGCCGGCTGAGATCCTGTTCTGGGGATCTAACTCTGCAGCCTGCATTCTGGGCTGCTGTATTCTCCCTTGTTGCTGTCTGACGAGCACAGCATGGGCTCAGAGTACAGACAGGAGGAACCAGCTAATAAGGAGAGGTCTAGGGTGAAGGCTGGTGCCTTGGGGAAGAAGAGAGAGGTCTCATTCTAAAGGGATGGCGTTGGAAGTTCATAGTGATAAAGCAAAGCCAACAGGTTTTGGGGCTGAGAGTTAAACACACAGCTCTGGTTTCTGCCTTTTCACAGTGGTGATGAAAGAGCACTGAGAGCCTCTCGAGCTAAAGTTGTCATCATTGCTCTTCATAGTCTGAAGGTGCATGAAATGGTCAACTTTCTTCCAAAGGGCTTTTATGCCTAAGTCTGTGGTTAGTGTATAAACAGATATTTACTGAAGTCCTGCTGGGTGCAGACACTGTGGCCAGCCCTGAGGCTACAGTCAAGATGAAGCCAGTCTCTGTCCTCATGGAGACCTGTCTATTGATAAGAAAAGAGAAAGCTCACTGAGCATTGACCCTGTGCCCACTGCTTTTGATGCATCTCTCATTTAATCCTTCTATCAAATCTGTGAAATAAACACATCACCATCATCCTATTTCACATTTAGGGAAACATATGCTTAGAGAGGGTAAGTAACTTGGTCAAGGTCACACAGCTTCGATCTCTCATCCCACAGGCGCAGGAATGGGAGGCAGCAGCTGGGGAAGCCAGGGTCTCTGGCAGTCCTTGTCTCTGGGCGGTGATCCAGAGAGAGAGAGAACACGATTGTCTCAGCACTGGGTCTTCTTCTGAGTCATCTTGAAGGAGCAATTCCAGAGCGTCTCGGTGTTAAACATCATGTTGTGAATGACTCAGTGATCTGTGACCCAGAGACCTTGGGGATAAAGGAGGGGAGGTACGGAGAACCTCTTTGAATGGATGTTACCGGGGTGTCAGTGTTCTTTGAGGCCACAGGCTATGTGTCACCAAATTGAAGGGGTGGCCTGCCCCTCCACACCTGTGGGTATTTCTAGTCGGGTGGGATGAGAGACGGAGAAAAGAAATAAGACACAGAGACAAAGTACAGGGAAACAACAGTGGGTCCAGGGGACCGGCACTCAGCACACCAGGATTTGTACGTGCACTGGCCTCTGAGTTCCCTCAGTTTTTATTGATTATGATTTTCATTATTTCAGCAAAAAGGAATGTAATAGGAGAGCAGGGTGATAATAAGGAGAAGGTCAACAAAAAACATGTGAGCAAAAGAATCTATATCATAATTAAGTTCAAGGGAAGGTACTATGACTGGACTTGCACGTAGGCCAGATTTATGTTTCTCTCCACCCAAACATCTCAGTGGAGTAAAGAATAACAAGGCAGCGTTACTGCAACATGTCTCGCCTCCCGCCACAGGGCAGCTTTTCTCCTAGCTCAGACTTGAACAAATGTACAATCGGGTTTACACCGAGACATTCAGTTCCCAGGGGCAAGCAGGAGATAGTGGCCTTCCTCCATCTCAACTACAAGAGGCTTTCCTCTTTTCCTAATCCGCCTCAGCACAGACCCTTTACGGGTGTCAGGCTGGGGGACAGTCAGGTCTTTCTCATCCCACGAGGCCATATTTCAGACTATCACATGGGGAGAAACCTTGGGCAATACCCTGCTTTCAAGGGCAGGGCTCCCTGCGGCTTTCCACGGTGCATTGTTCCCGTGGTTTATTGTGACTAGAGAATGGCAATGACTTTTACCAAGTATACTGCTTGTAAATATTTGGTTAACAAGGCACGTCCTGCACAGCCCTAGATCCCTCAAACCTTGATTTTATACAACACATGTTTTTGTGAACTCCAAGTTGGGGCAAAGTGACTGGGGCAAAGTGGCTGGGGCAAAGCTACAAATGAACAACATCTCAGCAAAGCAATAGTTAGAGTACAGGTCTTTTTCAAAATGGAGTCTCTTATGTCTTCCCTTTCTACATAGACACAGTGACAGTCTGATCTCTCTCTTTTCCCTACATTTCCCGCTTTTCTTTTTGACAAAACCGCCATGGTCATCATGGCCCCTTCTCGCTGGTCGCTGTCTCTCCGGAGCTGCTGGATACACCTGTAGACTAACAATAGAGAGGACAGACATACAAGAATTAATACAAAATTTGCAATAGTGGAATTTCCAATGGTTTTAACCCAAGTGACAGGGTTAAGATTTGTGAGGCTATCAACAGCTTTTACCATTGCCTCCGTTTCTGACACCAGATTTAACTGGGCTTTTGATGTTTCAAAAATTTGTTCTTTCAATTTAGAAATATCTGAGGTAAGATTATCTTATCTTCCTTGTAGATGGCGTCTAACCATGTCCCAGTGCTGTTCAGATTCATTATAGGCTCGAGGTGTAATAGAAAAATCTGACATATTCCAGTCACACTGTAACTGAAAAAGATATTCTAAGCTCATGAGCCTATCTCCCATCCAAATAACAGTTTGTCTAAGATCATTAATTTGATTTGCCAATTTTTGACCTGTTTGAGTCTAAGAATTCCTCAATTTTGAGGAATTCTTTTGCCAATTATTCACATATTCTGCAGTTTGAACAGAGGAGTGTAAAGCAATTCCAGCAGCCGCAGCAGTAGCTGTGACTGCAATAAGACCCATAATCACTGCAATCAAAGTAAAAATGAATCTTTTAAATCTAATTAGAACTCCTTTTAATACTTAAGTTATGTACGGATGGAGAAGCCTCCCACGGTCGATCCATGGACACAGGGATCCACACGCCTTCTCTTGCCCTTACTAACAGAATAGCATTCTGCCAATCAAAAGTTGAATCAATGCAAGTAAACAATCTACAATTTTCACTGGTTGTAGTTTGGGAATCTGGTTTAATAGCTATGTTTTCTACAACTAGCATATAAGGGGGTTTTACACAACTTTGCAAAGGAATTTTCAGATTGGAATTTAGGTTAATAGTTAATATGGCTTATGATTTCTTGTTCCCATAACTTGATTTCCAGACCAAATTCTAATGTGGTACGAGGCCACAGTGAGCTTCCATAATTCTGGGTGTTCAGGACCAAAAACAGGACTAACTAAATTTGGTCGGGGTGATGAAATCCTCTTTTCACCCCATTTCCATGGATAGGGTGATTCTAGCCTTCTATAAACCTGGTCTAGCCTTTTAGTTAAATCACTATCACAGGCTGGATTAGTGGGCCAGACACATGGAGCCTGTGAACATGAGTGGGTCTGGCCCATACAGTCATAATATAATTGGCATTGAGGGGCCTAGTCTATAATAGTTTCAAATTTATTGTTTTGTAGTACCACTGCAGTATCAGCCACACATTCTTCCCAAACTAAGACTACTGGGTCTTTTGATTCTTTTGGAATTTCCCTGGGGCATGGTTTCCCTTTAGGCCTAAATTTTAATGATCTTTGATAGGAAGAATTCTGTAAATTATTCATTTGTGACCTGAGCGACATTCCTCTTATCATATGATAAGTAAATTTACTGGTGGCACTGACAGTAGGTATTTCTATCAACCAAGTTTGGATTGTAGGCATTAAGCATCCTGGTGCTTTTCCCAGGCAAATAGGAGGATAATGATACCCAATGGAAATGTTTATCATCATTCCTTTTTCTTCAGGTTGGGCAGGGCCACGGCCATCTGTGGGGCCTGGTACCCATGCACTGTTATTAACATATACTTCAATAGGATTATCTATCCAAGTGACTGCTCGAATTAAGGGTGGGAAAATCACATAGGCCCAGTAAGTATAGTTAGCTGTAGCGGCTCCTGAAGACATAGGGAGACTTACCACCGCTGATACAATCATTAAATCTGCAAGTAGCATATTCTCTGGAGTTTGTGTTACCCTTGTGTTTTCTAGGCTTTTTTCAGCTAACTGTGTCAGCTTCTTTAGCTGGGCCCAGGTCAGCGGCCCCACTTTCTTGGTGGATGGCAACTTCATCTGTTCTTCTGATATCACCATTTCGTTCACCCTGCGAGTCGATGATGTTCGATTGCGGGTTCTCTGTCTCTGCGGAGGTGCCTTCCCTTGCACCTCTGATGGGTTCATTGTAGAACTTCAAATGTCTAGTGGGTACCCAAAGAGGAAGCTGATTTTCTGCTGTTGGAACACAAGCAAAACCTCACCCCCATGTTATCACCTTACCTATTTCCCATGTTGTATTTTTGTTGTCTTTCCACCAAATCAGTTTTCCCTCATGTGGGCTGTTCTTTTTACCAGTAAAATGTTGTTCTGCAGAAGTAGTGGTCTGATTTCTATATATATTTAAAAAATTTAAAGTATAGAGTGCTAGATTAAGTTGCATCTGGGGAGTATTATACTCCTTACTTTTTCCTTCTTTTGTTTAACCAATTGAGCTTAGAGTGTTCTATTAGTTCTTTCAATTATGGCCTGTCCTTGGAAATTAAGGATTCCTGTTGTATGTGTAATTTTCCACTGATTTAAGGATTTTTGAAATGCTTTACTACAGTATCCTGGCCCATTACCTGTTTCAATTTTTTCTGGAAATCCCATGACTGCAAAACAAGATAATAAATGTCTTTTAACATGGGAAGTACTTTCTCCTGTCTGGCAGGTTGCCCATATGAAATGTGAATAAGTATCAACTGTCACATGGACAAATGACAATTTTGCAAATGAAGGTACATGTGTGACGTCCATTTGCCATAATGCATCAGGACATAAACCTCTAGGATTAACTCCTGCCTCTTGAGCGGGCAGGTGTAAGACTTGACACTGAGCACAATGTTGTACAACATTTTTTGCTTGTTTCCATGTGATATCAAATTTGTTTTTTAATCCTGTTGCATTTACATGAGTGAGGGCCTGAAGTTCTTGTGCTTCCATGAAGGCAGATGATACTAGCAAGTCAGCTTGTTCATTTGCCTTAGTTAAAGGCCCTGGTAAATTAGTATGTGCTCGGATATGAGCAATATAAAATGGGAAATTTCTTTTTCTTACAGTTTGTTGTAACAATTTAAACAGCTGATTTAACTGATCATCCATACTATATTTGATTAGGGCTGTCTCAACATCTTTTGTAGCCTGTACTAAATATGCAAAATCTGAAACAATGTTAATAGGCTGATTAAAATCTTGTAACACTGAAATGACAGCAACCAATTCTGCTCTTTGAGCTGAGTGATATTGAGTTTCAATGACTTGTTCTTTTGGCCCAGTGTAAGCCACTTTTCCGTTGCTGGAACCATCAGTAAACACTGTCAGAGCATTTTCTAGAGGTTTTTGTCTGGTAATTTTAGGTAAAATCCAAGTAGTCAATTTCAAAAACTGGAAGATTTTTGCTTTTGGGTAATGATTATCAATAATTCCCACAAAATCAGCAAGACCAATCTGCCCTGCACCAGAATTGATAAAGACTTGTCTATCCTGTTCCTTGTTTAAAGAAACAATGATTTTATCTGGGTCATTTCCACACAATTTTACTATTCATAGTCTTGCCTGACCAATTAATGTAGCCATTTGATCTAAGTACAATGTAAAAGTCTTAACTGTACTGTGAGGAAGGAATGACAACTCCACAAGATCTGTATTTTGAACAATAATGCCTGTTGGAGAATGTGCAGTAGCAAAAATTAAAAGTTGGAGTGGGGCTAAGTGATCTATTCTATTTACTTTTGCTGACTGAAATTTTTCTTCAACTAATTCTATTTCTTTAGTTGCCTCTGGAGTTAATATTCTTTTACTATTTAAGTCTGGATCCCCTCTCAAGATAGAGAACAAATTTGACATGGCATAAGTAGGGATGCCTAGAGTTGGCCGAATCCAATTAATATCTCCTAGCAATTTTTGAAGTCATTTAATGTTCTTAATGTGTCTTTTCTTATTTCTACTTTTTGTGGTTTAATTTTTCTCTCCTCTACCTGCATTCCCAAATAATGAAAAGGAGTGGAGATCTGAATCTTATCAGATGCTATTGTCAGGCCTGCGTTTGCAACCTCTGTCTGCAGAAATGTGTAACAGTCAATTAATTTGTCTCTTGTTTCTGCAGCACACAAAATATCATCAACATAATGAATGATATAACAGTCTGAAAACTTGTCTCTAACTGGTTGAAGAACTTGAGCTACAAAAGTCTGACAAATAGTTGGACTATTAAGCATTCCCTGAGGCAACACTTTCCACTGAAATCTAGTGGCTGGTTCTTTATTATTTATGGCTGGTATAGTGAAAGCCAATTTTTCAAAATCCTGTTTTGCCAGAGGAATGGTAAAAAAGCAATACTTCAGATCAATTATAATTAAAGGCCAGTCTTCGGGGATCATGGCTGGAGAGGGCAGCCCAGGTTGGAGAGGCCCCATGGGTTGAATTACTGCATTAACGGCTCTTAAATCAGTTAGCATGCGCCATCTGCCTGATTTTTTCTGAATTACAAACACAGGAGAATTCCAAGGCGAAAATGAATGCTCAATATGTCCCTTTTCTAATTGTTATTTTGCCAATAAGTGTAAGGCCTCCAGCTTTTGTTTTGATAGTGGCCACTGATTTACCCATACAGGCTTTTCTGTTTTCCAAGTTAATGAAATGGGTTTTGGAGGCTCTACAGTGGCCACCCCTAAAAAGGATACCCTAGTCCTTTTCTTTCTGGATTTCCCTTAGCCTCAATTGGAACTTTAATGCCTTCTCCATTTTTCCCTAGTCCTTTGCCAGGGAGCTATCCCATTTTAGTCATGATTTTTTGACTCGTGGGGCTGTACAGAGAGACTGGAATAGTAATCTCTGCATGCCACTGTTCTAATAAGTCTCGGCCCCATAAATTAATTGGAATAGAAGTAATCATAGGCTGAACTGTACTCTCTTGATTATCAGGTCCTAGACAATGTAAAATCCTGGCACTTTGATACACTTCTGAGGCAGTGCCCACACCAACAAGTCCTGTAACAGGCTTTTGTTTAGGCCAATTTTTTGGCCATTGATTTAAGGCAATGATAGAAACATCAGACCCAGTATCCACTAATCCTTCAAATTGTTTTCCATGAATAGTAACTGTACACACAGATCTATTCTCTGAGAGCTGACTAGCCCAATAAACAGCTTTTCCAGCAGTGTTGGTACTTGCAAACCCTCCTGTTCTTTCTGTTTTGCTATCCCCAATTTTAATATAAGGCAAGAGCAGTAATTGAGCAATTCTATCACCTGGATTGGCACTCCAGGGAACAGTACAGCTGATCACTAACTGAATTTCCCCTTTATAATCTGAGTCAATTACCCCAGTATGAATTTGAACTCCTTTCAAATTTAGACTAGATCTTCCTAAAATAAGGCCTACCATCCCTTGTGGCAGCGGGCCATATACCCCTGTAGGAATCTTTTGCAGGGGCTCTCCACGGAGTAAAGAAATCATTTGAGTAGAACATAAATCTACTGCAGCACTGCCTGCTGTGGCAGAGGATAATTGTCGTATTGTAATTGGCTGATTTCCTGAAATGGTGGTATTTACTGTGGGGGTTGTTGTCCCTGAAAACCCTGAGGAACAAATGGCTGAATCGGGAATGCCCCACTTTGTTGTGGGGCCTGGGGCTGGCCCCTCTTGCCGTTTCCCGACAATGGTTGTCCATTTTTATCAAATTTAGAACGACATGCCTTAGCCCAGTGTTTTCCTTTTCCACATCTTGGACACAGGCCAGGTGGCTCTTTTTTTTTTTTTTTTTTTTTTTTTTTTTTTGCTGTTTATTTAAGCTCGGGCAATTCTTTTTTAGATGACCGATTTGACCACAATTATAACATTTTCCCCCAAATGTTTTAACTTGTCCTCCTATAGCAACCCCTGTAATTGCTTGAGCCAATGGCATTGCCTTATGCATAGCTCCTCCAATCCCATCACAAGCCTTCACATATTCTGTAATTACATCAACTCCTGCTGAAACATTTCCTCTTAATGGCTTTATGGCTGATTGACACTCTGAATTTGCGTTTTGATAAGCCATTATTTCTACAATAACTTTTCGGGCGTTACCTGCAATGGATTTTTGAGCTGCATCTTGCAACCTTGCCACAAAGTCTGGATATGGCTCTTTAGAGCCTTGTCTGATTGAACTAAAAGAAGGGCATGAGGTTCCTGGGTCCTGAATGTTTTCCCAGGCCCTGAGGCAAATAGCCCTTATAGTTGTTCAATAGCCTCATTTTCATTACTGATTGTTGGTTAATAGTGTCCCAGTTTGGACCTCTTCCTAGCAATTGGTCTTCATCTATATAAGCAACAGGATTAGTAGCCTGATTTTTTCGTACCTGTTCTTGTACCCCATCAATCCACCAGGTTTTAAACTGGAGATACTGAGAGGGTGAAAGGGAAGATATAGCCAGAATTTCCCAATCATAAGAAATAAGTCTATTTCCATGAGCAATGGAATTTAATAATATTCTCATATAAGGAGAGTTAGGTCCATATTGTTTAACTCCTGCTTGACTGCCTTTCCCGGCCGGCATCGGTTGTAACATTACCGGATATTGCCATGCCTCAAGATCTCCCTGTTTTCTGGCTGTAGCAATGGTCTCATGCAGTGCACTATCTTGTCCACTAGGTGGTACCGTAAGATCAAACGCCATCGCCGTGGGTTGTTGATATAGTGCCTTGCTATTTGGCACAGGACGCACCGCCTGAGATCCATACTGAACCTCTGGAGACGGCGGATACTGAAATGCGGCTGGCGGCTGGTGTTGATAAACTACCGATGGTTGGGTTTTATTTTCTACTGGCTGGTATTGCGGATACTGTGCCTGGATTGGCATTTGAGATTGTGACATCACAGGCATCTGAACCGCGGGAGAAGGAGTTGGTGGCCATCGTGGTCTAAACTCTGATGGCCCAAATAATTCTGGACCTCCTTCCCCCAATTTTGATGATTCAGGATATATTACCTCCTGTAATTGATTATAGTCAACATTCTGCATTGACCAAGTCAGTACAGGCTCTACTGCATTTTTACAATGTGAACTTTCCATTCCTTTCTTAAACTCTGTTCCTGCCTCTTCTTCACAATCTATTACACAGCTTTCAGGGGCATCAAAGACTGAAACCCTATCTTCTTCTATTTGAAATTGTTCTAAAGTTGCTTTAATAGTGGCCCAGTCACTCCATACTGTAAGTGGGATGATTTTACCTTCCCTAATTGCTTGTTTTAGTTCTTTGCCAATTTTTTCCCAATCTTTTAAATCTAAAGTTCCCTTTTCTGGAAACCATGGGCGGAATTGTTCTATTGTTTGAAATAGCGTAACTAGATTTTCTGTAGAAGCTTTAACTCCCCCTCTTCTTAAGAGAATTTTAATGAAGCTGAGATAAGAAGCATATTTACTTTCAGTTTGCCCCATTGTTATCCTGGATTCCTCCCAGCACACAAGCTAACCGCAAGGCTGACTGTGGACGTACTCGGGAATCTCTCATCGGCTGTCCTCAATGCTCACGTTCTTAGCGTACCTTCACCCTAGAGAAGGGCCCCACGCTGGGCTCCAGATGAAGGGGTGGTCTGCCCCTCCACACCTGTGGGTATTTCTAGTCAGGTGGGATGAGAGACGGAGAAAAGAAATAAGACACAGAGACAAAGTATAGAGAAACATCAGTGGGTCCAGGGGACCGGCACTCAGCACACCAAGGACATGCACAGGCACCGGCCTCTGAGTTCCCTCAGTTTTTATTGATTATGATTTTCATTATTTCAGCAAAAAGGAATATACTAGGAAAGCAGGGTGATAATAAGGAGGTCAACAAAAAACATGTGAGCAAAAGAATCTATATCATAATTAAGTTCAAGGGAAGGTACTATGACTGGACGTGTACGTAAGCCAGATTTATGTTTCTCTCCACCCAAAAATCTCAGTGGAGTAAAGAATAACAAGGCAGCATTGCTGCAAACATGTCTTGCCTCCCATCACAGGGCAGCTTTTCTCCGATCTCAGACTTAAACAAATGTACAATCGGGTTTTACATCGAGACTTTGAGTTCCCAGGGGCAGGCAGGAGACAGTGGCCTTCCTCCATCTCAACTGCAAGAGGCTTTCCTCTTTTACTAATTCACCTCACCACAGACCCTTTATGGGTATCGGGCTGGGGGACAGTCAGGTCTTTCTCATCCCACGAGGCCATATTTCAGATTATCACATGGGGAGAAACCTTGGACAATACCCTGCTTTCAAGGGCAGAGGTCCCTGCGGCTTTCCACAGTGTATTGTGCCCCTGGTTTATTGAGACTAGAGAATGGCAATGACTTTTACCAAGTATACTGCTTGTAAACATTTGGTTAACAAGGCACATCCTGCACAGCCCTAGATCCCTCAAACCTTGATTTTATACAACACATGTTTTTGTGAACTCCAAGTTGGGTCAAAGTGGTTGGGGCAAAGTGGCTGGGGCAAAGCTACAAATGAACAACATCTCTGCAAAGCAATTGTTTTAAGTACAGATCTTTTTCAAAATGGAGTCTCTTATGTCTTCCCTTTCGACATAGACACAGTGACAGTCGGATCTCTCTTTCTTTTCCCTACACAAATAAAGAGCCCAGTGCCTTTTCTCATTGCTCAAGAGATTGAAGGGGTAGGAAGAAAAGATGTTAAGTTATAAACATGTTTCAGTTTTGGTACCACTTGAGCCAATTTATGTTTTGAAGAGGAAAGGGTCTTGCCTACAAAGTCAGTCCCTGGGTTTTCCTTCTGCTTATGGAATCCAGGCAATGGGCAAAGAGAAAAAGAAAACTAAGGAATCAGCCAGATGCAGTGGCTCATGCTTGTAATCTTGGCCCTTTGGGAGGTTGAGGCAGGCGGACTTCTTGAGTCCAGGAGTTCAAGACCAGCCTGGCCCACATAGCGAGACCCCGTTTCTACAAAAAATACAAAAAGGTGCTGAGCATGGTGGCATGCACCTGTAGTTCCAGTTACTTGGGAGGCTGAGGTGGGAGAACTACTTCAGCCCAGGAGGTTGAGGCTGCAGTGAGCCATGATTGTGCCACTATACTCCAGCCTGGGTGACAGAGTGAGGTCCTGTCTCAAAAGAAAACAAAAAAGATAAGAAAAAGAAAACTAGGGAATCTGGACAGAATAAGTTTATATATATAATAAAGAACTGAGATAGAACTGGGTTGACTGAATAATTATTTGAGTTGCTTTTGAGTGAATTTTTCCTATTGGAGTCTACCTTTGTTTTTTTGTGTGTGCGCGTTTTTTGTTTTTTGTTTTTTTTTTTTTTGTTTAGTTTTGTCTTTGTGTTTTTTTTGAGACTGGTCTCTGTTGCCCAGTCTGCTGGAGTGCAGTGGCACGATCTCAGCTCACTGCAACCTCTGCCTCCTGGGTTCCAGCAATTCTTCTGCCTCAGCCTCCCTAGAAGCTGGGACTACTGGGCATGTACCACCAAGCCCAGCTAATTTTTGTATTTTTAGTAGAGATGGGGTTTCACCATGTTGGCCGGGCCTGGTCTTGAACTCCTGGGCTCAAGTGGTCCACCTGCCTCAGCCTCCCAAAGTGCTGGGATTACAGGTGTGAGCCCCTGCGCCCAGCTAGAGTCTACAATTCTTTGAATTCACTGCAGTGCAAAGACTGGAACATGTGGAACTCCAGGTATATATGGGTTATGTAGAGATGCTAGGGGCAGATTAAGGAAGGAAAGATATGAGAAGCCTGCAGAGCATGCTTTCCCAGACTGTATGGGCCCTGGGAAAGGAGAAGTGGACAGAAAGGGAGCACTAGGTACCCTGGAAGAGAAGATTCATCCAAGTCATCAGGGAAGTTACTAATGCAAGGGAAAAAAGTTAGAGACAGGGCCAAACACGCTTCTTCCAAGTCCTTTCTGTCTGCTCAGTCACCTCTATGCTTATTTTTCTTCTTTCCTCTAAGTAGTGTCACGCATTTTCTTCCTATTCCTAGTCGCTCCTAGTCAACTAACTCCTCTCTTTACCATCTTTTCATCAGAACTTGAAACCTCCTCTCCTTCATGTATTAGTGATCATGTTTCTCCATAATACTGCTAGAAACAAGAATTGAAACCTGGAAAACCTGCATTTGAGAACCAGATCTCCCTCTGCTAGCTATTTGAGAAGTTATTTTGTTCCATTCTTTTTGTTGTTGTCGAAACAGGGTCTCACTCTGTCGCCCAGGCTAGAGTGCAGTGGTTCAATCTTGGCTCACTGCAGCCTCAATCTCCTGGGCTCAATCAATCCTTCCACATCAGCCTCCTGAGTAGCTGAAACTACAGGTGTGTGCCACCACAGCTGGCTAATTTTTAATGCTTTTTTTTTGTTTACTTATTTTTTTTTTTGTAGAGATGGTGTCTTGCTATGTTGTGTAGGCTGGTCTCAAACTCATGGGCCCAAGCGATCCTCCTGCCTTGGCCTCTCAGATGAAATGGGAAAAGTTCTGTTGTCCCCCTCGAAGGGCATGCGATGCGGGTGTGGTTCGTTTATTCAGTGCCCCACTGCTCAAACCTCTAGGAGAGCATGCAGACAGGTAGGGAGACCCATGGCAGTGTCCAGGGGTGAATGTTTATAGTTGAAGCCCCAGTGGGCGTGTGTTACAGGGTGCTCTTTTAGTTTAGCCGTCTGTAGGTAGCTTTTGTTAGTCGGCTCAATTAGACCCCTGCCTTATTGCAAGGAGAGAGGGCTCTCTTTGTGCCGGGGTTCTTGCCTTGGTGTACCGGAAGTGGTGCGATCTCAGCTCACTGCAAGCTCCGACTCCTGGGTTCACGCCATTCTCCTGCCTCAGCCTCCCAAGTAGCTGGGACTACAGGCACCCGCCACCACGCCTGGCTAATTTTTTTGTATTTTTAGTAGAGATGGGGTTTCACTGTGTTAGCCAGGATGGTCTGGAGCTCCTGACCTCGTGATCTGCCCGCCTCGGCCTCCCAAAGTTCTGGGATTACAGGCGTGAGAGTGTAAGGTTTTATTGAGTGGAAGTATCTCTCAGCTGATGGGGGAGCCAGAAGGGAGATGGTTTACCCCTGGAGTTGGTTTAGTGGCCGGACTCTTCTCCGAATGTCCCAGCCAAACTCTGCGTTGTTCTGCAGTCAGTGGCCTGCGGTGTGACGGTGCCCATTGGTGCGTTCCTCTTGACGT
The DNA here is from genome assembly GCF_000001405.40 of Homo sapiens. NCBI lineage: Eukaryota > Metazoa > Chordata > Mammalia > Primates > Hominidae > Homo > Homo sapiens. Next base: position 12,228,543 of record NC_000008.11, read on the forward strand.
CCAGCACCCTTGTGTTCCTCCGCTGATGTGCTCCTCTCGAAGTCCAGCTGCCTGTGTCTGCCTGCTAGGGTCTCAGGGTTTTTATAGGCACAGAAGGGGGGTTTGGCAGCCAGGGTGGTCTTGGGAAATGCAACATCTGGGCAGGAAAACAAAAATGCCAGTCCTCACCTAGGTCCGTGGACACAGGCCCTGGGGTGGAGCCCTAGCCAGGGACCACACCCTCCTCTACCCAGTACTTCCCTTCCTCACTTCCATATCATTTAAAGGGACCACATTCTTCCCTTCTGAGCACTTCCCTTCTGTATCACAAAGTTTTGGGATTATAGGCATGAGGCACTGGTCCCAGCCAATTCCGTTCTTTTAATGCAAACTAGAAAATAGGTGTTCAGAAAGGCCTGCCCTATCCACCTCAGGGAGTTGCTATGAAGATCAAATTAGACCATGTGCAACAGAAGTTTAGAAAAGATTCCAAAAGCACTGTGCAATGGGAATGTATTTTTAAACTCCACTGAGTGGACTTAAAACTATGGTTTTCTTTCTTTCTTTCTTTCTTTTTGGTTGAGACAGAGTTTCACTCTTGTTGCCTAGGCTGGAGTGCAATGATGCCATCTTGGCTTACTGCAACCTCTGCCTCCCAGGTTCAAGTGATTCTCTGCCTCAGCCACCCGAGTAGCTGGGATTGCAGGCGCCCACCACCGTGCCTGGCTAATTTCTTTCTTTCTTTGTTTTTGTCTTTTTAGTAGAGATGGGGTTTCACAGTGTTGGCCAGGCTGGTCTCAAACTCCTGAGCTTAGGTGATCCACCCACCTTGGCCTCCCAGAGTGCTGGGATTAAGGCTTTAGCCACCGCACCCAACGTGTGTTTCTTTTTCAAGCAAGAAAACAAATGCCTCTCCCCAGCGCTCACTAAACAAATCCCTCTGTTATTTTTTTTTCCATAGGATTCTTATCCTTCTTGCCCCACTGCAAACAATCTATTTTCTTTTGGCCCTTCCGTCTGTCTGTGAAAGGGTCAGGCTTTCTAGCTAACCCTTAATCAAATATTTTTGATGACCACAGTCAAGACAGTACTTATTATTTTTTTGGGGGGACGGAGTTTTGCTCTTGTTGCCCAGGCTGGAGGGCAATGGTGCAGTCTCGGTTCACTGCAACCTCTGCCTCCAGGGTTCAAGTGATTCTCTTACCTCAGCCTCCCAAGTAGCTGGGATTACAGGTGCACAACACCACACCCAGCTAATTTTTGTATTTTTAGTAGAGATGGGGTTTCTCCATGTTGGTCCGGCTGGTCTCGAACTCCTGACCTCAGGTGATCTACACACCTCAGCCTCCCAAAGTGCTGGGATTACAGGGGTGAGCAACCCTGACTGGCCAGGACAGTGCTTATTAATGCCTGAGATGCATCCAGGAGCACATGACCTGGCTGTGACTGTTCTAACAAAGTTCCCCAAATGGGTGGCTCAGGACAACAGAAAGTCATTCTCTCCAGTTCCAGAAGCTTGATGTCTGAAACCGGCAGGGCCGTGCTCCCTCTGAAGGCTCTAGGGATGAATCCTTCCTTGCCTCTTCTGGCTTCTGGTGGTTGCTGGCATTCCTTGGCTTGTGGCCACATCATTCCATTCTCTTCCTTCATTCTCATGTGGCCTTCTCCCCTGTGTGTCTCTGTCTCTTCTTCTCTTCCCATGAGGAATGCCATTATTACTCGATTTAAGGTTCACGCTATTCCAATATGACCTCTTTGTAATTAGATCTGCAGTGACCCTATTTTCTTTTCTTTTTTTTGTGATGGAGTCTTGCTCTGTTGCCCAGGCTGGAGTTCAGTGACACAATCTCAGCTCGCTTCAACTCTGCCTCCTGGGTTCAAGTGATTCTTCAGCCTCAGCCTCTGAAGTAGCTGGGATTACAGGTGCACGCCACCATGCCTAGCTAATTTTTATGTTTTTAGTAGAGACAGGGTTTGCCATGCTAGCCAGGCTGGTCTCGAACTCCTGACCTCAAGTGATCCTCCTGCCTCAGCCTCCCAAAGTGCTAAGATTACAAGCATGAGCCACCATGCCCTGCCCCTATTTTCTAATAAGGTCACATTCTGGGATTCCTGGTGAATGTGAATTTTTGGAGGACAGTATTCAGTCTAGCAAAAGGCAGAACATTCTCATTTTCTTCCCTACCTCAGAAATAAAGAAGTTAACTTCAACCCCTCTGAGAGAGAGAGAGGCTTCCTGAGCTTCCAACAATCAATTATCCAAATATTAGTCACAGAAGGGCACTAAGGGTTGTGCACAGCACGTGGCCAGCCCATTCTCTGAGTCTGTCAAGTTTAAGGTGAACGCTAATCCTGAATGAGTCTTAAAATGTACTTGGCATTTCCTCGTCATTGTAAAATATTCTTACATTGTGATGGCTGGGGCTTCCCTCTCAGGTGTAATCTGTGAAGTCAGACGTGACACAGCCTGGGTGAGGTGGGCCAAGCCGGGAACTGGGTTAGGAGGGAAGCTGGGGAATGATCTCCAAGGTCTCAGATCCCAAACTGGCTTTAGCCAGATTCACCCAGAGGGATCTCATAAAAAATGCACATTCCGGGGCCCACCCCAGACCTAATGAATCAGAATTACCTGGGAAGGAGCCTGGGGAGCTCTGTTTTCAGAAGCAGCCCAGCCGAATCCTACGGTCAGACAGGGCTAGGAATCCGAGCTCAGTCTAGCGCGGTAGTTCCCAAACTCGTCTGTGCTTCAAAAAATAGAGATGCTGATGTCCAGGCATGGTGGCTCATGCTTATAATCCCAGCAGTTTGGGACGCTGAGGCGGGAGTATCACTTGATCCCAGGAGTTTGAGACTAGCCTGGAGAACATAAGGAGATACTGTCTCTATAAAAAAATTAAAAATTAGCCAGGCGTGGTGGTGCCCGCCTGTGATCCCAGCTACTGTGGAGGTTGAAGTGGGAGGGTTTCTTGAGCCCAGGAGTTGGAGCCTGTAGTGAGCTATGATTGTGCCACTGCACTCCAGCCTGGGTAACAGAGCGAGGCCCTGTCTCAGAAACAAAACAAAACAAAAAACGGAGTCTATGTCCCATTCCAGAGGTTGAGGTTTAATTGTTCTTGGGAGTGGCCTGGGTTTTGGAAGATTTAAAAAAAAAAATCCCAGGTGACCCTAAAGTGTAGATGAGTTTGGAAACCACACATTTAAGGCACACTTGAATGGGGGAGCAGTGAGGTGGCGCGGGCTAGCCGGCCAGAACCCAGGGGTGGGCCAGTAGGAACCAGCATTGCAGAGGCCATTAAGGCTGGGGAGCATAGTGTCTGGGGCCCATAACAATGCTTCGGCATGAATGCTTTAGACCTAAGACAATTGGCTCCTAAATGTGAAAACTGCAAGGCTGAAATGAATGCATGTTTAATGCCTTACAACATTGTCAAGTGATCAGCTGCAACTCCTTTCTGAGGGCATGATGCCTGAGATATGCCTGTAATGCGGGTTGATTTTAATTAATTTAATATGGTGTGGAGTGGGGCCTTCAAAAGTAAAGACGTCAGTTCTACGTTGGTTACAGGGTTATGGGCAAAGGTCTTAAAACCCCATGGTGAGCAGATGGCCAATCCTGAACACCCCAATTTTAAAACAGGGCTTTTTTTCCAAGAGACTTTTTGAAAATAGCTCCTATTTTGAGAGGAGGAACCCAGGCAGGAGAGAGACAGAGTTAAGCCCAGCTGAGAGGGGGTTGGTAGGCAGGGGCCTGCCTGATCCTCACTGAAGCTTGGTACTCAGGGTGAGCTTCCTAAACCAGTGCAGATTTGCCGGCCCACTGAGCCTCCCAGATGAGAACCTGCATTTCAACAAGGTCCTTGATGCAGCAAAGTTTGAGATATACTGGGCTAGAACACTCAGGGGACACAAAGGTTCTCTGAAAACTAAGGAAAATAGGCAGGGTGTGGTGGCTCATGCCTGTAATCCTTGTATTTTGGGATGCCAAGGTGGGCGGATCACTTAAGGTCAGGAGTTTGAGACCAGCTGGATCAACATGGTGAAACACCATCTCTACAAAAAATACAAAAATTAGCTGGGTGCGGCCGGGCACAGTGGCTCATGCCTGTAATCCCAGCACTTTGGGAGTCCGACGCGGGCAGATCACGAGGTCAGGAGATCGAGACCATCCTGGCTAACACGATGAAACCCTGTCTTTACTAAAAACACAAAAAAATTAGCCGGGCGTGGTGGCAGGTTCCTGTAGTCCCAACTACTCGGGAGGCTGAGGGAGGAGAATGGCATGAACCTCGAGGAGGAGCTTGCAGTGAGCCGAGATTGCACCACTGCACTCCAGCCTGGGCAACAGAGCCAGACTCTGTCTCAAAAAAAAAAAAAAAAAAAAAATATCTGGGTGAAGTGGCAGGTACCTGTAGTCCCAGCTACTTGGGGGGCTGAGACAGGAGAATAGATTGAACCTGGGAGGCGGAAGTTGCAGTGGCCCGAGATCGCACCACTGCACTCCAGTCTGGTGGCAGAGTGAGACTCCATCTAAAAACATAAAAAAATAAATACACAAATAAATAAAAAATAAAAATAAATACTGGGCTAGAAGACCCAGGAGACCCGAAGATTCTCTCAAAACTAAGGAAAATAATTTAGGTCACAAATATATTCTCTTCCTCCTTCTCCCCATTGCCCCCCTTCACCAGTAATCTTTATAGACTCAAATCGAGTTGATGTTCTATAATCAATTCTAGTCACTTTTGTTTATATTTATTTATTTTAGAGATGGGGGTCTCACTATGTTGCTCAGGCTGGTCTCAAATTCCTGGGCTTAAGTGATCCACCCACCTAGGTCTCCCAAAGTGCTGGGATTACAGGCATCAGCCACTGCACCCGGCTGTCACTTTTATTTTTGATGTTCAAATTATAAGCTAATGCCTGTGAGACCATAGATTCTTTTTATGCACTCAATACATTTTCTTGTTTACCTTATATTTGTACTGTGGAAAAGTTCTGTTTTTTCCACTTGTTTATATTTGATAATGAAGCCCTCTGTGCCTATCACCAGCCTCAGCCGCCATCATCTCATTACCAAGCTGGGTTATTTTGAAACAAATATCTTCTAATATTTAGCCGGTGTTCAAATTTCCCTAACCATCCTAAAGGAATGTTTAGAACAGTTGTTTCATTGGAAACAAGGTCAAAACAAATACATTTTACATTTTTAGGCCAGTCTTGAAAGTAAGTGTAAAACCATGTGTGGGGTAGGAGGTGGGACTAGACTCTCAAGGTGGGGCCTGGATACCAGACCCAGTTGAGGACTAGCTAAGACAGATTCCACAGTGAATAACACCAGGAGGTGGGAATATTAAGGTCCATTGTGAAGGATGACTACCACAATTTTTTGATCAACTAGTTATCAACCCTGACTGAAGCTGAGAGAGATTTGTTTTTGCTTTTTTTTCTTTTTTTTCAGAGACAGGGTCTTGCTACGTTGCCCAGGCTGGACTCAAACTCCTGGGCTCAGGTGATTCTTCTGCGTTAGCCTCCTGAGTAGCTGAGACTACAGGTGTGTGCCACTGTGCCCAGCAAGATTTTAAAAAATACGTATGCCCGGACACCACTCTAAACCAACTAAATGAGAATCAGATATCGTGAAGTCACTAATCATTTTGCTCCTGGGTCTTTATGACAGTTTTGCTCCTGGGAAACTCCTGGGAATGTGGTAGAGAGAGAGAAAGAGATGGGAAAATAAGATTTTAAGAAGTGTTGCTATGCATTTTGAAAATAATTTTTATTTGGTGTTTGTCTTGAGGGAAGGCGGTAAACATTTCAATTGCCT